>NC_000005.10:81018897-81321928 GCF_000001405.40 Homo sapiens | reverse complement strand
GTTTCCCAGGCTGGAGTGCAGTGGCACAATCTCCACTCACCGCAACCTTTGCCTCCCAGGTTCAAGCAATTCTTGTGCCTCAGCCTCCCGGGTAGCTGGGACTACAGGCATGCACCACCATGCCCAGATAATTTTTTGTATTTTAGTAGTGTCGGGGTTTCACCATGTTGCCCAGGCTGGTCTTGAACTCCTGAGCTCAGGTAATCCACCCACCTCAGCCCCACCAAAGTGCTAGGATTATAGGCGTGAGCCACTGCACCTGGCCCACTTTATCATTTTTTGACCTAAAATTAAAATTTCAATTTCAGTTATATATTTCAATTCTAGAAGTTTCTATTGGTTACTTTTTAAGTCTGGTAGTTTTTTGTTTGTTTGTTTGTTTTTTTAAACAATCTCCTATTCCTTGCCCAAGTTTTCCATTTTTAAAATTTCTTTAAATATATGAATGGCTATGGTCTGAATGTTATATCCTCCCCAAATTCATATGTTGAAATCCTAACCCCCAAGGTGATACTATTAAAATAGAGCATTTGAGAGGTGATTTGGTCTGAGGGCTGAGCCCTCTGGTGCTCTTACAAAAGAGGCCTGAAGGAGTTTGTTTGTCCTTTCTACCATATGAGGACACAGCAAGAAGGCACTATCTGGTTTTTTTCTTTTCTCTTTTTTTGAGACAAGGTCTTGCTCTGTCTCTGTCATCCAGACTGGAGTACAGTGGTGCGATCTTAGCTTACTGCAGCCTTGACCTCCTAGGCTCAAGCAATCCTTTTCCCCCAGCTTCCCAAGTAGCTGGGACTACAGGTGCAAGCCACCACGTTCTGCTGAATTTTGTATTTTTTGTAGAGACGGGGTTTTGCCATGTTGCCCAGGCCGGTCTTGAGCTGCTGGATTCAAGCGATCCACCCACCTGGGCCTCCCAGAGTGCTAGGATTACAGACGTGAGCCATCTTGCCAGGCCAAGAAGGCACTATCTATTGAACCAGAGAGCCGGCCTTCACAGACACTGAATCTGTTGGCACCTTGATCTTGGACTTTTTAGTCTCCAGAACTGTAAGAAATAAAAATTTCTGTTGTTTATAAGCCATCTGGTTTAGTTTATAGTATTTGGTTATAGTGGCCCAAACAAAACAAAACAAAACACAAAGCATACTTGTTTATATTTTCTCTAATAATTCCCAAACCTGAAATGTTTGCAGGATTGATTTTACTACTCATTGCTGCTGCTGGCTCTTATTCATAATGTCATATTTTCTTGTGTGTTTTTGTGATTTTATCATGCAGTCTGGTCCCTTGAATTTTGTGTGAATTCTTTGAGGCCTAGGTTGTAGTCGAGGGCTGCCAGAATGGATTGTGATGATTCTGCCGTTGCCAGCAGATTTTTTAATGAAGATCTCAAGTTGAGGCCAATTTGACCATACAAGCAGTATGAATTAAGACTGAAAACTCAGGTGATAGTGGACAATTTTTCTCCCCTGCCACCCAATGCCAAAGTGGAGACAGGCAACAAGTTTTCTTCCTGTCTTCTTTAGGGCAAGCTTATGTCCCATTCACTCTTACGTTGAGGGTATAGCTCTTTGGTCTCTGCTTTATGCAAAGTTCTTCAACCATACTGCCCATAGTAAGTAGGCCCTTGACTTTATTTCCTTTCCCAGGCAGCTCAAAGTTTTTAGGATTCAGCAGATACCCTCAGCTTCAGCACCGGCTTATCTTCTGAAGCTCCTGCATTCACTTAATATCTGGCCTCTGTAGGTTCTGTGCTTCCTTGTAAACTCAGTTATGCTTTTAAGGAGATTGAAAAATAAATTTATTCCACATTTTGGGGGTGTATTTTTGGTGGTAAGACAAATTGGAGGTTCACCCTCCTGCCAGAAACAAAATTTATGTCCATTTCTCTCTATCTTCACATTCACCGCCCTAGTCTAAGACACTATCATTTCTTACTGCAAGAGCTTCCTAATTTCTCTCTCTGTGTTTACTCTTGTACTCCTACAATTTATTCTCCATATAGCAGCCAGAATGATATTTTTTAAAAAGGTTTGTCACAGCATGTCACTTCCTAGCTTAAAACTTCCCAATGAGGAGAGTAGGCAAATATTTAGAGAAAGAAAGTAGGTTCATGGGTGCTTAGGGTAGGGTGGGTGGGGTGTCTGTGAGCATTGGGGGATAGGAAGGATGAATGACTGCTAATGGGTATGGGTTTCTTTTTTTTTTTTTTTGAGACAGTTTCGCTCTTGTTGCCCAGGCTGGAGTGCAATGGCGCTATCTCAGCTCACTGCAACCTCCACCTCCCGGGTTCAAGCGATTCTCCTGCCTCGGCCACCCAAGTAGCTGGGATTACAGGCATGCACCACAACGCCCAGCTAATTTTGTATTTTTAGTAGATACGGGGTTTCTCCATGTTGGTCAGGCTGGTCTCAAATTCCCGACCTCAGATAATCCGCCCGCCTTGGCCTCCCAAAGTGCTGGGATTAAGGGCGTGAGCCACTGCGCCCAGCTTGGTATGGATTTCTTTTGAAAGTGTTGAAGATGCTCTAAAATTGATTGTGGTTATGGTTGCATAGCTCTGTGAATATACTAAAACCATTGAATTATACACTTTAAATAGTCAATTATATGATACGTGAATTATATCACAATACAGTTGTTATTTGAGAAACCACAACAGCTTTCCAACAGGGAGAAGGATGTCCAGAATAGTCAACTAGGAACCTGTTTCATAATGGTAACAAAAACTTTAGCAAAAATTATCCAAATAAGCTTTTTCAGAACTCTGGAAGTGAATCAAAGGCTTGCAACAATACAAGGAGTGTTTATTCAAGAAAAGCAGCTGAATCTCTGTAAGAGCATGAGTTTTGTAGCATTTCAACTTGTCCTATTCCCATTCTCTTCTCCAGCAGGTCCTAAGTAGTTTTGAAAATCAGCAATCTCACAATTACAGTTGCTGTGAAAAATAGCAGCCTAATAGCCACTGGGGAGGTGGGGGTGGGGAATTGGAGCTCTCCCCCAACAAACATCCCCAGAAAACTATCACTGTTTTTCCTGCTTGGCAGTTCTCTGGAAAAGCCTCTTTCTAAAGCTTGCCTTTGATTTAGCACTTATTTAGTGCAAACAGCCCCATCTCCTGAGTGTGGTGGAAAACAATCAGCAGCAATTGTTTAACATCATAACTGCCTGATGCAGTGATACTAGTTGAGGCAAACAAGAAGCTAGGTAAAAACTTAAAAGGAAAATAAGGAGAATCATGACCCCTATGTTCATGGATCAGGAAACTTAATATTGTTAAGATGGCCATATTCCCCAAATTCATCTACAGACTCAACACAATCCCTATCGAAACTGAAGCTGGCTTTTTTGCAGAAATTGATGAACTAATGCTCATTGTGAGATTCATATGAAAATATAAGGGAAAATAGAGAAGAGAAAATAAACAAGAGAAAATAAACTTGAAAAGTTTGAGGACTTACACTTACTAATTTCAAAACTTAGTACAAAGCTATAGTAATCAAAAGTGTGGTACTGGCATAAGGATATACATAAGGATCATTGGAATAGAACTGAGAGTCCAAAAATATACTGTTATATTTGTGGTCAATGATTTCAAAAAGGAAACCAAAACAATTTAATGAAGAAAGAATACTCTAAAATTTTCAACAAACAGTGCTGGGAAAACTGGATATCCACATGCAAAACATGATGTTGGATTCCCTACCTCCAGTCATATACACAAAAGTAATTAAAATTGAATTATGGGCCAGGCATAGTGGCTCACACCTGTAATCCCAGCACTTTGGGAGGCCGAGGCAGGCAGATCACCTGAGGTCAGGAGGTCGAGACTAGCCTGGCCAACATGGTGAAACCCTGTCTCTACTAAAAATACATAAATTAGCCAGGCATGGTGCAGCATGCCTGTAGTCCCAGCTACTTGGGAGGCTGAGGTGGGAGAATGGCTTGAACCTGGGAGGTGGAGGTTGCAGTGAGCGGAGATTGTGCCACTGCACTCCAGCCTGGGCTACAAACTCTGTCTCCAAAAAAAAAAAAAAAAAATTGTGAACCTAAGTATAAGAACTAAAAATATAAAACTCAGAAGAAAACCAGACCTTGGTGATATGGTTTGGCTCTATGTCCCCACCTCTCTCATGTCAAATTGTGATTCCCAGTGTTGAAGGAGGGGCCTGATGGGAAGTGATTCAATCATCGGGGCAGACTTCCCCTTGCTGTTCTCGTGACAGAGTTCTTATAAAATCTGGTTGTTTGAAAGTGTGTAGCACCTCCCCCTTCACTCTATCTCTCCTGCTCCACCATGTAAAGATTGTGCCTGCTTCCCATTCAACTTCTGCCATGATTGTAAGTTTCCTGAGGCCTCTTAGCCATGCTTCCTGTATAGCCTGTGAAACTGTGAGTCAATTAAACCTCTTTTTTTTTTTTTTTTTGGGATGGAGTCTCGCTTTCTTGCCCAGGCTGGTGTGCAGTGGCACGATCTCGGCTCACTGAAGCCTCCACTTCCCGGGTTCCAGTGATTCTCCTGCCTCAGCCTCCTGAGTAGCTGGGATTACATGTGCCCACCACTGCGCCTGGCTAATTTTTGTATTTTTAGTAGAGTCGGGGTTTCGCCATGTTGGCCAGGCTGGTCTTGAACTCCTGACCTCAGGTGATCCGCCCACCTTAGCCTCCCAAAGTGCTGGGATTACAGGCGTGAGCCACTGTGCCTGGCCTAAACCTCTTTTCTTTATAAATTACCCAGCCTTGGGTAGTTCTTTATAGCAGTGTGGGAACGGACTAATACTCTTGGGTTAGACAGTGGTTTCCTAGGTGTGACATCAAAGATAACACCAAAAACACAAGAATAAAAAGAAAAATCAGATAAGATGAACTCCATCAAAATTTAAAATTTTTGTGCCTCAAAGGACACCATCAAGAAAGTCAAAAGACAAACCACAGAATGAGAGAAAACATTTGCAAATCATAAACCTGTTAAAGAATTTGTATATAGAATAAATAAAGCCGTTTCAATTCTGCAATAAATAACAACCCAATTAAAAAATACAGGAAAAGAATTTGAATGGACTTTTCTGCAGAGATCATATAACAAATGGCCAATAAGCACATGAAAAGGCATTCTACATCATTAGTCATTAGGGGATGCAAATCAAAACCACAATGAGATTCCACTTTACACCCACTGGGATGACAAAAATAAAAAGGAGAAACAAAATCAAGTGTTGCCAAGGATGTGGAGAATTGAAACTCTCATACATTGCTGATTAGATTATCGAATGGTATAGTCACTTTGAAAAATATTCTAGGTATATACTCCTAGGTATATATCCAAGAGAAATGAAAACATGTCCTCACAAGATTATACACAAATGTTCACAGTAGCCTTGTTAATAATAACCAAAAAGTGGCAAACACCCAAATGCCCATCAACTGATGAATAAAATGTGGTATATCTATGCAATAGATTATTATGGATGAATCTTGAAAACATCATGTTAACTGAAGGAAGCCAATCACAAAAAACCACATATTGCATGATTCCATTTACATAAAGTGTCCAGAACAGGCAACTGTATAGAGACAGAAGGTAAATTAGTAGATGCCAGTAGCTGGGGGAAGGAAGGGATAGGGAGCAACTGCTTAAGGGTATTGGCTGTTGATGGGGTGATAACATGTCCTGGAATTAATGGCGATGGTTGTACAACTCTGACTAGATTAAAAGCCAGTTAGTTGTACACTTTAAAAGTGTGAATTTTATCGTATGTGAATTATATCTCAATAAAGCTGTTAGGGGAATAAAACCAAAACTTTCCCATGGCTTCCTAAATTTTCCAGTGTGATACTGCCCCCACCACCTCTCTGACTTCGTCAAATGATAAATACATATTATGGGCCTACTATGTGCTAAGTACTGTTTTAGGCATTTGGGGTATATCAGTGAACAGACAAGAATCCACCCCCCGTGGAGATTATATTCTAGCAGAGAGATGGGACAAAAACGACACATATAATAAATAACTTAATATGGTAGAAGGTGATAAATGACACAGAAAAACATAAAGCAAAGTAAGGGGAACCAGGAGTGCCAGTGTTAGGATGGAGATGTAGATTCTGTTTTAAATAGGGTGGTCAGAATAGCCCTGATGTGGCCCTTCTCTAGGCTTCAGCTACACTCCTTTCTGTCCCTCACATATGGCAAACTCATTCTCTCTTTAGGGGTTTTGGCTAACTCAAGACTGGTTCCTTTGTGTCATTCAGATTTCAGCTTTAAAATTTCCACAGAGGCCTCCTCTTGATTATCCAATCTAAGAGCTACCCAGTCACTTGCATCATCTCTCTGTTGATTCCTTTTATATCACTCATTGAATTAACTCATTCAACAAATGCAAATGCTTCATACATTCCAAGCATTTCTAGGGATATAGCAATGAACAAGAATCAAAATTCCTGCCCTCGTGTAACCTATAATCTGGTAGAGAGGGAACAAATAGAGCTATAGTGTTAGGTATTGGGATGAGGAAGCAAGGAGCTGCTCTTTCCTATAAGGATGGTCATAGAAAGACTCAAGCTGGTCATAGCAGATGCCTGAAGGAAATAAGCAGGGATGGGGGGCTGGCCATGGGGACTGGAGGGAATGTCAAGTAAAGAGCAACTTGAGATTCAGGCCTCATGGCTTGGAACATAATTGTAGTGAAAAAAGAGACAAAAAGGTAAACTCACTTTTTCCCCAGGGGAAAGTGAGTCTGTTTAAAGCCATATTGAATTTGAAGTATTAGTGGAGCATCCCAGTAGGAACATTCAGGAGGCAGGTGAAAAGACGGGACTGAAACCTGGGATTTTAGGGCTAGCTGGAGATTTAGGAATCATTTATGGAAAAGTGAAAGATAAGTTTGTAAGAAGAGATGAAATTTACAAAAGACCGAAGGAGCACTAAAGACTAAGTCTTAGGGGATTCAGCTGGGTGTAGTGGCTCATGCCTATTGTAATCCCAGCAACTCAGGAGGCTGAGGCGGGAGGATCGCTGGAGCCCAGGTGTTTGAGGCTTCAGTGAGCTACGATTGCATCACTGCACTCCAGCCTGGGTGACAGGGTAAGACCCCATCTTAAAAATTTTTTAAAGTCTCAGGGGATTCAAAAAATATTTTAGGAATGTAATAAAACATTTCTTGCTGGTATTTTCCCTAAGTCTCCTGTCCATTATTCAGCCCCATTATAATGCATGTGGTCTTGTCTGTCTTGCTGACTGCCACAATTTCAAGTGCATAAGAGTAACAGGAACATAGTAGTGCTTGGGAAATATATAAGATGAATGAATAAATTGTTTGCCTTCCTCTTTAGGCATTTTTAGCTAAGAAAATAACCAACGTCTATAGTTCCTTTTAATGAACACTCAGGATCTCTCAGGATTTCTGCCTCTGGTGCATTCCTTTTAGTGTCTCTACACGTGTTTAATGTTACATTCAGTACCTGCAGTTTATTTCTAATGACTTCACTGCCTAATATTTATAGATCATTAAAATATAAACAAAGTAGGCCGGGCATGGTGGCTCAAGCCTGTAATCCCAGCACTTTGGGAGGCCGAGGCGAGCAGATCACGAGGTCAAGATTTCGAGACCAGCCTGGCCAACATGGTGAAACCCCATCTCTAGTAAAAATGCAAAAATTAGCGGGGTGTGGTGGTGCGTGCCTATAATCCCAGCTACTCAGGAGGCTGAGGCAGGAGAATCGCTTGAAGCCAAGAGGCAAAGGTTGCAGTAAGCCAAGATTGTGCCACTGCACTCTAGCCTGGGTGACAGAGTGAGCTATCAAAAAAAAAATTATACACACACACACACACAAAAAGTAATCCAAAAAAGACAAAGTGGATACCAACATTCTTGCACTGAAGACTACAAAAAGCATTAGACCTAACTTTCAGCTGACAGGCTGTAGACTCTGCTCCTGATGGGACAGGTGAAATAAATCTGGGTGCGTTCGGACTAGATGACTAAGGCAGCATTACTGTCCTTTTCCAACTGCCTGGCTTGTGCAATTCCTTCTAAATAGCACTCATTTCCTTAAGCTCTGGGATGCTGAGCAGTATTTTGTCATGTTTTCCTCTCACACTGAAATAAAAGAACAGCTCCTATTAAGACTAGAACTGTCGAGTTGTGCAGAGATGAAAACAGAGAAAAGTGTTTCTTTTCTTATTTGGTAAATATTTTGCTTTTGAGGCATCAGTAACTAATCACAGCTGTTTCCTTTAGTTACAAATGGATTCAATCAGGTAAAATTTCAAATGAAACACAAAACCACTAGAGTCATTCCATTATACAGTACAATGGTAGTGTTAAGCCTTGTGAAATATATGTATTAAGTATGCATGAATTCATCAAATCAAACAAAGAAGCTAATGGGTCTCTGATTAGTGTTCTAACTCTATTATGGTGATACTTCCATCTTACTCTGACTCATCTAAAACATGAGAACAAAATGCTATTAAGTTTATTATACCATCTGTTATCTGCCATCATTCTGGTTAAGTAACAAAAACTGAATTTTGGCTAGAAGTTCTCTCTTGAAAATCAAGGGCAAAAAAGAGCTGCTGTTAAACTGAGATATTTCAATTTTAACTTCAGTAACTTGGAATCCTTTATGTCAAAACTAAAACAAAAACCAAATCCCTGTTTATTCTCATCTAGGATTCAAAAAAAATCTTGTTTCCAATGGGATTGTTACATGGATATTAACGAACAATGGATATTTCAATCGAGAATCAAGTATTCAGAAAAATTATACACAAAAATATTTCTATTGCTTAATAGAAAACATATTTTTATTCCGTACTTTAAAAATATAGACTTTCTAGCAACTTATAAATTTCTATTATAATAATAAATTGATACTTTGAGCCAAGAAAACAATATAACCAAAAATTCATTTGTTCCCTTTGTTTAGGGGTGTTTTACATTTATGCATAATTTTGCTTTTATAAAAGATGATTGTTACAATCAGGTATACAACTACTTGGTTATGTCTAAGTTCTGTCTCTTAAAATATGTTCTTTTAGAGAATTCATTTAATCATCTTATTCTTTTCTTCAATTTTCTCCAAACAGTGGTAGAAGTACTATTTGATAGACAGAATAAAGAAAATTGTTTTTGGCCACACCCAGATCATACTGATATCTACAGCATAGTCCTGGCTACAGGGGAGCTCAACTCTAACTCGTGAAGCGGGCCTGGTTTAGAAAGTAACAATGAGGTAGTAACTCATGATAGTGCTAGCTGTTATCAAAAATTAACAACTTTAGGTATTTTTGTTTTGGGTTTTTGCGGTTTAGGTACATCCAAAATTTCTTCATAGTCTGCACTCATTCCCTTTGCCCAGCGACCAACTGTGACCATTCGCTCTGTAAAGGAATAGAAAAATCAGAATGTTAGAAAAACAGTAATCAAATGCATCCACTCAGATTGTTATTGGTTTGGGAAAGGAACTCATTTTGATATGAATAATCACAAGGAGGGAAGACTCCATCACTAAAGGAAAGTGAGCAATTCTGTAATTGATTATAACCCTTGATTTCAGAGTACCACAGGCAATTTCTCATCCCAATTAGGGAAATGCAGCAACTACTTTGCAATGCACGAACTGATGAGAAAGCTCTTTCATTCTTTCCCAGAGTTCATCATTACAGAGTCAATGAATTCCAAGAGTCTGTAAACAGCAAGGCTTATGAAGCATCAGTTTTAAATGCACAAGATTCCACCTGTGAAATTATACAACATCTGCTTGTCAGTCTTGTCATTTGGGAAGTGGCAATCCTCCCAGGAGGGAGAATTCAAATTCCACTTCATCATTTCAATCTCACTGCCTACAATGTACTAAAGACTATCTTCTAGACAAGCTTGTAAATAAGAACTCTTGGTTTTCAAATTTAAATGTTAGGGATAGGAAGTAAGAATGAGCAGACTTATTTGCGTAGTGTTGTGACTACGTGAAATAAAAAAAAGTGCTCTTTCCATAAGAAGCACTGCTGGGCTATCCTACTGTCTTCTTGCTTTCCTTCACATAGGATTATCATTCTAGTCCAGGCAAACTAATGTAATAATGATCTCCACTTCCTTAAAAGTCTGCCATAGGTAGAGTGAACATCTCTGAAGTGTTTGATGAATAAGGCTGGTATTTCATCAGGAAGAAAATCGCCAGATACTGTGTAGATAACACATTTTTAATATTTTTGGTAGTTTCTGCAATCAACTCTGAATCTTTTAGGTACATACAAAGCAAAGCATACATAAGGACACTCAATATTAAGGCTATTGAAAGTTATTTCATATTTTTTATTTTCTCAGTGAATTCATATTTTTCTGTAAGTAACAGAATTGGCTCTATTATATTAAATTCATTAGTTAGCAAATATAAATGCTTATGAATCAGGTGTCTTATAAAGTCAGGGTCCCCTAAGGCTTACTGGTCACTTTTTTCCCCCAACTATTCAGTTACTCAATACTATGTGTGTCTATTGCTGACAGAGATTAAGTCATTGCTACAGTAGGAAAACAGGTTGTCTTAAAATCATTAGTATCCCAATTGAGTTATTAATAACAAGTGCAGAATAAAACGCAGAGGAATACTAATCTCACCCCTTCTAAGTAGAGGCCCAGAGATCTCACCTGAATTCTGACTTTCAGGGCAATCTTTCTTTAAATGTTCCACAGAGCCACAAAGTTTGCAACCGCCACCTATTGAAAGAGCAAAGCCACTGAATACCATCTCATACTTGCAAGGGGTTTTTAACATCTCAAAGCACTTTCACATCTTACTGGATCCTCACAACCCTGTCAGTTGTAAAGGTAGCTAGACCAGGATCATAGGGAGGTGCCACTATTCCTATTAATTCATTCTCCATTCCTTTTAACCTCACAGAGCACTAAATTGTACCCACCCACTGCTTCTTGCACCTGGCCTTGAGAAGTAGGAAAAAGAAATGAGATATGATGGAAGGCACTTGTTCAAGAGCTATTGCACAGAAGCCTGGATCTTAACAATGCTTAGACAATCAAGAGTCTGTGAACCCTTGGACCTGTAAACAAAAGATGTAAGCAGATGCACTTTCCTGAATAGCATGTCAGATTCTCAAACAGTCAATGGCCCAAAAACAGATTAGAAACTACTGTTCTACTGTACAGATCAGATGGGGGTAAGCATTTATGAAAGAAATAAAGTTAATTTTTGTTTCAGTGCCTTCCACTGGCCAGGCACCCTAACCCTATAAAAATGCCCACCTGCCTACTTTAAACAACATTCCAGGATTGTGAATTACAACACATGTGGTTTCTAAAATAAGTGTTTCACTTAATGATCAAACACTATTGCTTAATGGTCAAGCATTATCTTGATCATGCTCGAAATGTTAAGTGACTTAGAAAAATGACCTAATCAGATACAAATCTGGCTGAATTTTCTTTTTTTTTTCCCCCAAATCTTGACTTTATTTTTAACATAAAAATGCAAATGTGGAAACCCACCCTACTTTTCCCCCAACATAATGCTTTACCTCTTAAAAATAAAGTACTAATTCTATATACATCAAATGTACCATACAAAAATGTATCCAGTGTTTCTATTGCTACTAAAGTGTTCTAAATTAAAACAAATCGCAGAAAGCCCCTTATTGTAAACAAAAGATTACAAGGTATAAAATCAAGGCACACACAGGCAAATATGGCCAAATTTTCACATCTATGGGATCTACTCTCCTTGCTGCATTAATTTTTTTTTTTTTTTTTTTTTTTACAGCTAGTCACTTTGGTTGACCAGTGAAAGCCATTTTTGCTCACTAGTCATGTTATCTACCCAGTTTTATAAGCTCAAAACTGAAATGCACCTGAGCATTTTCCAGGCCCTGGCCTCTTTATATGCCATAGTGAAAGAGAAGCACTTGAATAATACATTTTAATCCTTATAAAAATTCTTTAGGCAAATACCATAATTCATCAACTCTAAGACACCACTGATTATAAGATGTATCATTATTGCACATACCTCTCAGAAAGAAAAACAGCTGTCAATTATATGGGACCCACCAACGGTAAGATACATTCTGATTTCCAAGAGATTAAAATTGAAAAACTGTGCATCTTAGAATCAATAAAATATAGTTTTATCATCTCCACTCTATAGGTGAGGAAACGGAGATCAGAGTTTGGTAGTTGGCCAAAGCCCCCCAGCTAGTGAGTGGCAGTGCTGGCGCTGTAACCCAAGTCTGACCAACTCCAAAAGCTATGCTTTTTCACTGGACTTCTCCAGGAGGGAAACCCAGGACATGACACAAGAAACGTCTAGAGCCTGATGGCACCAGCCATCACATTAACAGATAACAACCTCCGCCTTAAAGCTTTAGACCGCATAGACTTTACTGTGTGAACCTTAATTACCCGAGTTAAAGAGAAAAAAGCTACATGATCCCATACCAGACAAATAACTAAGAAAAAAAATTCAGAAGCAAACATTACTACAATATTGAATCATCTGTACCCACCCCTCCACCAAAATGATATGCTGGCTGAGGCTGAATATATAATACGATTTTAAAAACCTCATATTAGCTTGAGATATAATCTCTCTGCTTCTGTTATGTCTAAAAGTAGAAATGTATGACATAGTCTCACAAATGATGAAGCAAGCACAGTTGGAAATATACACCTTAGTTTTTTCTGATTTGTTTTATTAACATCTGAAGTCAAATTGCACAAAAAGCCTAGTACATATGATAGCACTTGATAAAAATAATGTAATTCTCAAGGTTTTGCAATTTATTCAAGAATTTATTCAAGAACTGTGATTGAGTGTAAATTAAATCACAACTGCACGATGACTCACCATTTCTGCTATATGAGGGTAACAGTACTTACCATCAGCATAGAGTCCTTTGGGATTATCAGGACAAGATCTAGACAGGTGCCCCATTTCTCCACAAACAAAACATTTTGCAAAAGGAAATTCGCCTGTAAAAATCAACAGTTCCTATTCAGTTGACAATACATATGGCAAGTCATAAAATTAACATTATTTTAAAATACTCTGAATAAAAAATATATTTACATAACTTAAAATTTAATCTCATATGATTTCCAAATACTAAGTGGCACACTCGTAACAAATTGTGTTAAAAAAATACCCAAGGTGCTATTTATTGGCTTTCCCCATGAACAAAACAAAAAACTGAAAGAAACACATACCAAGAGCCGGGTCTACTTTAGCCTTACACTTGGTTATTTCGTGCTCTGTGGACCCACACCTGTAACATATCCCAGTGCCCATGTCTTGATTTTCAAGGGCGGCGGGGCAATCTGCAATTCCATGACCAGGTTTTCTACAATGGAAACACACCTAGGAAAACAAAACGTAGGTTGGCACGCTGCAAAACTATACCAGTGACTTTATTAATTCTTGTTATCAAAAACATATTTAAAACATTTCTCATCTTATTAAGCTATTTTTCTGAAATCTCAATATTTGTAGAAAAAAGCTTTCATACGTTCCTAAACAACGAGATATCCTTTCCATCAGAGGGTTTCATTGCTTTTGAAAACCTCAATCAATAAATCCATAAATCTCAGGAACAATGTTATATATGTGGCTTTGTAGACGGCAATTGCTTAAATGAATTGAGCAAATATGGACTATTCATTTTATTAACTGGAATGTCTGCAGTAGAAAAATGGCATTTTCTATAGGAAATGGACAGTGGCTATAAAAACTGTCACTCAAAATTTGTATTTGTATATAATTATGTACTCAAAATTTTAAAAAATTAATATTTCTTTTAAAGTTCACATAATTGAATGAATTTGGGTCAGACATTTCCATTCAAATTATGATTCAAACCATAAGATAGATAGATAGATAGATAGATAGATAGATAGATTTTTTTTTTTTTTTTTTTTTTTTTTTTTGAGACGGAGTCTTACTCCATCACCCAGGCTGGAGTGCAGTGGCCCAATCTCAGCTCACTGAAAACTTTGCCTCCTGGGTTCAAGTGATTCTCCTGCCTCAGCCTCCCAAGTAGCTGGGATTACAGGTGTGTACCACCACCTGGCTAATTTTTGTACTTTTAGTGGAGACGGGGTTTCACCATGTTGGCCAGGCTGGTCTCGAACTCCTGACCTCAGGTGATCCACCCGCCTCGGCCTCCCAAAGTGCTGGGATTACAGGCATGAGCCACCACGCCTGGCCATAAGATATATTTCATAGCAAAAAGTATATCCTTGTTTTTTACCCTAAATACTTTTTTGTTTTTTGAGACAGAATCTCGCTGTCACCAGGCTGGAGTGCAGTGGCGTGATCTCGGCTCACTGCAACCTCCGTCTCCCAGGTTCAAATGATTCTCCTGCCTCAGCCTCCCAAGTAGCTGGGATTACAAGCACGCACCACCACGCCCAGCTAATTTTGGTATTTTTTAGTAGAGATGGGATTTCATCATGTTGGCCAGGATGGTCTCGATCTCCTGATGCACCTGCCTCAGCCTCCCAAAGTGCTGGGATTACAGGCATGAGCCACCACACCCAGCCATACACATTCTTTAATATTCAGAAATAGGTTTCATTTTTAGAATATATGCACAATACATTTTAAAGGAATAATTTATTCCAAGATGAATTATTTGGCTCCAACATAAAACTGAGCAATGGTTAGTTGTTTACAGAAATTTGAAGAATTTTTTTGCTGCAATAAATGAGAACATCAACCATAATCAAAGATGGCAGATATTTAAACTATTTTATTTAAACTGGAAAAAGATATACATATTTCTTGGATAATAAATAGTCATTTAATTATGTTTTTTCAAAATAAGCACAGGTTTTTTTAAAAAGCAAATTCAACCAGCAAAATAAAACATTTATTTTGCAACTGTCCTTTTTTTCCTACTTAATAAAATATTGAAAAAGAATGAGTCCCTTTAAATTCTTCAGTAACTTGTACATTTAGAATGAGCTGGTCCAAAAAAAAGAAGCTGTATTTATTATACAAATGCAGGAAAAGCTACTGCTAAAACCTGCATCACCACCATAAGAAGTCTTGGCTTCTTGGTGAAGTCAAGGTGGTCTCTACTAAGCTGAGACTACTGCCTTAGTTCACTGCCTTCTCTTTTAAAACCTAATCATCACCTAATACAACATTTTTGAATGGTCCTTAAGTTTAATGTAGATGGGATTGTGAAGCACTGATTGTAAATTTCTATAGCATATCATTTTATTAGCATTTAAGGACCGATGCTTAGTATAAGGTATTAAAAAAATACCAAGGAAGTAAATTTAACAACAGGTCATAACAAGCCATATACTATTTATATAGCACTCCCCTTTTTAAAAAACAATATCCTTCCCCACTTAATTACAAACATAATGCTTTTCTTAAGCGGTCATAACAGTAAATGTTTTCAAATGGTATGTGATTCACCATACCGCCTATGTCAACTAAACTAAAATGACTTAAAATATTTAAAAATCGTTAACTTACACAAAACTCTATCCTGATACCAACAGAAATGTTATCCTTTCTATTCAAATTTATCCATAAGGAATGTTTCATCAGTATTATCTCTAAATAACTATCTTTAAATATAACAATGCATAGACTAATCTTGCAAACAGCCAAAAGACACATTTATAGAGGCTGTTAACATTTTAAGCCTGCAATGGTGCAAACAGTGCTCTACATATAGTAATACTAATAAAAAATAAAAGTATAATAACTAGCAACAAGTCCTCATTCTTATGAAGTGGTGTACTAGGAGGCTTGGGAAACTCACTTAGAGAAGGGAAATAATTATACCAAGTATTTCATCCCCTTTGCCTGACATACTTTAAAATCTAGGGCTAGGCATTAGAGAAAGAAACCTGCTGCCCCCAGCATTCTTCTGAATGTAATATGGGGGAGGGAGGAAGCAATGACTAGGGAGTCTCAAGGACTTTCAATTCTGCTATTACTCTGCTCTAACTAGTATGACTCCTATGTATCTCTTTCCTGTGCTTCAGTATTTCATAGATAAAGAACATCCTTTCCAAGTAATAGGGACCCACACACATTTAACCTGTTCTACTTCATCTTCTTCATAATTTTGACATTTTCTCAATGCTAATTTGAAAAAGGGGCTATTGGAAGGTGAGGATAGGTTTTGGTTTTTTTGGAGGACGAACTCTCGTTTTGTCACCCAGACTGAAATGCAGCGGTTGATCACATGGTTCACTGTAGCCTCGACCTCCCAGGCCCAATCCTCCTGCCTCAGCTGGCAGTAGTAGCTGGGATCACAGGTGTGTACCACCACACCTGGCTAATTTTTTTTTTTTTTTTTGGTAGACATGGCGTCTCCCTATGTGGCCCTGGCTCGTCTTTAATTCCTGGGCTCAAGTGATCCTCCCGCCTCAGCTTCCTAAAGTGCTGGGATCACGGGCATGGGCCACCACATCTGGTCTATAACGTAGGTTTTGAAGTCAGGCTGGGTTTGAATGTCACCTCTGCTACTAGCTAAGTGGCTTCCACAGGTTATTTAATCTATCTGCACTTCAGTGTTTGCCATCCATAATATGGGAATATATGCCATCACCTTTGCTGTGTTGTTGTAATAATTAACCAGTACATCATGTGCCTAGCATATATGTGCTAAAAAAGTACTAGTCCTTAAAACGATGCTCTATAAATCTGGGACATAATGGTAACCAGAGCTGGCTAAGGTATATATGTGTGTGAATATAAGAATAGTTTCCAGCTAAATAAAGTAAATAACATGGTAGAAGTGATGCTCTCACCATTGCATTTTTCTTTGCCGCTTGTCTTTTTAATCTTCTTCCTTCCCGTCGACTGTCTTTCTTTAAAGCAACTGCAATTTCTTCCCTTACTTCCTCACTGTCTGTTGCTATAATTTGCCCATTGTGAACCATCTGTGAATTCTGTCTTAGGTATTCCATGAATCCATTCACATCTTCATTTAAGTACTCTTTTTTCTTTTTGTTCTTTTTATGTTTTGCTTGGGGTGCATCATTTTTGAGGGATAGCCTATTGGCTTCAAGTTGTTTACGCTTTGGTAGGTTTTGGCTTGTTCCCTCAAAGGATCCCTTCTTCATGTCCTCCCATGATGTTGCAGGCAAGGGTCTCTTGTTATATGTGGTACTAACTCGGGCCCACCTGGTCATAATTTCATCAGTGGTACCTTATCAATTTTTAAGACAAGCATGGGTGGTTAGCCATCAACAACAAAAACAACAAAACTAAAGAGACATGCTATATCACTATATGTCACATATGCCCATATGTTAAACTTTTAATTATTAAAACACTTTTTATTTCAGTTAGATATCTGTATACATATTTAATGCTATAATATGCTGCATAGACATGCTTCTAACATAAATCTACCACTTACCAGAAAAGCTGCCACACCAGTTAAAAAAGGTGTGCTTAAAATTGAAAAACTATCTTAAGAAACCAAATTATTTCATAAAATATAAATCAGATAGTAATACAATGAATGCAATTATTCCTCCCACATTCTGCAGTTTTCCCGGCTGTTTATTTTCCTATCTCCAAGTCCCACAGCTACTTTCTCCCAATCTTCTTGCTTCGTCTGCCATTTCAATGCAACAATTTGCATAGCAGATTACTAAGTATACAGAAATCATGTCCTTTAATATGAAGTTTGTTGAAATTTCCTGGCAAAGTTATAAGTAAAACATATAAAAGTGTTTACCATCACAGGATGATCCCGGGCTTCCTCTTACTAATCAAGGTATAAGCTACTTCCAGCCCAGTGATTTCACATCATCTTCAATTCTATTTAAATTATGACTTGAATCATAAGATATATTTCACACCAAAATCTGTATCTTGTTTTTATACTCTTAATACATATGCTTTAATATTCAGAAATAACTTTTCATTTTAGAGCACATACATAAAGAAGTAATTTATCCTAACACTAATGATTTGGCTCCAACATAAAATGGAAAAAAGTTTTGGTCACTTACATACTACCTAGTGATTTGGAGGATATTTTTTTCCTGCAATGAATGAGAACATTCAGCCATAATCAAAGATTCATCAGCTAGTCACATGCTACATAACATTTAGGTCAACAGCGACTGCACACATGATACTGGTCTCAGATGATTATAATGGAGCTGAAAAATTCCTATTGACTTTGTAGCCCTCATAACTTGTAGTGTAACACATTACTCATGTCTGTGGTAATGCTGGTGTAAACAAACCTGGGATGCCAGTCATATACAAGCATAATGCTTACAATGATGTACTGTACATAATACTAGACAATTATAAGTATTCCAGAAAAAAGCAGTTATTATAGGAGATGACAGCTCCATTCATGTTACTGCCCCTGAAAACCTTCCAGTAGGACAAGATGTGGAGGAAGAAAAGAGTGATATTGATGCTCCTGACCCGGTGTAGGCACAATGTGTGTGTCTTAGTTTATAACAACAAAAAAAATTTTTACAGGAAAAAGCTATAGAATAATGTAAGGGAATAAAGAAAATATTTTTATATAGCTATACAACACATTAGCATTTTAAGCTAAGTGTTATTACAAAAGAGTGGGCCGGGTATGGTGGCTCACGCCTGTAATCCCAGCACTTTGGGAGGCCAAGGCCAGGTGGATCACAAGGTCAGGATATCGAGACCATCCTGGCCAACATGGTCAAACCCCATCTCTACTAAAAATACAAAAATTAGCTGGGCGTGGTGGCGCACTCTTGTAGTCCCAGCTACAGGCGCGCACCACCTGGGAAGCTGAGGCAGGAGAATCGCTTGAACTCAAGAGGTGGACGTTGCAGTGAGCTGAGATTGCGCCACTGCACTCCAGCCTGGGTGACAAGAGCAAAACTCTGTCTCAAAAATGAGAGACAGAGAGAATAAACTCCGTCTCAAAAAAAAAAAAAAAAGGTCAAGGAGTTAAAATTAATTTAAAAGTTTATAAAGTTAAAAAAGCACAGTAAGCTAAGGTTATTACCTTATTTTTAATAAACTTAGACTAAGCATACCGCATTTATAAAGTCTACAGTAGTGTACAGTAATACCCTAAATAATATCGTAGGCCTTCACACTCACATACCACTCACTGACTCACTTAATAGCTACCGACAGCCCTGCAAGCTCCATGCGTAAGTGCCCTATTCAGCTGTACCATGTTTTCTTTTACACTATATTTTTACAGTATCTTTTCTGTGTTTAGATACACACCATCCTTTTACAACTGCCTACAGTATTTAGTAGTTATACTGTACAGGTCTGTAGACTAGGAGTAACAGGCTATCCCATACGGCCCAGCTGTGTAGGTTTGTGCAAGTACACTATGATGTTCACACAACCACGAAACGGCCCAACCATTTCTCATAACTATACCAGTTCTTAAGGGGAGCATGGCTGTATTAAGCCACCACCTTTTTTGTTGTTGTTGTGGTCGTTGTTGAGACGGAGTCTCACTCTGTAGCCCAACCTGGAGTGCAGTGGGCGATCTTGGCTCACTGCAACCTCTGCCGCCAGGGCTCAAGCGATTCTCGGGCCTCAGCCTCCCGAATAGCTGGGATTACAGGCGCGTGCCACCACGCCCAGCTAATTTTTTGTATTTTAGTAGAGAAGGGGTTTCACCATGTTGCCCAGGGTGGTCTCGAACTCCTGAGCTCAGGAGATCTGCCCGCCTCGACCTCCCAAAGTGCTGGGATTACAGGCGTGAGCCACCGCGCCCGGCCTAAATTATCACCTTTTAAGACCAGCATCCCTGGCAACCCCCCAAGTCTCAGCTCCTAGTAACAGAAAGACCCCTTCCACAGAAGCTGAAGGGTGGACCCAATGAATTGGTGTGAGAAACTCCATGCCACTTTACCAGCGCACTCTTCGCTGAAGTTTATGCGACTGTCATAGTGGGGACCGAAGCTGTTCAAAAGGAAGTAGATTATCCTTCCCCTACGTACGTGGGAAGGGGGAGGCTCTGGGTTATCAAGAGGGTGAAGTGGGAGAGCCAAGCGGCCCACCCACAGGCGGATTCCAGGGCGGCTGGACGCACAGCCCCCAGCAGCCGGAGCCCAACAGCTGAGGTCGCCGCCCCTAGACAGCCCGCGCTCCAGCCAGCTCAGGGACCCAGCGGCTAAGCCTTCTGTCCTCCCAGCTTCCCACGCAAGTTCCGCCAGGCCAGAGGGAACGAACGACGAGACCCTGCAGCTTTGGTGGCTGAGAACCTCACCTCACCGCGCTACCGCGCAGCTTCTTACCGCGCACGAATCCCCCAGAGCAGCCGAGTTGGCGAGCCGGGGAAGACCGCCCTCCTGCGGTATTGGAGACCGGAAGCACATAGTGCCCGAGAGCGCGTCACTTCCGGCGTCACAGACGGTCTTTACAAGCGACTCGTGGGCGTCAATACTGGGCTGAGTTTGTGGCGCGCTTAGTGATGGGATGGCCCTGTGCAGGACGCCGACACGAAAAGATGAAGAGTTCAATCCGTGCTGTCTGAACTCACAGTGTAGCAGGCGAGATAGACGGGAAGATCGGTAGGGTGGGAGATGCCGGAAAGGCTTCCCGTGAGACTGGATAAGAAATCAAAAATCTGGTGAAATTGCCGGCAAGAGGGAGTTAAGGACATTCCAGGCAGAGGCAAGGTAAAGGCGCGGTGGGAGTGGGTCACTGTGATAAAAGTCTGAAAAGGACATTTGGGGGCTCTCTTGGGTGAGAGGCAGTGCCTCATGTCCCCCCTTCAGTGCTCGTTGAGCATTCAATTAAAATGTTAACACTTTGTAGCCAAACAAGTTCTCTTTTTAAGAGGAAAACCCTGGATTTCCAAACGGCTCATTTTCTGTAGCTTCTTGCAAATGGATACCACCACCAGCTGTGCCTAGTGAAAAAATGCAATTTACCAGGACCACTACTCTCAACAGTTTGCTCAATCCATTTAACCTTTTGAATATTTGTCCACTTCTTTTTATCTCTGTTGGCACCTCCTCCCTTGTCCCATATTGTACCTGTAGTTCTACAACTGGTCTGGGGATTCATTCTGCCCCAACTCCCTGAAATCCATTTTCCGTGTCGTAGGAACGGAACTTTTGAAAATGTAAATCATTACATTTAAAGCAGTACTGCTGTACTGCTTTAAACTCTCCCTTCGCTTCCCATTGTTTTAGGATGAAATTCGAACTCCTTATGAAGTCCCTGCCTACTTCCCTAGCCTCACCTTGCTCAGTCTCTCCTTTGAGCTCCGTGCATAGGATCATTTTTTCAATTTCTCAAATGCCGTGTGTACCTTGCCATCTCCAGGCCTTTACATTTGCTAGTCTCTTTGTATGGTACTCCTTTTCTTCTTCCAGTTACTTTCTACTCACCCTTCAAGGCTTTAAGTATTTTATTCTCAAGAAAGCCTTCCAGCCCCCTACCCCCATACTAGACCAATCCCCTACTGTGTGCTCACGGCAGTCTATACTTTCTTATGACACGGTTCACATTTGTAATTACACAATAATTGTGTAAGTTTATTGTATCCTCATTGCCTGGTACATCCTTGGTGCTCACTGCGTATTTGTTTTTTTGTTTTGTTTTGTTTTGTTTTTTGAGAAGGAGTTTGGCTCTTGTCGCCCAGGCTGGAGTGCAATGGCGCGATCTCGGCTCACTGCAACCTCTGCGTCCCGGGTTCAAGCGATTCTTCTGCCTCAGCCGCCCAAGTAGCTGAGATTACAGGCGCCCGCCACCGCGCCCGGCTAGATTTTGTATTTTTAGTAGTGATGGGATATCGCCATGTTGGCCAGGTTGGTCTCAAACTCCTGAGTTAGGCGATCCGCCCACCTCTTCCCTCCAAAGTGCTGGGATTACAGGCGTGAGCCACCGCGCCTGGCCCTCGTATTTGTTAAGTAAATGAAGAATAAGTACTTTGCGATGTTTGTTTAAAGCAAACTAGAAAGTGGCCCAGTTTTCTTTAAGAGAAGGGATTTTAAAGTCAGTGCTTGTAGGAATGTTGAGATTTGGTATGGTACATATCACAAATACCGTAGTTCATATGGTGGAGAAAGTTTTAAAAGACAACAAACAAACAACAGCAACTTCCAGCTCTTGAAGATAGGGAACTTCCTAAAAGATGTGTGGTAGTGCTGCCCATACTGTAATGATCTCAACCAGCTGGTTTCAGGGTAGTGACATTTCATGAAGAGGTTTTATCTTTGGTAGATGCAAGGTACTTACACATAACATACCACTAGAGGGCGCATTTAACTAAAACTTTTCTTTTTAGTGGTATATTGCATTTTAAACTGTAGGTCGTTCATTCTTGGAAGCAAAGGAACATACCGATTTCTTTTTGTAGCGGTATGTCCAATAAAGATTAGTAGTTGAGCAAATAGGGCGTAGAATAAGTCCTTTGGAATTCGGAGGAAACTATTGCTACTAATAGCTAACTTTACTGAACATTTTATAGGTGCCAGCAGTATGCTTAATGGTTTGCATTCGTTACCTAATTAGTCCACTCAGTATTCTGTGAGGTTGGTACTATTATTTTCTCCATTTTGCAATGAGGGAATAAATTCACAGAGCTGACGTAACTTATCCAAGGTCAGACAGCTAATAAGAGGTAGAGTCAGGATTTGAACCAAGATCTCAATCCAAACCTGTGTGCTCTGCTACTTTGAAATACTGCAGAGGATTGTTTGTCTACTTGATCCACTTTAAAACACTTTACTAAGTTATCCTTGCCCAAATTCGATTTTTTTTTTTTGGAAAGTATTTACTTTTACAGTTCAAGGGATTATGTTTGTATTCAGTTTTCCCATCTACTTATTGAAATACTGTAAATGTATTTTTTATAACAATATTATCAGGAAGGTAAATGTTAAATAAGGAATTCTGGTCGTCTTCTCAATTTTCCTGCTGCTGTTTCTTTTCCAGTCCTCAAATTGCTGATTTATAGCTTGATTCACTGGCAGAGACAGTGGAGTGTGCTTATTCCATATTACCAGGAATTGAAACCACTACCATTAGAATTTTAAATCTTCATTCTTGCCCAGATTCTCTCTGAATATTAGGCGCTTGGCCACCCTAGATGAAGTGACCAATAGGTGATGAGGACTAGAAGTGTCCAAGGCCCAGCCTGGGTGGACCATCCCTCTAACTGACTCACACATTAGAGTGAACAGCCTCCAGGCAGCCAGTTTACCTATAGAGCAATTTGGAACGGAGAACAGTGAATCTGGAAAGGAAGGCTGGGATGAGATTTTGCCAAATTAAAGTGTTTTTAAATGTGAAATTATAGTGTTCAAACTTTATCCATTAGAGCTTAAGCAATGAACAACTGTGGATAGTGTTTTAGATCATACAGGAGATCCCATAAAATAGATCTGGAGAAGAGGATTGTGTGGAAAACTGTACCTAATGCATTCTCCGGGCAGTTATTGAACTTTTTTATAGTATGCAGAAAAATACAGCAGAAGAGAGAGGAAAAAAATTAATGACCCTGCTGTTGGAAATAAAAATAAGATCCAGACCAGTGACATTCTGACATCTTAAAAACCTGTCAGTGATATTTTTAGCTGCTTTAGGATCCTTACAATAAGGCCCATGAGTAATAGGATTGTGAGGGTTTTTTTCTTTATACATAATTTTACAGATATTCTTTAATGGGTGTGTATTACATTTAGAATCATTATTAAAGAGTTATTTTTAATCCATGGGAGTTTTGACACAGCACATGAGAATTTCTAATTATAGACTCATAGAAATACATACCTCTTAAAACCCTATCTTCTTGTTTTACAGATCAATAAATTAAGTTTCAGAGAAGTTAAGTGATTGCCATAGAACACAATGCTAGTGACTGAATTTTGTTAACTAACATGCTTTCATTTGCATTGTTGGTTTTCTCAGTAACAAAATTACAAGCAATACTGCTTTATTTCAGAAGTGAAAGAAAATCTATTGGAAGTGTGGAGCAAGAGAAACCTATTAGTGGAAGTTACTTGAGGTTCCTAGGCAATAAGGAATAGGAATAATATAAAGTTTGTGTTACCCTCTGAAAAAGCTTGAATCTCTTTCATCTTCTTTGCTTAAACGTGATAAAGAATAGTGTTGGAACACTAATCACAAAAATGATGTATCCTTCTGACTCATCTTACCATCTTGTTGTATTTCTCAAATTTGAGTTCCTAATCATGTGTTTCGGTGGTTAGGATGTTAAGTGCTTCAAATGAATACTTAAACCTAAATTACAAACAAGTGGCAAGATTTGCAAGCTCTCCTTTATTCTCTGAAATGCGTACTTCCTCCTCCTTATGTCTGAGGAAATCATACCAGATACGGGCCTTAGACTGTCCATTCCAAGGAACAATGAGAGGTCTTGCAGTTACAAATGGAATTCTGTAAAATAGGATAGGTGAGGAAAAAGCACTTTTTGATGTCTACTATTTGCCAGTACCTTAAGTGCTAAATATATACAAATGACAGAGAGGTCCCTGCCCTTAAGCAGCCAAGAGCCTGTGAGAGTAAGACAGATTGCTAAACCACTAATAAGCTGATGTTATAATTAGTGAGGGAATTATGGTGATATAGAGATTACAGATAAAATATTTCTTCCTGGGAAGTTTTAAGAAAAACTTCACAGTAGAATGTGTTGCAGACAACTGGAGAGAGGGATCAGGGAGGTGAGGAGGAGGAGTCAGTAAAAAATAAATACATGTACTCGATCTAAAATCCTCTCCAATAAGCTGAAATGCTTTTGCAGATAAGACTGACACACGCTGACATATACACAAAAAAGAGATAAAAATTTATGCTAGTACTTCATAAAAGGTCAAAGTGAACATAACCAAGTGGCAAAAATATTTCGTACTGATTTAGTAACTACTATATAAAATAATCTACCAGTAAGTCTGGGTAAAAACAGTACAGTAATTAATGATTTCAGATGAACTAATTTAAGAGGACCACATACGAGGAAAAACATAACCTGCCCAAAACTATGGCATAGCAAATAAATGATCATAGGAAAAGAGGTCCCACAAATATTTAAGAAACATTTATGGACCAAGAAGATGTAGAAAGTCACATTTACATATATTCCGGAAGATGTGAGAGTCTAATGGTGAGCTCTATGAAGATGAATTGGACACAGTTCATACCCCCAGAGGAATCTGGTAAAGAAGACAAACAGGGCCAGGCGCGGTGGCTCACTTCTTTAATCCCAGCACTTTGGGAGGACGAGGCAGGCGGATCACCTGAGGTCAGGAGTTCGAGACCAGCCTGGACAACATGATGAAACCTCGTCTCTAGTAAAAATACAAAAAAAAAAAAAAAAAAAAAAGCCAAGCGTGGAGGCAGGCACCTGTAATCCCAGCTACTCAGGAGGCTGAGGCAGGAGAATCGCTTGAATCTCGGAGGCAGAGGTTGCAGTGAGCTGAGATCGCTCCATTGCACTCTAGCCTGGGTGACAAGAATGAAACTTTGTCTCAAAAAAAAAAAAACAGATTTTAAATTCCTCAAGGAGCAAATGAAGGAAGGCACTTGTGTAGTTTTGCCCAGGGAAGCTTTATATGGAAGTCACCAGCAAGTTTTCAGAGAGGAAGATTAGCTACACTGAGTGTATGTGGCTTTTAGATCTCTAAACAGTATGTCTTGGAGAAGTACAGCAAACCAGATAGAGATATATATATATAATAGATACATATAATTATATATCTATTATATATAACCAATATTATATATAATAATATAGATATATTAATCTATTATATATAGTATATATAAGATATATACTATATATTATAGATATATCTATTATCTTATATATACTATACATAATTAAATATATATTAGATATATAATATATATCTAATATATAATAGATATATATCTATTATATATAATGTATAATATATAATATGTAGATATATCTATTATATATAATATATATTATATGTAGATATATCTATTATATATAATATGTAGATATATCTATTATATATAATATATAATATATGTAGATATATCTATTATATAATATATAATATATATTATATGTAGATATATCTATTAAATATAATATATAATAGATATAGATATATAATAGATATATCTATAATATGTAATAGATATATCTATCATATGATATATGATATATATCATATGATAGATATATAATAGATATATCTATTATATATGATATATAGACATATATAGACGTATCTAATGATATAGAGAGATATCATATATGATATATCTATTTTATATATATTATATATATATAAAATTTTTAAAAATTCTTCTTTTAAATACTAAGAAGGACTTTTAAGACCTAATCCTAAGGTACAGTATTCAATCTACATGTGTTGCCACTTTTCCTGTATTGGATGTTGGTTTTTAAAACTGAAATTTAGAATGGTAGTGATGGTTATGCAGCATTGTGGATATGCTTAATGCCACAGAACTGTACACTTAAAATGACTAGTAGTAAATTTTGTTACGTATGTTTACCACAATATAAAAAAAATTTTTTAAAAACTTGTGTTTAACCATTTTATGAGTAGTATTTACTTGATTCTCTTGAAGCTCAGTTTTACATCTTTCTCCTTTATTTACTACTTAAGTTACTCTTAAATGTAAGAATCAAGGTGTTAACTATGTATACTTTCCCTTATCACAAAATCTGCAAACAATTTGAATTTAGAATGTGCAATTTGTGAAACACAGCATTCTTAAGAATGTGCATGTTTGTTACATGGGTATATTGCATGATGCTGAGGCTTGGGTTATGATTGATCCCATCACCCAAGTACTGAACATAATACCTAATAGTTTTTCAACCCTTGTTCTCCTCCCTCTAGCAGTCCCCAGTGACTGTTGTTGCCATCTTTATGTCCATGAATACCCAGTGTTCAGCTCCTACTTATAAGCAAGAACATATGGTATTTGGTTTTCTGTTCCTGTGTTAAGTCACTTAACATAATGGCCTCTAGCTTCATCCATGTTGCTGCAAAGGACATGATTTCTTTTTATGGCTGCATAGTATTCCATGGTGTATATGTACATATTTACTTTATCCAGTCCACCATTCATGGGCACCTAGGTTGATTCTGTGCCTTTGCTATTGTGAATAGTGCTGCAGTGAACATATGAGTGCATGTGTCTTTATAACAGAACGATTTACATTCCTTTGAGACCCAGGACTGCTGGATCAAGTGGTAGTTCTCAGTTCTTTGAGAAATCTCCAAATTGCTTTCCACAGTGGCTGGTCTAATTTACATTCACACCAACAGTGTATTAACATTCCCTTTTCTCTGCAGCCTCACTAGCATCTGTTGTTTTTGACTTTTTTTTTTTTGGTCTTTTTTTTGAGACGGAGTCTCACTCGGTCGCCAGGCTGGAGTGCAGTGGCACGATCTTGGCTCACTGCAACCTCCCCCTCCTGGGTTCAAGTGATTCTCCTGCCTCAGCCTCTTGAGTAGCTGGGACTATAGGCATGCGCCACCATACCCGGCTAATTTTTGTGTTTTTGGTAGAGACAGGGTTTCACCGTGTTGGCCATGATGGTCTCAATCTCTTGACCTCGTGATCCACCCACCTCAGCCTCTCAAAGTACTGGGATTACAGGCATGAGCCACCGTGCCCAGCCTGTTGTTTTTTGACTTTTTAATCACCGTTCTGACTGGTGGGAGATGGTATCTCATTGTGGTTTTAATTTGCATTTCTCTGCTGATAGTGATGATGAGTATTTCTTCATATGTGTTGGCCACGTGTATATCTTCTTTTGAGAAGTGCCTGTTCATGTCTTTTGCCTGTTTTTTTAAAGGGGTTTTGTGCTTGTTCAATTGTTTACATTCTTTATAGATTCTGGATATTAGACCTTTGTTGGATGCATAGTTTGTGAATATTTTCTCCCATTCTGTAGGTTGTCTGTTTACTGTGTTGATAGTTTCTTTTGCTGTGCAGAAGCTCTTTAGTTTAATTAGATCGTCCCACTTAAACCAATTTTTGTTTTTGTTACAGTTGTTTTCGAGAACTTAGCATATATTCTTTTCCAAGGCCAGTGTCCAGAATGGTGTTTCCTAGATTTTCTTCTATAATTCTTATAGTTTGAGGTCTTACATTTAAATCTTTAATCTATCTATTGTTAATTTTTGAAAGGTATGATCCAGTTTCATTCTTCCACATGTTGCTAGCTAGCCATCCCAACACTATTGAATAGGGAGTCCTTTCCCCATTGCTTTTTTGTTGTTGTTGATTTTCTTGAATATAAGATGGTTGTGCAGCTTTATATCTGGTTTTTCTATTCTATTCCCATTGGTCTCTGTCTCTTTTTGTACCAGTTCCATGCTGTTTGGATTACTGTAACTTATTAGGATAGTTTCAAGTCAGGTAACATGATACCTCCAACTTTGTTCCCTTTGCTTAGGATTGTTTTGGCTGTTCCTGCTCTTTTTTGGTTCCATGTAAATTTCAGAATAGCTTTTTTCTAGTTCTGTGAAAAATGACATTGGTAATTTGGTAAGAATAGCATTGAATCTGTAGATTGCTTTGGGCAGTATGGCTACTTTAATGATATTGATTCTTCCAATCTGAGCATGGAATGTTTTTCCATCTGTTTGTATCATCTGTGTTTGTAGTTCTCCTTGTAGTGGCCTTTCACCTCCTTGGTTAGATATGTTCTTAGGTACTTCTCTCTCTCTCTCTGTCTCTCTCTCTCTCTGTGTGTGTGTGTGTATGTGTTGTACGTGGGATTGCATTCTCGAGTTGGCTTTCAACTTGAATGTTATTGGAATATAGAAATGCTACTGTTTTTATAGATTGATTTTGTATCCTCAAACTTTACTGAAGTTGTTTATCAGTTCTAGGAGGTTTTTGATGACAGCTTTGTTTTTTGTTTTTTGTTTTTTTGTTTTTTTTTGTTTTTGGATGGAGTCTCGCTCTGTCACCCAGACTGGAGTGCAATGGCGCAATCTTGGCTCAGTGCAACCTCCATCTCCCGGCTTCAAGTGATTCTCCTGCCTCAGCCTCCTGAGTAGCTGGGATTACAGGCACGGGCCACCACGCCTGGCTAATTTTTTTTTGTATTTTTAGTGGAGACCAGGTTTCACCATGTTGGTCAGGCTGGTCTTGAACTCCTGAGCTCATGATCCTCCCGCCTTGGCCTCCCAAAGTGCTGGGATTACAGGCATGAGCCACCACACCCAGCCAGCTTTAGGGTTTTTAAGGTATAGAATCATATCATCCATGAAGACAGATAGTTTCACTTCTTCTTTGCCTATTTGGATGCCTTTTATTTCTTTCTCTTGCCTGATTGCTCTGGCTAGCACTTCTAGTACTATGGTGAATATGAGTGGTAAGAGAAGGCATTCTTGTCTTATTCCAGTTCTCAAGGGAACTTCTCCAGTTTTTGCTTGTTCAGTATGATGTTAGCTGTGGGTTTGTCATAGATGGCTCTTATTATTTGGAATATGTTCCTTTTGAGAGAGGAGCAGTTAGGGGCTGGCTAGGCAGTTAGGGAAGGTCTTTGGAGAAGAACAACACTTATGGGACCACAACTGCACTGCCCGTGTTATGTAGCAAGCAGGTGGAAGTGTGGTGAAGAGCTTCCTCTTATACCAGGATGTTTGCCCAAGAAGGGAGTGTCCCAACTTAGGCACAGGTGCAGTAAATAAACGTAACATCCTTAACTTGACCCAGCTCATTATATATAAGTCATTAACATGACATCTGCATGGTAGTTTCACCCCCCTGCCATGTGGGCTTTTCTGTGATGTTTATGGGTAATAACTAAGATGGAGTAGCTTTGGAGAAGAACACACCTGTGCAGAAAGAAGTGGGACCAGGAAGCAACCAGGACATAGAGGGTTGTGCAAGATGCAAATGAGAAAAACGCCCCTGGAAAGAGGGGACAGAAACCTCTGGGGACAAGCCCATAGGCATCAACCCACTTTCAGGTCACCTGTTGCTGCTGAGAGCTTTTCCTGTCACTTAATAAAAATCTATGCCTTACTTACCCTCTGGTGTCCGTGAACCTCATTCCTCTTGGTCATGGGACAAGAACTTGGAACTCACTGAACTATGGGAGTGAAGGAGCCACAACACCTTGATGCATAGTTTCTTGAGGATTTTTATCATGAAGGGATATTAGATTTTATCAAAAGCTTTTTTGTGTGTCTTTCGAGATGATTATATTGTTTTTGTTTTACTTCTGTTTATGTGCTGAATCACATTTATTGATTTGCACATGTTGAGCTAACTGTGCTTTCTGGGAATGAAGCCTACTTGATCGTAGTAAATTAACTTTTTGATGTGCTGTTGTATTCAGTTTGCTAGTATTTTTGTTCAGGATCTTTGCATCTGTGTTCATCAGGGATATTGACATATAGTTTTCTTTTTCTTTTGTTGTGTCTTTGCCAGGTTTTGGTGTCAGGGTGATGCTGGCTTCATAGAATAATTTAGGAAGGAGTTCTTCCCTGATTTTTTTTTTAATAGTTTCAGTAGAATTGGTACCAGCTCTTCTTTGTATGTCTGTTAGAATTCTGCTGTGGATCCATCTGGTCTGGGGCTTTTATTGGCTTATAGATTTTTTTTATCACTGGTTTCAATTTCAGAACTTGATACCGGTCTATTCAGGATTTCAGTTTCTCCCTGATCCAATCTTAGGAGATTGTGTGTTTCCAGGAATGTGTCCATTTCCTCTTGATTTTCTAGTTTGTGTGCATAGAGGTGTTCATAATAGTCTCTCAGTATCTTTTGTATTTCTGTGGGATTGGTGGTAATATCACCTTTGTCATTTATTTAGAGACAGGGTCTTACCCTTTTGCCCAGGCTGGAATGCAGTGCCATGATCATTGGCTCACTGAGGTCTTGACCTCCCTAGGCTCAGGTAATCCTCCCACTTCAGCCTCCCAAGTAGCTGGGACTACAGGTGCATGCCACCATGCCCAGCTAACTTTTGTAGAGACAGGGTTTCATCATGTTACCCAGGTGGTCTTGAACTCCTGGGCTCAAGTGATCCACCCACCTTGTCCTCCTAAAGTGCTAGGATTACAGGCATGAGCCACCATGCCTGGCCACCTTTGTCATATCTAACTGTGCTTATTTGGATCATCTCTCTTTTTTCTTTGTTAATCTAGGTAGTGGTCTGTGATCTTTTTTATCCTTCAGAAAACCAATTTTTGGTTTTGTTGATTCTTTGTATGGACTTTTGGGTCTGAATTTTGTTTGGTTCTGCTCTGAAATAACTAAAATTTCTTTTCTTCTGCTAGCTTTGGGGTTCTTATTTTTCTAGTTCCTCTGTCTGATGTTAGGTCATTAATTTGAGATTTTTCTAACATTTCAAGTACAGTTTTTGCTGTATCTTAGATATTTTGGTATGTTGTCTATTTTCATTTCTTTCAAAGAATTTTTTGATTTCTGCCTTAATTTTCTTGTTTACCCAAAAGTCCTCTGGGACTAAGTTGTTTAATTTCCATGTAATTGTGTGGTTTTGAGCGATCTTCTTGGCATTTATTTCTGTTTTTATCCCACTATACTTTGAGAGTATGGTTGGTATGATTTTGATTTTTTTTTTAGTTTATTAAGACTTGGTTTATGCCCAGGATGTGGTTGATCTTGGAGTATGTTCCCATGTGCATATAAGAATGTGTCTTGTGGCAAACTAAAGCAGGAACACAAAACCAAATACTGCATATTCTCACTTATAAGTGAGAGTTGAACAATGAGAACACATGGACACAGGGAGGGGAACAGCACACACTGGGGCCTGTAGGCAGGGTCAGGGGCTAGGGGAGGGAGAGCATCAGGAAAAATAGCTAATGCATGCTGAGCTTAATACTTAGGTGATGGGTTGACAGGTGCAGCAAACCACCATGGCACACATTTACCTAGGTAACAAACCTGCACATCCTGCATATGTACCCCAGAACATAAAATAAGAATGTATATTCTGTGGTTGATAGGTGGAAGTATTTTATAGATGTCTATTAGATCCAGTTGGTCAAATGTCAAATGTCAGTTTAGAGTTTCTTTGTTAGTTTTCTACCTTGATGATCTTTCTAATGTTGTCAGTGTGGTGTTGGAGTCTTCCACTATTACTGGGTGGCTGTCTTAAGTCTTTTTGTAGATGTAGAAGTACTTGTTTTATGAATCTTGTTGCCCCAGTGTTGTGTGCATATATATATTTAGGATAGTTACATCTTCTTGTTGAATTGAACCCTTTATCATTATATAATGCCCTTCTTTGTCCTTTTTTTTTTTTTTGCTGTTATTGGTTTAGTCTGTTTTAGCTGATATAAAAATAGCGACCCCTGCTCTTTTGTTTTCCATTGCATGATAGATCTTTTTCCAACCTTTTACTGAGTCTGTGGGTGTCCTTATGTGTGAGATTGGTCTCTTGAAGACAGCAGATGGATAGGTCTTGCTTTTCTAATCCAACTTGCCACTCTGCGCCTTTTAAGTGGGGGCATTTAGATCATTTACATTCAAGATTAATATTGATATGTGAGGTTTTGTGGATCCAGAATTTTAAATGTCTGTTTCCTTCCCTGTGCTGAGAGATATGGCCATGTTATCTTCCTGAGATTGTCTAATATTTCTATTACTTGCTGGGCTAATAATAAAGTACACATTGATACCTGACAAATATTCATCTTTCCTTGCCAACTTTATATATTGCAGAATGTTATAGTAGCCCTATTTGAAGATGGTTGGACTTTCCATCCCTGTCATGGAATGGGGAATATATTCCTAGAAAAGAGTTTTTTTTTTTTTAATTGGGGCCTTATTGGCTTAGAAAAGCACTAACAACTTAAAAGAGGGAAAAAACAACATCTCAGCAGTATAATGAGAAAATTTGGGATCAGAGAAAGATGTTTTGTTTCTATTTTAAGAAATAACAGGATGGCAAAAGACAGATACAGATAAGTTGATCTCTTTTTTTTTTTTTTTTTTTTTTTTGAGACAGAGTCTCCCTCAGTCGCCCAGGCTGGAAAGCAGTGGCTCGATCTCTGCTCACTGCAAGCTCCGCCTCCTGGGTTCACGCCATTCCCCTGCCTCAGCCTCCGGAGTAGCTGGGACTACGGGCGCCCGCCACCACGCCCAGCTAATTTTTTTTGTATTTTTTTTGTAGAGACGGGGTTTCACCATGTTAGCCAGGATGGTCGCAATCTCCTGACCTCGTGATCCGCCCTCCTCGGCCTCCAATAGGCCATTTAAGTGAATATCGAAGCGATGTGCCAGAGAGTGTGTTACTTAAAAAACATCTTAAGGCTGGGCGCGGTGGCTCACGCTTGTAATCCCAGCAGTTTGGGAGGCTGAGGTGGGCGGATCACTTGAGGTTAGGAGTTTGAGACCAGCCTGGCCAACATGGTGAAACCCCGTCTCTACCAAAAATACAAAAATTAGCCAGGCGTGGTGGCAGGCCCTTGTAATCCCAGCTACTCGGGAGGCTGAGGCAAGAGAACTGCTTGAACATGGGAGGCAGAGGTTGCAGTGAGCTGAGATCGTGCCACTGCACTCCAGCCTGGGCGACAGAGCGAGACTCCATCTTAAAAAAAAAAAAAACTTGAATAATTAAATTTTTTGCCTGTCTACCACAAAGAGATGTGACTGCACTGTTAACCACATTGTTGCCAAATGAGTAAAATGTGTAAAAGATTTTAATACCAGTCCTCTTTTATTCATTAAAGTCTTCTTATGGCTCGTTAATTTTAATGGTATAATCTAGTTCTGATTGAAGTGCACCTGAATGCAGTTAGTGCCTCATCAGTCCTGATGAGTTCCAAGTAATTCAGGCCCTGTCTGCAGTGTTCACAAATTGTGTCTATATTTACATCTGTTTCATGCATGTTTGCACGTGTCTTCAGCAGTACAGTTTTTACAAGAGCCCAGTGTCTTCCTTTTTGGCCTCATCTACATTATTTAAAAGAGTTTTCTATTTTCATAATTGCTTTTATGCCAAAAATAAGTTTTATGCAAACAAAGATTTTGTGATGATGCCAAAATTTGGCATTCAGGTTGAAAATAGATACAGCTTATGAGTCAAATACACTTTTGGAGAATAGGGAATCTGATGTATATAGTAAAAAGTAAATGATAATATCAGTTCATTGGATTTCCACTATAACTCGTAAGTTTCATGAAGCTATTAAAAAACTCTTCTTAAATCCTGCTTTTACAGTTTCATAATTACATACCTCAAACTAGGTTTACTCATTTTCAGATATAGATTATGTTTGCAGAATGAATACATGATTAATTATGGTATACCTCTTTAATCCTTCATTTCTGGTGTGGGTGTTTTCACAGCACTCAGATAAGTGATTGGTTGAACATGGTCAAACAGTCTAACCCCTAGGGTGAATAGAGCTTTCTCTGATGGTGCTGAAGGTTTATTCATCAGTTACGATCTCGCTCTTTTTTTTTTTTTTTTAACATGAAGTTTCACTCTTGTTGTCCAGGCTGGAGTGCAGTGGTGCGATCTCGGCTCACTGCAACCTCTGCCTCCTGGGTTCAAGTGATTCTCATGCCTCAGCCTCCCGAGTAGCTGGGATTACAAGCATCTGCCACCACACCCGGATAATTTCTTGTATTTTTAGTAGAGATGAGGTTTCACCATGTTGGCCATGCTCATCTCAAACTCCTGACCTCAGGTTGATCCACCTGCCTCGGCCTCCCAAAGTGCTAGGATTACAGGCATGAGCCACCGCTCCTGGCCCAGTAATGATCTCTTAATTCCCCTTTTTTAGGTTCCATGATAACCATTTGCCTTCTCTGTTAAAAAAAAAAAAGTGTTTTTTATAGAAAGGGTAAAATGAAGTTGGTTCAGCATCCTTTTCTGAATCTTCCAATTCCAATCTTGCCTCCTGGATGGTTCTTTGGTTTCATTTTACAGATGGCTAATCTCCACTATGTGCAGATTTTTCTAGTTTAATTTTTAGATGGAAATCTTATTAACTGACCTTAACTTTTTTTTTGAGGGTTTTGAGGCCCCCTCATGTATTCTGTCTCCCAATAAAATTTTAAGCTCCTGGATAGTTCCCTGCATAGATAAGAAATGAATGACTATCAAATACATTAGATATTCTATCATAACAAAGCTTTTCCCCATTAAAATTGAGTAACAGCTATATATCCTTGATTTGCACTTAAAAATTATGCTTGATTCAATTTTAAATTTCAAAAAGTTGGTATGAAATAGTTTTTGACAATCAAAAGGAATAAAGAAATGTTTTTTCTCTTGGAACTACAGGTGAGAAGAGGAGTTGCTGTTGTGAAAGGGGGAGTCAATTTTGGGAGCAGAAAGGTAGAGCGGGCCAGGTGTGGTGGCTTATGCCTATAAACCTAGCATTTTGGGAGGCTGAGGCGGGAGGATCACTTAAGGTCAGAGTTTAAGACCAGCCTAGGCAATGTAGTGAGACTTCATCTCTATCAAAAAAAAAAAAAAAGTTAAAAATTAGCCAAGCATGGTGGCACATACCTGAAGTCCCAGCCACTCGGGTGGCTGAGGTGGGAGGATTGCTGGAGCCCAGGAGATTGAGCTATGATTGTGCCACTACATTCCAGCCTGGGCAACAGAGTGAGACCTTGTCTCAAAAACAAAACAAAACAAAAAACCAAAAAAAAAAAAAAAAAAAAAAAGGCTGCTTTTACATAGAGCAGGGAGCAGTGGGGAATAAGACACTTGGCTGCCTCCTGGTGCTTACTGTTAATTTGTCCTGTTGTAACTCGACAGAGATGTGATACAACCCTGGCCTGACAGCATGTAATTGCAGGCTCAGGGCTGAATGTTTGGTTTACACAATGAAGTAAGCCACCAAAGTCTATCAAGGTGATAGATGAAAGTGAGGGAAATTTAGAATAGATAATGGAGGAGGTTGAAGATGAGTAGCAGCAATGGGGCTTTAGTTCATACCACTAACCTCCCTCTTCTAAGATGTTCCTTAGGATGTGAGACCCATGGAAGTCATGGAAGAGCTTTTCCCTGAAGTAAATTTGTATGATGCACAGTGGACTGTGGTGGCCATGAAAATATATAACTGAAATTCCCTCTTGCAGGGACCATAATTGACAAATAACCTCAGTTACTGCCCCTCTGGATGAACCATTGTGTTGATGCTGAGGCCAGGCTTCCTGTAGTCTACGTTCAGCTCATAACTGAGTAAAGTCCGTTCTTGCCTTAGGAGATGCAAAACTCTTACAGCAGGTGTGAAGACGGCTGAATCCATTGGCCTAGTTGAACCTTTCTTGGTCTAGGACTTTTCCTACCCCTTCTTGCCGCCTTCCCTCTCAGTCTAGCATACTGATTTGAAAGTATCTACCTCTTCTTATCCTTTCCCACAAAAATCACTTTCGTGTTAAATCCTGTCTTGGTACCTGCTTCTTGGCAGCTCCAAACACAGCTGATATTCTTGTTTAAGTCTCCTGGATTTTTCTTGATACTTTGTCTACTTGTTCTATGGAATTCTAAAAGAGAAATATTGCATATTTGTCTATTTCCTCTTACAGTTCTGTTAGTTTTGGCATCATATATTTTGAAACTTGTTATTAGATGAGCACATATTTAGAATGTTTAAGTCTTAATGAATTTGACATGTGCATAATTATGAAATGCCCCCCTTTATGCTTTTTTTCTGGAGTATACTTTAGTAATAAAATAGAACACTCTTTCTTTTGATTGGTATTTTCATGGTATGTCTTTTTTCATCCTTTTACTTTTTGTGTCTTTATATTTAAAGTGAGTTTCCTGTAGACAGGATATCATTGGTTTTTAACATTTTTTCCGCACCCTAATGGTCTCTGCCTTTTAAGTGGAGTGTTTGGACCAGGGATTGACACAATTTTTTTTTTTTTTTCTGTAAAGAGCCACATACTACATATTTTGAGTTTTGTGGACGATATGGTCTTTGTTGCAATTACTCAGATCTGCCATTGTAGTACAAAAGCAGCCACAGACAATATGTATATGAATGTGTGGCTATGATGAGTCAGATTTTGCCCATAGCTGTAGTTTGTCCTTTTTTTTTTTTTTTTTTTTTTTTTTGAGACGGAGTCTCGCCCTGTTGCCCAGGCTGGAGTGCAGTGGCACAATCTTGGCTCACTGCAATCTCTGCCTCCCAGGTTCAAGGAATTCTCATGCCTCAGCCTCCTGAGTAGCTGAAATTAGAGGCGTGCACCACCATGCCCAGCTAATTTTTGTATTTTTGGTACAGATGGGGTTTGACCATGTTGACCAGGCTGGTCTCAAACTCCAGACCTCAAGCAATCTGCCCACCTCGGTCTCCCAAAGTGCTGGGATTACAAGCATCTGCCATTGTGCCCAGCCAACTATATTTGATGTAATTGTGGATATAGTTGGCTTTCCACAGATATTGTAATTTATTGCACTTATCCCAATGAAAAGAATTGTATTCTTCCTTCATTTGGAATTAATTTATTGATGACTTTAAAGTGTTTTGTCAGAAGATTAATTTTTCCCTCCCCTTTCCTATTAAAATAGAATCAGTTTTCTTTAAAAGTCTTGGAAGGAGAAAAAGGTCTACTTCTATGGTGCAGTATGCTCCCAATAGGCTCATTCTCCTACAGATAAGAACTATAAACTCTGATTAAATTTTTAAAATTATACAAGAACTCTGGAGATTGGAAAAAAGCAGGTAGCTTTTGGAGAGTATTCAAATCTTAGAGGTTGAGATTGCACAAAGTACATTTCATATTTTGCAACATTAGCCTGCATGTGCCATAGATACTGTACAGCACGGAGTGGCTAAGATTCCAGTAGAGAACCAAGCTCTTTTCTGGCCTAGTAAACCAGGAAATGGAGCCTGGAATAAGCATAGCCACCAGAAGGGGGTATTCTAGAGGAGAGACCCAGAGAAGTGGAGGTCCAGGTTCTCTGGATGAACTCTGCTCAAATCTTTACTTGACCCCTGAACTACACATGAATGAAGCAGCTTCAAAACAACCACTGAGGCTTAAGTAACTTAACTGTATATTGAACTTGCAGTCATTGCAGGTGAGACCACAGTTTGAGTCTAATCAAGGTAATTGCCTGCTAAAACAAATACCTCAGTCATTTTTAAAGCAATACGGTAGAACTCAGGTTATACTAAATATAACTTTCTCAATGTCCAGGATACAATCCAAAATTACTTGACAGAGAATGAACTAGGAAAATATGACAAGAAAAAGACAGCCAACAGGTTTACCCAGAGATGAACAAGGTGACCAAAAGATATAACACAAGGACTTTATACCAGCTATTCTAACTGTGCTCAATGAATAAAGGCAAAGATGTTTACAATGAATGAAAAGATGGAATATCTCAGCAGAGAAATAGAATATGTAAAAAAAAAAAAATTTGAGAAGTAAAAGTTACAATATCTGTGATGATAAAAGATCACTGGTTGAGCTCAGTAGCAGAATAGAGAGAACAGAGGTAGAATAGAGAGGTAAGAATTTAGAAACTTAAAGATAGAACAATAGAAATTATTCATTCTGAAGAAAAGGAAATGATTGAATAAACAGAAAAGGGGGGAAATTATTTTTAAAATGGACACTCAGAGTACTGTGGAACAATAGCAGTAGGTCCAGTATATGTCTAATTATGAGTCCTAAAAGAGAGAATGAGGCCGAAAAAAGCATTTGAAGAAATGATAGCCAAAAACTTTCCAAACTTTGTAAAAGATATAAATCAACATAAGAAGCCCAGTGAAACTCAAGTATAAATATGTAGAAAATCACCTAGGCACATTAACTGCTGAAAATCTTATAAGCCGTCAGAAAAATGACACATTACATATAGAAAAACAACTATTTGCATAACCATAAACTTTTCATCAAAAAACATGGAGAATAAAATGGAACAAAGTATTTAGAGTTGAATGAAGAATAAAAAGAATGAAGGAGGGAATTTAATGATTATTGAGCCAGGTAATTAAGTCTATGTTTTTGAAATTGAATTTTATCCCCTTAATGTCTTGTGAAATCCATTTAATGTATTACAATCAGAATTTTTTAAAACTGGAAGAGTTTAAGACAGTATAGAATAAAGTATCAGAGTGCATCTCAGATTGTAAGGGTAACTTCTGTTACATGAAATCTTTATTTGGATTTTACATACATTCACTTGGATATTCATATATGTGTGTACTGGTTTTTTTTTTAAATTTTCTTATTATACTTTAAATTTTAGGGTACATGTGCACAACGTTTAGGTTTGTTACATATGTATACATGTGCCATGTTGGTGTGCTGCACCCATTAACTCGTCATTTAGCATTAGGTATATCTCCTAATGCTATCCCTCCCCCCTCCCGCCACCCCACAACAGTCCCCGGTGTGTGATGTTCCCCTTTCTGTGTCCATGTGTTCTCATTGTTCAATTCCCACCTATGAGTGAGAACATGCGGTGTTTGGTTTTTTGTCCTTGCGATAGTTTGCTGAGAATGATGGTTTCCAGTTTCATCCATGTCCCTACAAAGGACATGAACTCATCATTTTTTATGGCTGCATAGTATTCCATGGTGTATATATGCCACATTTTCTTAATCCAGTCTATCATTGATGGACATTTGGGTTGGTTCCAAGTCTTTGCTATTGTGAATAGTGCCGCAATAAACATACGTGTGCATGTGTCTTTATAGCAGCATGATTTATAATCCTTTGGGTATATACCCAGTAATGGGATGGCTGGGTCAAATGGTATTTCTAGTTCTAGATCCCTGAGGAATTGCCACACTGACTTCCACAATGGTTGAACTAGTTTACGGTCCCACCAACAGTGTAAAAGTGTTCCTATTTCTCCACATCCTCTCCAGCACCTGTTTCCTGACTTTTTAATGATCGCCATTCTAACTGGTGTGAGATGGTATCTCATTGTGGTTTTGATTTGCATTTATCTGATGGCCAGTGATGATGAGCATTTTTTCATGTGTCTTTTGGCTGCATAAATGTCTTCTTTTGAGAAGTGTCTGTTCATATCCTTTGTCCACTTTTTGATGGGGTTGTTTGGTTTTTTCTTGTAAATTTGTTTGAGTTCATTGTAGATTCTGGATATTAGCCCTTTGTCAGATGAGTAGGTTGCAAAAATTTTCTCCCATTCTGTAGGTTGCCTGTTTGCTCTGATGGTAGTTTCTTTTGCTGTGCAGAAGTTCTTTAGTTTAATGAGATCCCATTTGTCAATTTTGGCTTTTGTTGCCATTGCTTTTGGTGTTTTAGACATGAAGTCCTTGCCCATGTCTATGACCTCAGTGGTATTGCCTAGGTTTTCTTCTAGGGTTTTTATGGTTTTAAGTCTAACATGTAAGTCTTTAATCCATCTTGAATTAATTTTTGTATAAGGTGTAAGGAAGGGATCCAGTTTTAGCTTTCTACATATGGCTAGCCAGTTTTCCCAGCACCATTTATTAAATAGGGAATCCTTTCCCCATTGCTTGTTTTTGTCAGGTTTGTCAAAGATCAGATAGTTGTAGATATGTGCCATTATTTCTGAGGGCTCTGTTTCTGTTCCATTGGTCTATATCTCTGTTTTGGTATGAGTACCACACTGTTTTGGTTACTGTAGCCTTGTAGTATAGTTTGAAGTCAGGTAGCGTGATGCTTCCAGCTTTGTTCTTTTGGCTTAGGATTGACTTGGCGACGTGGGCTCTTTTTTGGTTCCTTATGAACTTTAAAGTAGTTTTTTCCAATTCTGTGAAGAAAGTCATTGGTAGCTTGATGGGGATGGCATTGAATGTATAAATTACCTTGGGCAGTATGGCCATTTTCACGATATTGATTCTTCCTACCCATGAGCATGGAATGTTCTTCCATTTGTTTGTATCCTCTTTTATTTCATTGAGCAGTGGTTCGTAGTTCTCCTTGAAGAGGTCCTTCACATCCCTTGTAAGTTGGATTCCTAGGTATTTTATTCTCTTCGAAGCAATTGTGAATGGGAGTTCACTCATGATTTGGCTCTCTGTTTGTCTGTTATTGGTGTATAAGAATGCTTGTGATTTTTGTTCAGTGATTTTGTATCCTGAGACTTTGCTGAAGTTGCTTATCAGCTTGAGGAGATTTTGGGCTGAGACGATGGGGTTTTCTAGATATACAATCATGTCATCTGCAAACAGGGACAATTTGACTTCCTCTTTTCCTAATTGAATACCCTTTATTTCCTTCTCCTGCCTGATTGCCCTGGCCGGAACTTCCAACACTATGTTGAATAGGAGTGGTGAGAGAGGGCATCCCTGTCTTGTGCCAGTTTTCAAAGGGAATGCTTCCAGTTTTTGCCCATTCAGTATGATATTGGCTGTGGGTTTGTCATAGATAGCTCTTATTATTTTGAGATGTGTCCCATCAATACCTAATTTATTGAGAGTTTTTAGCATGAAGGGCTGTTGAATTTTGTCAAAGGCCTTTTCTGCATCTGTTGAGATAATCATGTGGTTTTTGTCTTTGGTTCTGTTTATATGTTGGATTACATTTATTGATTTGCGTATGTTGAACCAGCCTTGCATCCCAGGGATGAAGCCCACTTGATCATGGTGGATAAGCTTTTTGATGTGCTGCTGGATTCGGTTTGCCAGTATTTTATTGAGGATTTTTGCATCAATGTTCATGAAGGATATTGGTCTAAAATTCTCTTTTTTGGTTGTGTCTCTCCCAGGCTTTGGTATCAGGATGATGCTGGCCTCATAAAATGAGTTAGGGAGGATTCCCTCTTTTTCTATTGATTGGAATAGTTTCAGAAGGAATGGTACCAGCTCCTGTTTGTACCTCTGGTAGAATTCAGCTGTGAATCCATCTGGTCCTGGAATTTTTTTGGTTGATAAGCTATTGATTATTGCCTCAATTTCAGAGCCTGTTATTGGTCTATTCAGAGATTCAACTTCTTCCTGATTTAGTCTTGGGAGGATGTGTGTGTCCAGGAATTTATCCATTTCTTCTAGATTTTCTAGTTTATTTGCGTAGAGTTGTTTATAGTATTCTCTGATGGTAGTTTGTATTTCTGTGGGATCAGTGGTGATATCCCCTTTATCATTTTTTATTGTGTCTATTTGATTCTTCTCTCTTTTCTTCTTTATTAGTCTTGCTAGTGGTCTATCAATTTTGTTGATCTTTTCAAAAAACCAGCTTCTGGATTCATTAATTTTTTGAAGGGTTTTTTTGTGTCTCTATTTCCTTCAGTTCTGCTCTGATCTTAGTTATTTCTTGCCTTCTGGTAGCTTTTGAATGTGTTTGCTCTTGCTTCTCTAGTTCTTTTAATTGTGATGTTAGGGTGTCAATTTTAGATCTTTCCTGCTTTCTCTTGTGGGCATTTAGTGCTATAAATTTCCCTCTACACACTGCTTTGAATGTGTCCCAGAGATTCTGGTACATTTGTCTTTGTTCTCATTGGTTTCAAAGAACATCTTTATTTCTGCCTTCATTTCATTATGTACCCAGTAGTCATTCAGGAGCAGGTTGTTCATTTTCCATGTAGTTGAGCGGTTTTGAGTGAGTTTCTTAATCCTCAGTTCTGGTTTGATTGCACTGTGGTGTGAGAGACAGCTTGTTATAATTTCTGTTCTTTTACATTTGCTTGAGGAGTGCTTTACTTCCAACTATGTGGTCAGTTTTGGAGTAGGTGTGGTGTGGTGCTGAAAAGAATGTATATTCTGTTGATTTGGGGTGGAGAGTTCTGTAGATGTCTATTAGGTCTGCTTGGTGCAGAGCTGAGTTCAATTCCTGGGTATCCTTGTTAACTTTCTGTCTCGTTGATTTGTCTAACGTTGACAGTGTGGTGTTAAAGTCTCCCATTATTATGGTGTGGGAGTCTAAGTCTCTTTGTAGGTCACTAAGGACTTGCTTTATGAATCTGGGTGCTCCTGTATTGGGTGCCTATATATTTAGGATAGTTAGCTCTTCTTGTTGAATTGATCCCTTTACCATTATGTAATGGCCTTCTTTGTCTCTTTTGATCTTTGTTGGTTTAAAGTCTGTTTTATCAGAGACTAGGATTGCAACCCCTGCCTTTTTTTGTTTTCCATTTGCTTGGTAGATCTTCCTCCATCCCTTTATTTTGAGCCAGTGTGTGTCTCTGCACGTGAGATGGGTCTCCTGAATACAGCAAACTGATGTGTCTTGACTCTTTATCCAATTTGCCAGTCTGTGTCTTTCAGTTGGAGCATTTAGCCCATTTACATTTAAGGGGAATATTGTTATGTGTGAATTTGATCCTGTCATTATGACGTTAGCTGGTTATTTTGCTCATTAGTTGATGCAGTTTCTTCCTAGCCTTGATGGTCTTTACAATTTGGCATGTTTTTGCAGTGGCTGGTACTTGTTCCTTTCCATGTTTAGTGCTTCCTTCAGGAGCTCTTTTAGGGCAGGCCTGGTGGTGACAAAATCTCTCAGCATTTGCTTGTCTGTAAAGTATTTTATTTCTCCTTCACTTATGAAGCTTAGTTTGGCTGGATATGTGATTCTGGGCTGAAAATTCTTTTCTTTAAGAATGTTGAATATTGGTCCCCACTCTCTTCTGGCTTGTAGAGTTTCTGCCGAGAGATCAGCTGTTAGTCTGATGGGCTTCCCTTTGTGGGTAACCCGACCTTTCTCTCTGGCTGCCCTTAACATTTTTTCCTTCATTTCAACTTTGGTGAATCTGACAATTATTTGTCTTGGAGTTGCTCTTCTCAAGGAGTATCTTTATGGCATTCTCTGTATTTCCTGAATTTGAATGTTGGCCTGCCTTGCTAGATTGGGGAATTTCTCCTGGATAATATCCTGAAGAGTGTTTTCCAACTTGGTTCCATTCTCCCCGTCACTTTCAGGTACACCAATCAGACGTAGATTTGGTCTTTTCACATAGTCCCATGTTTCTTGGAGGCTTTGTTTGGTTCTTTTTATTTTATTTTTCTCTAAACTTCTCTTCTCGCTTCATTTCATTCATTTCGTCTTCCATCACTGATACCCTTTCTTCCAGTTGATGGCATCGGCTGCTGAGGCTTCTGCATTTGTCACGTAGCTCTCGTGCCTTGGTTTTCAGCTCCATCAGGTCCTTTAAGGACTTCTCTGCATTGGTTATTGTAGTTATCCATTCGTCTAATTTTTTTTCAAAGCTTTTAACTTCTTTGCCATTGGTTCGAATTTCCTCCTGTAGCTCGGAGTAGTTTGATCGTCTGAAGCCTTCTTCTCTCAAGTCATCAAAGTCATTCTCCGTCCACCTTCGTTCCGTTGCTGGTGAGGAGCTTTGTTCCTTTGGAGGAGGAGAGGCGCTCTGATTTTTAGAGTTTCCAGTTTTTCTGCTCTGTTTTTTCCCCATCTTTGTGGTTTTATCTACCTTTGGTCTTTGATGATGGTGACGTACAGATGGGTTTTTGGTGTGGATGTCCTTTCTGTTTGTTAGTTTTCCTTCTAACAGACAGGACCCTCAGCTGCAGGTCTGCTGGAGTTTGCTAGAGGTCCATTACAGACCCTGTTTGCCTGGGTATCAGCAGTGGTGGCTGCAGAACAGTGGATATTGTTGAACCTCAGATGCTGCTGCCTGATGGTTCCCCTGGAAGTTTTGTCTCAGAGGAGTACCCGGCCATGTGAGGTGTCAGTCCGCCCCTACTGGGGGGTGCCTCCCAGTTAGGCTACTTGGGGGTCAGGGACCCACTTGAGGAGGTGGTCTGCCCGTTCTCAGATCTCAAGCTGTGTGCCGGGAGAACCACTTCTCTCTTCAAAGCTCAGTTGGAAATGCAGAAATCACCCGTCTTCTGCATCGCTCACGCTGGGAGCTGTAGACCGGAGCTGTTCCTATTCGGCCATCTTGGCTCCTCCCACCTTTTTTTTTTCTAATTGTTGCATTTACATTTATGTTGGAGTCTGTACTGCCATTTTTATTCCTTGTAATACACTTGTCAGGCTTGTTTATCAAAGTTATAAATTGGGGCTGGGCATAGTGTCTAAAGCCTGTAATCCCAGCACTTTGGGAGGCCAAGACAGGAGGATCACTTGAGCCTAGGAGTTTTGAGGCTGCAGTGAGCTATGATCCTGCTACTGCACTTTAGCCTGGGTAACAGAGAACCTGTCTAGAAAAAGAAAAACAAATGGCAAGGCCAGGTGCAGTGGCACATGCCTGTAATCTCAGCACTTTGGGAGGCTGAGGCAGGCAGATCACCTGAGACCAGGAGTTCGAGACCAGCCTGGCCAACATGATGCAACCCTGTCTGTAGTAAAAAATACAAAAATTAGCTGGGCATGGTAGCGCGCATCTGTAATCCCAGCTACTTGGAAGGCTGAGGCATGAGAATTGCTTGAACCTGGGAGGTGGAGGTTGCAGTGAGCCAAGATTGTGCCACTGCACTCCAGCCTGGGTGACAGAGCGAGAACTCATCTCAAAAAAAAAAGAAAAAAGAAAAAGAAAAAAAAAAACCATCATATGTTGGTAAATATAACTTTTTTTTTCTGTTCTCTAGAAGGGTTTGTCTAAGTGTGTTATTTCTTAAATGTTTCGAATATTTCACTGAAAGAGATCACTAGAGTTTTCTTTGTGAGAAGTTTTTTGTTTTTTAAGTAATAGGGTAAATTCTTCGAATCCAAATCATATCTTTCAGTTTTTGTCAGATGGTTTTTCAAGGAATTTTCTCATTTCATCGAAATTGTCAGATGTATAGGCATAAAGTTGTTATGACTTATTGACTTATCTTCTTATTGACTCATTAATGTCTGGATGATCCGTGTGTTTGCCTGTTTACTCTTTTTCCTTGTTGTAATTTGCTTTGTTTCTGTTCTTCTTAATTATTATTTCAGTAGGTTTTTGGGGGAACAGGTGGTGTTTGGTTAACGTGGATAAGTTCTTTAGTGGTGATTACTGAGATTTTGGTGCACCCATCATGCGAGTAGTGTACACTGCACCAAATATATAGTCTTTTATCCCTCACCCCCCTCCCACCCTTTACTCCCAGTCCCCAAAGTCCACTGTATCATTCTTGTGCCTTTGTGTCCTCATAGCTTAGCTCCCACTTATGAGTGACAATGTTTGATTTTCCATTCCTAAATTACTTCACTTAGAATAATAGTCTTCAGTTCTATCCAGGTTGCTGCAAATGCCATTATTTTGTTCCTTTTTATGACTGAGTAGTATTCCAAGGTATATCTTTATCCACTCGTTGATTGATGGGCATTTGAGCTGGTTCCATATTTTTGCAGTTGTGAATTGTGCTGCTATAAACATGCATGTGCAAGTATCTTGTTTGTATGATGTTTTATTTTCCTCTGGGTAGATGCCCAATAGGGGGATTGTAGTGGGATTCCTGGATCAAATGGTAGATCTACTTGTAGTTCTTTATGGAATCTCCACACAGCTTTCCATAGTGGTTGTACTAGTGTACATTCCCAGCAGCAGTGTAAAAGTGTTCTCTTTTCACCACATCTACACCAACATCTATTATTTTTTGATTATGGCCATTCTTGCACGAGTAAGGTGGTGTTGCATTGTGGTTTTGATTTGCAGTTCACTGATCATTAGTGATTTTGAGCATGTTTTCATATGATTGTTGGTCATTTGTATATCTTCTTTTGAGAATTGTCCATTCCTGTCCTTAGCCCACTTTTTGATGGGATTTTTTTTTTTTCCTTCATGATTTGAGTTCCTTGTAGATTTTGGATATTAGTCCTTTGTCAGATTTATAGATTGTGAAGATTTTCTCCCACAATCCATAGTGTGGGAGGTCTGTTTACTCTGCTGATTGTTTCTTTTGCTGTGCAGAAGCTTTTTAGTTTAAGTTCCATCTATTTATCTTTGTTTTTATTGCATTTGTTTTTGGGTTCTTGGTCATAAAGTAGTTGCCTAAGCCAGTGTCTAGGAGGGTTTTTTCCAGTGTTATCTTCTAGAATTTTTATGGTTTCAGGTCTTAGATTTAAGTCTTTGATCTACCTTCAGTGGATTTTTGTATAAGGTAAGAGATGAGGATACCAGTACCATGCTGTTTTGGTGACTATGGTCTTATAGTATAGTTTGAAGTCAGGTAATGTGATGTCTCCAGATTTGTTCTTTTTGCTTAGTCTTGCTTTAGCTATTTGGGCTCCTTTTTGGTTCCATATGTATTTTAAGTTTGTTTTTTCTAGTTCTGTGAAGAATGATGGTGGTATTTTGATGGGAATTGCATTGAATTTGTAGACTGCTTTTGGCCGTATGGTCATTTTCACAATGTTGATTCTATACATCCATGAGCATGGGATGTGTTTCCATTTGTGTGTGTCATCTATGATTTTTTTCAGTAGTGTTTTGTAGTTTTCCTTGTAGAGGTCTTTTACCTCCTTGGTTAGGTATATTCCTCAGTGGTTTTTGTTTGAGGTGTGTGTGTGTGTGTGTGTGTGTGTGTGTGTGTGTGTAGCTATTGTGAAAGTGGTTGAGTTCTTGATTGATTGTCAGTTTGGTCACTGTTGCAGTATAGCAGTGCTACTGATTTGTGTACATTAATTTTGTATCCTGAAACTTCGCTGAATTCATTTTTTAGTTCCAGAGCTTTTTGGAGGATTCTTTAGGGTTTTCTAGGTGTATGATCTTATCATCAGCAAACAGCGACAGTGTGACTTCTTCTTTACCAATTTGGATGCCCTTTATTTTTTCTCTTGTCTGATTGCTCTGGCTAGGACTTTCAGTACTGTGTTGACTAGAAGTGGTGAAAGTGGACATTCTTGTCTTGTTCCAGGGGGAATGCTTTCAACATTTTCCACTTCAGTATAATACTGGTTGTGGGTTTGTAGTAGATGGCTTTTATTACCTTAAGGTATGTCCCTTCTATGCCAATTTTGCTGAGGGCTTTCATCATAGAAGGATGCTGGATTTTGTCAAATGCTTTTTCTGCATCTATTGAGATGATCATGTGATTTTTGTTTTTAATTCTGTTTATGTGGTGTATCACATTTATTGACTTGTGGATGTTAAACCATCCCTGCATCCTTGGTATGAAACCCACTTGATATGGTGGATTATCTTTTTGATATACTGTTGGATTTGGTTAGCTAGTATTTTGCTGAGGATTTTTGCATCTGTGTTCCTCAGGGAAATTGATCTGTAGTTTTCTTTTTTTGTTATGTCCTTTCCTGGATTTGGTATTAGGGTGATACTGGCTTCACAGAAAGATTTACGGAGGATTCTCTCTTTCTCTATCTTTTGGAATAGTGTCAATAGGATTGGTACCAATCCTTCTTTGAATATCTGATAGAATTCAGCTGTGAATCCATCTGGTCCTGGTTTTGTTGGTCTGTTCAGTTTGTGTTTCTTCCGGGTTTAATCTAGGAGGGTTGTATATTTCCAGGAACTTATCCATCTCCTCTAGGTTTTCTAGTTTACGCACATAAATGTGTTCTAGTAGCCTTGAATGATCTTTTGTATTTCTGTGGTATTGGTTGTAATATCTCCTGTTTCATTTCTAATGGAGCTTATTTGGATCTTCTCCCCTTTTCTTGGTTAGTCTTGCTAGTGGTCTATCAATTTTATTTATTTTTTCAAAGAAACAGCTTTTTGTTTCATTTATTTTATGTATTTTTGTTTGTTTCAGTATCATTTACTTCTGCTCTGACCTTTGTTATTTCTTTTTTTCTTTTTCTTTTTTTCTTTGAGATGGAGCCTTGCACTGTCCCCTGGGCTGGAGTGCAATGGCGTGATCTTGGCTCACTGCAACCTCCGCCTCCCAAGTTCAAGCGATTCTCCTGCCTCAGCCTCTCCAGTAGCTGGGATTACAGGTGCCTGCCACCATGCCCGGCTAGTTTTGTTTTTTGTTTGTTTGTTTGTTTTGTATTTTTAGCAGAGCTGGAGTTTAACCATGTTGGCCAGGCTGGTCTCGAACTCCTGACCTCATGATCCACCCACCTCAGCCTCCCACAGTGCTGGGACTACAGGTGTGAGCCACTGTGCCTGGTCGATCTCTGTTATTTCTTTTCTTCTGCTGGGTTTGGGTTTGTTCTTGTTTCTCTAGTTCCTTGAGGTGTGACCTGAGATTGTCCATTTGTGCTCTTTCAGACTTTTCGATGTAGACATTTAATGGTATGAACTTTCTCTTAGCACTGCCTTTGCTGTATCCCAGAGGTTTTGATGGATTGTGTCACTATTATTCAGTTCAAAGATTTTTTCAATTTTCATCTTGATTTCAGATTTCATTGTTGATCCAAGAATCATTCCAGGAGCAGATTATTTAATTTCCATGTATTTGCATCGTTTTGAGGGTTTCTTTTGGAGTTGATTTCCACTTTTATTCCACTATGGTCTGACAGAGTACTTGATATAATTTCGATTTTCTTAAATTTATTGAGACTTGTTTTGTGGCCTATCGTATGGTCTGTCTTGGAGAATATCCCATGTGCTGATGAATAGAATGTATATTCTATATTTGTTGGGTAGAATGTTCTGTAAATATCTTGTTAAGTCCGTTTGTTGTAGTTTATAGCTTAAGTACATTGTTTCTTTGTTGACTTTCTATCTTGATGACCTGTCTAGTGCTGTCTGTGGAGTATTGAAGTCTCCCACTATTATTATGTTGCTGTCTATCTCATTTCTTAGGTCTAGCAGTAATTGTTTTATAAATTTGGGAGCTCCAGTGTTAGGTGCAAATATGTTTAGAATTGTGATATTTTCCTATTGGACAGGTCCTTTTATCATTATATAATGTCCCTCTTTGTCTTTTTTAACTGCTGTTGCTTTAAAATTTGTTTTGTCTGATATAAGAATAGCTACTCCTGCTTGCTTTTGATGTTTGCGTGGAATATGTTTTTCCCACTCCTTTACCTTAAGTTTATGTGAGTTCTTATGTGTTAGGTGAATCTCTTGAAGACAGTGGATACTTGGTTGGTGAATTCATAACAATTCTGCCATTCTGTATCTTTTAAGTGGAGGATTTAGGCCGTTTACATTCAAAGTTAGTATTGAGATGTGAGGTACTATTCTATTCATCGTGGTATTTGTTGCCTGAATACCTGGGTTTTTTTGTTTTTTTTTTTCATTGCAATCTTGTTTTATAGGTCCTGTGAAATTTATGCTTTAAGGAGGTTCTATTTTGATGTATTTCAAGGATTTGCTTCAAGATTTAGAGCTCCTTTTAACAGTTCTTGTAGTGCTGGGTTGGTAGTGGCAAATTATCTCAGCATTTGTTTGTTTGAAAAAGACTGTCTTTCATTTAGGAAGCTTATACAAAATTCTTGGCTGATAATTGTTTTGTTTAAGGAGGCTAAAGATAGGACCCCAATCCCTTGCTGCTACTCTGATAGGTTTTCCCTTATAGGTTACCTGATGCTTTTGCCTCACAGCTCTTAAGATTTCTTCCTTCGTCTTGACTTAGGTAACCTGATGACTCTGTGCCTAGGCAATGATCTTTCTAAAATGAATTTCCCAGGTGTTCTTTGAGCTTCTTGTATTTGGGTGTCTAGATCTCTAGCAAGGCAGGGGAAGTTTTTCCTTGATTATTTCCTCAAATATGTTTTCTAAACTTTTAGATTTATCTTCTTCCTCAGGAATACCAAGTATTCTTAGGTTTGGTTGTTTAACATAATCCCAAACTTCTTGGAGGCTTTGTTCATTTTTTAAAATTCTCTTTTGTTTGTCTGTGTTGGATTGGGTTAATTCAAAAGCCTTGTCTTTGAGCTCTGAAGTTCTTTCTTCTATTTGTTTGATTCTATTGCTGAGACTTTCCATTGTATTTTGTATTTCTCTAAGTGCATCCTTCATTTCCAGGAGTTGTGATTGTTTTTTATTTATGGTACTTCTCTGGAGATTTTCTCATCCATATCCTGTAACATTTTAAAAATTTCTTTAAGTTGGTATTCACCTTTCTCTGGTGTCTCCTTGAGTAGCTTAATAATCGACCTTCTGAATTATTTTTCTGGCAATTCAGAGATTTCTTTTTGGTTTGGATTCATTGCTGGTGAGCTAGTGTGATCTTTTGGGAGTATTAAGAACCTTGTTTTATCATATTACCAGGATTGTTTTTCTGGTTCCTTCTCATTTGTGTAGACTATGTCAGAGGGAAGATTTGGGGCTGAAGGCTGCTATTCAGATTCTTTTGTCCCACAGGGTGCTCCCTTGATGTGGTGCTCTCCCTCTTCCCTTAGGGATGTGGCTTCCTGAGAGGCAAACTGCAGTGACTGTTATTTCTCTTCTGGATCTAGCCACCCAGCAGAGCTAATAGGCTCTAGCCTGGTACTGGGGAGTGTCTGCAAAGAGTCCTGTGATGTGATCTGTCTTCAGATCTCTCAGCCATGGATACCAGCACCTGCTCTGGTGGAGGTAGCAGGGGGTGAAATGGACTCTGTGAGGGTCCTTGGTTGTATTTTTGTTTAGTGTGCTAGTTTTGTGTTGATTGGCCTCTAGCCAGGAGGTGGCACTTTCAAGAGAGCATCAGCTGCAGTAGTATAGGGAGAACCAGGCAGTGGGCGGGGCCATAGAGCTCCCAAGAGATTATGTCCTTTGTGTTTGGCTACCAGGGCAGATAGAGAAAGACCATCAGGTGGGGGCAGGGTTAGGTGTGTCTGAGCTCAGACTTTCCTTGGGTGGGGGTTGCTGCAGCTGCTGTGGGGTACGGGGGTGTGGTTCTCAGGCCAATGAAGTTATGTTTCCAGGAGGATTATGGCTGCCTTTGCTTTGTCGTGCATGTTACCGGGGAAGTGGGGGAAAGCTGGCAGTTACAGGCGTTACCAGCTCCCATGCAACCCAAGAGGCCCGGTTGCCCCATCCCCAGCTGCGCTGTTTATTTCCAGGCAGCGGGTGAGTAGGGCTGAGAACTTGCCGCAGGCTCCATGCCTCCCGACTGAGGAAGCAAGCAAGGCTTTCAGATTTCATGCCTCCCTGCCTGCCACAGCTTCTGTGCTTGTATCTGCACTGCCTGTTTGTCCCCTCCCCAGGTTCTATCCAGGAGACTTTGTGTTTGGTCAAAATTGTTACAAAGTTCAGCTGGAAATTTCCTTCTCCTTGTGGTCTTTCCCCAATTTCACTGGCAGCCCTCCCCAAGGATACCTGAGAGACAGAGTCAGAAATGGCTTCCCTGGGGATGGAAAGTTACTCACAGGGCTCTTCCTGTTGCTTCCCCTACCCCTGTATTTGGCTCAGCTCTCTAAATTTGTCTCAGCTCCCAGGCAAGGTCAAATTCTTCTGTGATCTGGACCTTCAGGTTCCCCAATGAAGATGTGTGTTTGGGGGCAAATGATCCCCCTTTCACACTTTCACACCTTGGGCACTCACAGTTTTCTGGCTGTCTCCCAGAGCCTGCAGCCTGCCTGTTTGTGTACTGGGTTCTAATGTAAAATATATTTCTTCCCATAGGTTACAGTAAAAGGAAAAAAAAAAAAGTCACTGCCTTATTTAATCATCATAAAAACTTCATAAGGCAGGAATTCTCTCCATTTTACAAATGAAACCAAGACTATTGAGTTAAATAATTTACCTTTGGTCATGTAGCTGGTTAGTGGTTGAGCCTGAATTTCATGCAAATTTTTTGACCTCAAAATAACTTCTTTTTGGGCTGGGCACAGTGGCTCATGCCTGTTATCCCAGCACTTTGGGAGGCCAAGGCCGGAGGATTGCTTGTGTCCAAGAGTTCAAGACCAGCCTGGGCAACATAGTAAGACCCTGTCTCCACAAAAAAATTAAAAATTAGCTGGGCATGGTGGTGTGTGCCTGTCATCACAGCTACTCAGGAGGCTGAGGTGGGAGGATCGCTTGAGCTTGGGAGTTTGAGCCATGATCGTGCCACTTCATCAGCCTGGGTGACAGAGTGAGACTTTGTCTCAAGGAAAAAAAAAAATTATTTTGGCTTCTTTCAGAACGTTCAGACATGCTCTTTTATGATATTTGGCCTGAGGGGAGAGTAGCTCAGTCTCCATAAGCCAACTTACTGTGGAAGCTCAGAAGTCAAGGAGAACACCCCTGTTTCTCTTCCCCTGTGGAAGAGAGCCAGAATGATTTTTCAGCCATCAAAGCTTTCTCATTGCATCTGCCTCTGATGTAAGGAATGCAGCAAATTTTAAAAGGCCTATGACTCAGAACCATGCTCTGTTCATATGACTGTTTGATGAATACTGATTGAACTAGACTTTAGTAAACAGGAACTATTTGCATGCTATATGACTCCCTTGGCTGGAAGATATGGTATTCAATTAGCATTTTAATTAATAATTAAAAGTCCCTTTATCTCTTCCAATGGACTCATCTTATAAAAGGTGTTATTTTGACTGTAATATTGCCAATGTGCTTGTTTCTTGTGGCAAAATTAAAACTTATCACAACTTCTGCAAACAGGATGAGATCACTCAAATGCTTGTCAGTGCTTGAGGAGAAAGCATATTCTTGTATCCTATTTAAGTGCTATTACATAATCTGAAAATTGGTTGAAGACCTATCAGGAAAAGATAGTTGATGAATATGGAGGATTTCGAAGAAAAGTGAGGTGCCAGATCGAGTGTTGAGGAATCCATTGTAGACTTGGTTTAAATGACTGTCTTTGGTTATGAATATTGTTTCTAAAGAGTAAAGTCACATGAGTACATTCCTGGTAATATACCAGAGGTCAAACAGCCCAACAAATGAAGAGTTTGAAATGTAGATAATTTAAAGATGAAGTACTAGCAGTCTGTAAGCAAGCCAGTATTGAAAGCGAACGTCACTGAGGTTATTGATGAATTAAAACTAATGGATAGGGGTGAGAAATAAATTAGATAAAAATGCAGCACCAAAAAGGAGAGAGATGTTATCTGGAATTCACTGTCCCTTACATATTTAGTTAATTCTTGTTGATGTTGCTGTTGCTTTAGATGTTGTGGTATAGATTACAAGACTTAGTATGTCAGTAGCCCTATACTTTATGATAATACTTGTTTTTTTCAGCTTTTCTTAAATGAAATGTTGGTATATACATCTGTCTAGTCTGTTCAGCCCACTTATGCTTATGAGCATAATGCTTATTTAGCAATGTGAATTTGCTTCCATTTACCACTTAGCTCATAAGGTCTTTCAGAAGAGGGACCATGAGTCCTGTTGGCTTGCCCTAAAAGATAGTGTTGTTAAGGCATATTCACAGATGGATCATTATATGATTATAATACTGATTTATTTATTTAGCAAATGCCTACATAATACTGTGCATTGAACACTGGTAAGTAAACTTTCATATACTAATTAATTTCATCCTCCCAACAACCCAATGCAATAGGTATAATCATTGTTTTCATTTTATCTAGAGGAAACTGAGGAACCTAGAGATTAAGTAACTCAATGTCATATAATTGGAGAATTGGGACTTGTACCCCAGCAATGCAGCTGTAGAGTCGGTGTGCTTATCATGACACCAGCCTTCTCTACCCTTTCTCTAACCCAAGAGTATCAACCACTGCCTGAGGTTGTGATCCTCCCTTTTGCCAGGCGTTTGTTGGAGGAACAGCCCTTCACCCTCTACCATTTGGGGTACTGAGCATGATGTTCCAAATTATATTGGTATGGTTTCCTCTTTCTGAATTTCTACCATATACCAGTTAGAGTAGTGCATATTAGCACCAGCACAATTGTAATCTTCTTATACTTTTTTTCAATATAGCAGGAGGGAATACAAATGCATACACTAAAGCACCAGTTTAACTGTAGCACCTGCAGTGCTCACTTACTATAGGGTGCATAACTTGATCTCATTTCTATTAAAAAGTATTTATCTTTTTTGTGTGGAGCTGTTTCCTAACTTGTTACACAATTAATTGCTCCCACCTACTCTATTGTGTTCCTTCAGGCTATAGACATCACAGGATAGACAGAAAATAACAAGATTCAAGGTAACAATCTGCATGCTGAAGGAAGAATTCTGCTTTCAGACTATGCTAAAAACATTTTCAGTATTTCAGACATCAAATTTTGAATTGTTTTTGAGAGACTGAGTATACAGAGACAATGGCTAGACCACAGGACAACAGAACTCTCACCCACAACCTCTAAAGCAACCGTTCTAGGAGACCAAACCCTAACCTCTGTAACAATCAGTAAAGGATGGTCAGGACTTGGTCAATGACTGCTGGCTTCCCTAATTTTTGCCCCTGCCTCAAACTCAGGACCAATCAGATAAAACCAAATATGCTTCCCAAAATAATCACATAGCATACCCCGCTTCTAGGTAGCCTGTCTCCAACTTCCCCATGCCTGCAACCCCAATCAGAGCATATCTGAAGCCTCCCCTTTCTTTCACCATGAAGATTTCTCATGTCTCTGCCAAATGCAAGTGATGATAGCTGACACCCTTGTGAAAGCAAAGTCTGAATAAATAAGTAGCCTCTCTTTGTATAGTCTTTATTTCCACACTTTCAATAGGTAAGTCTCCTCTTGCTCCATTTGCCAGAAAATTGCTTATTATATTAATTTAATTTCTCACTTTCCAATGGGGTCCATAAGATATTTCCAAAAGGGTTGACTAACATCTGGATAGCTAATGGGTTATTTAGAGGTGTGTGTAAGTTGTGGCAAAATCAAAACTTAAAATATTAGTTTTATTGTCTTAAAATATTTTGCTTCTTGTCTACTTGTAATCGGATGTGTTTGCCCTTCTTAGTATTATTTTAAAAATCAGAGAAACAAAGCAAAGATATATTAAGGAGAGTTTTATTGTAAAGATAGGCAGGATCTACAATTTTATATTTTTCCAAGTGTATAAAAACTCTCAGAGTAGAGATTTATGTCTGTCGTACCAGCAGACAGATTATTTATAAATTGGGAAAGGGAAAGTTTACTTTTTGCCAAACTGAGGCAGAGGGGGTGGCACCTTAATATCTTGGCCTCTCTCCAACTTCTTTTCACAATCCACCAGGTAATTGACTCCATCGATGACTATCTGAACAAGCTCAACCTTTGACAGTGAAGAAGATGAATGATTAATTTGAATAGAAGCATCTGCAGGGCATTGATTAACAGGAACAGCACTGTGATAAATGAGAACTTGCCACTTAGATGGACTTCACAACAATTCCTTCCTTCTCAGAAATGGAAGGCAGAGATATAAGGGTTTCTCTCAATCTTTCCATAGTTAAGATGGGGATACTACTTTGTATGTGAAAGCTTTTTTACTATGTGAAAACCATTAGTTTGCATCTCTAACATTTTTTCCTACCAGTGTCTGCTATAAAATATCAGAGTTTGTCTAGAAGTAAGACTACAGTGACACCCTCGTGTTATTCTTTGGCCTGGATCTGAATTCTGACCTGCCACTAATCTATCTGAGCACTGGATATGCTAATGTAGCTCAGATATCATCATTAATACAGTGGGTGTCTTCCTGAAAAATTAATGTCAAATGTTTGGCAACTAAATCATGTTTGTACTATGCTAGGCAAGCTTATTAATGAAATGAGTTTTGCAAATTAAGATATACTTTCTAAAATTCCTGTTCTTAAAAAACTCTGTATAGAACTTTGGTTTCCAAATATTTGTTTTCCTTAAACCAGAGCACATCTACTTAATTTTTTTTTCCCCTGGGATCACCTCCTAAGCAAATGACTTGTACTGCCCCCAAGGAAACCCAAATTAAGAGAGAAATTAGTTAATTCCAGACATACATTATACAACTAAAGAATGAGCAGCAAGGATGGAAGGGACCATTGAATGTTAGCTCTCAGGCATCACATACTCCAGCTGCCTCCCTATCTATCTCTTTATATGCATAAGGAAACTTAGGCCCCAAGAGAGGGTTGAATCAGAATGTTAGTCACTACTAACTAAAACACATATTTTCTATTTATCCTTTTGATCCCTTCCAGTGTTGGTGAGAGTATGGTGAGATAGGTCTCTCACTCACTGCCAGTAGGACTCTATCTTGGTATAAATCTGGTAGAAAACTTGATTATAAATAGGGAACTCTGGTTTTAACCCAGGAATTCCTTTTCTAGAAGTATATCCTAACTAAATAACCAGAGTTGTGATTAGAATTATGTAGAGAGATGGTCAAACATAAAATCAGGAAAACATTAAATAGGTAATGGATTATCTTTACTGTGATTAAAAATCATGTTTGTGAAGAATACTTAATATTGTGGGAAAATGTTCATGATATAATGCATTGGAAAAAAATTATAACCAGTATTTGGTTATAATATTAAACATGTATTATAACAATTTTTTCAAGTTTTTTGGGTAGTTTTTAAAAAGAATGAAGGGCCATTTAGAATAATGTTCACAATGGTTATCAGGGTTGTTGGGTTAAATAAATGGTGTTTTTAAATTATTTTTTGGCATTTTCCTCACTTTTATAGTGACTGCCTAGTATAGTTAGACTTAACATTTTTAAAGCATTAACTACATTGTTTTCCAGTAATAAATATCTAGTTAATATTAGAATCAACAGGGATAGACTCCCAGATTTTCTTTATTCACTACACCACACATTATTCAGTAAATTTCAGAAGTTGTGGTATTATAGTTACATGTCCCTCAAGTACTTTACCAGAGCTGATAGCACACTGGCTGATCTAATTGTTTTGAGGGTTTCTTCCTTTCCTTTTCCTCAGTGTACTTACTGGTAGGGATATTGATAGGCAGTGAAATATTCAAAAACTGGTAAGGAAGAAGAGAGAACTTTGATAATCCACAGATTTAATAACCAGTCACTGAATTATTAAGGGTTTTGTTATGAGAAGAGGCTTTAAAATTAATGATGGGCATAATATGTCCAATGGGACCACATCCAGATAGGCTGGTATAACTTACCATGATCAGTATTTGCTTAGCATTCAGCTGCATGTTCCTTACATGTGATCTTTTTGCCTCATTCATTGTTTCAGGCCACACAAAGTCTATGAATCCTTTTCATCCTACATATTCATCACAGAATCCTAAGGATTTTATGAGCACAAACTTATCTAAACCTAGCACATAACATAGTTGCTATCTTTAGCCTAAGAAATAAAAGTTTAGAAACCATCGAGTATCTAAGAACACCAAAGTGAAGATGATCATTTGTAGCCTTCACCAAAGAAAATTCAGAACCAAGAGAAAATTCCACTATTTTGCCACCCTCAGAGGGATAGCATAGATGTTCTGACTTTACAGTAATAAAAAAACTGCAGTCCTTTAGCATAACAGAGCTCCTGCTCGCTGAGGATTGTTGGAATAGCTCTCATGGCAGGTCGGTGACAACAGTCCCACTGTGAATTCCTATACTTGCCTATAAATTCTCAGCTCACATTATGTTTCCCTTTATGCAGTTATTTCCCATGGAAGAATAATGTTACAGAATGAAAAGCTAACATAACTCAGGACTCAATGGGCGAAGAGGAGGTCTCGAATTTTGTGAAAACGGCTAGGCTGTTTGCTTTTCTCTATTCTCTCTTAGGCTGATTTTGTTAGTTCATGTTAGGAAAGTGAGAGAGACGTTACCTCTGATCGACCAATTCTATCTATGTTGGAAATGTCGTACACATCTGCGACCGCGGCAGTGTCCACACCACCTGTGCCACGCTTCTGGAGTCTTAGGTTTTCCAGGATCTTAGAAAAGCGTGGGTCCTAGGACAAAGGGATAATACTTAAATGTGCTAAGAGGCAAAATTGATTCATAATCATTGGTGCGTTTACTGACAAAAGACATATAGTGAGAGATAACAGTTTAACTTTTTATATATATAATAAATATATATATTTATAATAGATATATATATTGAATATATAGATTAACTAAATAAAGCGTTCTGGGATACATGTGCAGAACGTGCAGGTTTGTTAAATAGGTATACATGTGCCATGGTGGTTTGCTGCACCCATCAATCCATCATCAACCTTAGGTATTTCTCCTAATGCTATCCCTCCCCAAACCCCCACCCCCCAACTGGCCCCAGTGTGTGATGTTTCCCTCCCTGTGTCCATGTGTTCTCATTGTTCAACTCCCACTTATGAGTGAGAACATACAGTGTTTGGTTTTCTGTTCTTGTGTTAGTTTGCTGAGAATGATGGTTTCCAGCTTCATCCATGTCCCTGCAAAGGACATGAACTCATCCTTTTTTATGGCTGCATAGTATTCCATGGTGTATGTGTGCCACATTTTCTTTATCCAGTCTATCATTGATGGGCATTTGGGTTGGTTCCAAGTCTTTGCTGTTGTGAACAGTGACTCAATAAACACACGTGTGCATTTGTCTTTATAGAATGATTTATAATCCTTTGGGTATATACCCAGTAATGGGATGGCTGGGTCAAATGGTATTTCTGGTTCTAGATCCTTGAGGAATTGCCACACTGTCTTCCATAATGGTTGAACTAATTTACACTCCCACCAACAGTGTGAAAGCATTCCTATTTCTCCACATCTTCTCCAGCAACTGTTTCCTGACTTTTTAATGATCACCATTCTAACTGGCCGTGAGATGGTATCTCGGTGTGGTTTTAATTTGCATTTATCTAATGACCAGTGATGATGAGCTTTTATTTCATGTTTTTTGGCCACATAAATGTCTTCTTTTGAGAAGTGTCTGTTCATATCCTTTGCCCACTTTTTGATGGGGTTGTTTTTTTCTTGTAAATTTGTTTAAGTTCCTTTTAGATTCTGGATATTAGCCCTTTGTCAGATGGATAGATTGCAAAAATTTTCTCCCATTCCGTAGGTTGCCTGTTCACTCTGATAATTTATTTTGCTGTGCAGAAGCTCTTTAATTAGATCCCATTTGTCAATTCTGGCTTTTGTTGCCATTGCTCTTGGTGTTTTAGTCATGAAGTCTTTGCCCATGCCTATGTCCTGAATGGTATTGCCTAGGTTTTCTTCTAGGGTTTTTATGGTTTTTAGGTCTTATGTTTAAGTCTTTAATCCATCTTGAGTTACTTTTTGTATAAAGTGTAAGGAAGGGGTCCAGTTTCAGTTTTCTGCATATGGCTAGCCAGTTTTCCCAACACCATTTATTAAACAGGGAATCCTTTCCCCATTTCTAGTTTTTGCCAGGTTTTTCAAAGATCAGATGGTTGTAGATGTGTGATGTTATTTCTGGGGCCTCTGTATGTTCCATTGGTCTATATATTTGTTTTGGTACAAGTACCATGCTGTTTTAGTTACTGTAGCCTTGTAGTATAGTTTGAAGTCAGGTAGCATGATGCCTCCAGCTTTGTTCTTTTTGCTTAGGATTGACTTGGCTATATGCGCTCCTTTTTGGTTCCATATGAAATTTAAAGTAGTTTTTTCTAATTCTGTGAAGTCAATGGTAGCTTGATGGGGATAGCATTGAATCTATAAATTACTTTGGGCAGTATGGCCATTTTCACTATAATTGATTCTTCCTATCCATGAGCATGGAACGTTTTTCCATTTGTTTGTCTCCTCTTTTATTTCTGAGTAGTGGTTTGTAGTTCTCCTTGAAGAGGTCCTTCACATCCCTCGTAAGTTGTATTCCTAGGTATTGTATTCTCTTTGAAGCAATTGTGAATGGGAGTTCATTCATGATTTGGCTCTGTTTGTCTATTGGTGTATAGGAATGCTTGTGATTTTTGCACATTGATTTTGTATCCTGAGACTTTGATGAAGTTGCTTATCAACTTAAGATTTTGGGCTGAGATGATGGGGTTTTCTAAATATACAATCATGTCATCTGCAAACACAGACAACTTAACTTCCTCTCTTCCTGCGTGAATACCCTTTCTTTCTTTCTCTTGCCTGATTGCCCTGGCCAGAACTTCCAACACTATGTTGAATAGGAGTGGTGGGAGAGGGCATCCCTGTCTTGTGCAGTTTTCAAAGGGAATGCTTCCAGCTTTTGCCTGTTGGCTGTGGGTTTGTCATAAATAGCTCTTATAATTTTGAGATATGTTCCATCAATACCTAGTTTATTGAGAACTTTTAGCATGAAGGGCTGCTGAATTTTGTCAAAGGCCTTTTCTGCATCTATTGAGATAATCATGTGGTTTTTGTCATTGGTTCTGTTCATGGGATGGTTTACGTTTATTGATTTGTGTACGTTGAACCAGCCTTGCATCTCAGAGATGAAGCTGAGTTGATTTTGGTGGATAAGCTTTTTGATGTGCTGCTGGATTCGGTTTGCCAGTATTTTATTGAGGATTTTCACATCAGTGTTCATCAGAGATATTGCCGTGAAATTTTTCTTTTTTTATTGTGTCTCTGCCAGGTTTTGGTATCAGGATGATGCTGGCCTCATACAATGAGTTAGGGAGGAGTCCCTCTTTTTCTATTGTTTGGAATAGTTTCAGAAGGACTGGTACCAGCTCCTCTTTGTACCTCTGGTAGAATTCAGCTGTGCATCTGTCTGGTCCTAGACTTTTTTTGGTTGGTAGGCTATTAATTACTGCCTTAATTTCAGAACTTGTTTTTGGTCTATTCAGAGATTTGACTTCTTCCTGGTTTAGTCTTGGGAGGGTGTATGTGTCCAGGAATTTATCCATTTCTTCTAGATTTTCTAGTATATTTGCACAGAGGTGTTTATAGTATTCTCTGATGGTAGTTTGTATTTCTGTACGATCAGTGGTGATAGCCCCTTTATCACTTTTTATTGTGTCTGTTTGATTCTTCTCTCTTTTTAGCCTGACTAGTGGTCTATTTTGTTAATCTTTTCAAAAAACCCGCTCCTGGATTCACTGATTTTTTGAAGGTTTTTTTGTGTCTTTGTGTCTCTATCTCCTTCAGTTCTGCTCTGATCTTAGTTATTTCTTGTCTTCTGCTAGCTTTTGAATTTGTTTGCTTTCACTTCTCTAGCTCTTTTAATTGTGATGTTAGGGTGTCGATTTTAGATCTTTCCTGCTTTCTCCTGTGGGCATTTGCTGCTATAAATTTCCCTCTAAACACTGCTTTAGCTGTGTCCCAGAGATTCTGGTACATTGTGTCTTTGTTCTCATTGGTTTCAAAGAACTTATTTATTTCTGCCTTTATTTCGTTATTTACCCAGTAGTCATTCAGGAGCAGGTTGTTCAATTTCCATGTATTCGTGCGGTTTTGAGTGAGTTTCTTAATCTTGAGTTCTAATTTGATTGCACTGTGGTCTGAGAGACTGTTATGATATCCGTTCTTTTGCATTTGCTGAGGAGTGTTTTACTTCCAATTGTGGGGTCGATTTTACAATAAGTGCGATGTGATGCTGAGAAGAATGTACATATTCTGTTGATTTTGGGTGGATAGTTCTATAGATGTGTATGAGGTCCACTTGGTCCAGAGCCGAGTTCAAGTCCTGCATATCCTTGTTAATTTTGTCTGGTTGATCTAATATTGACAATGGGGTGTTAAAGTCTCTCACTGTTATTGTGTGGGAGTCTAAGTCTCATTGTAGGTCTCTAAGAAGAGTGCTCTAAGACAGCGTTCCTCCAAGTGTAGTCCCTTGACCAACAACCCCGGCATCACCTGGAAACTTGTTAGAAATGTGAATTCTGCAGGTGGGGCCTAGCAACTTGTGTTTTACCAAGTCCTTCAGGTGATCTCTTGCATGCTCAAGTTTGAGAACTGCTTGAACTAGGAGAGATGGAGAAAGGAGATAGAAAGAACCAGAGAGAGCAGAGCCTACCTATCCTGATTTGTTACATGAGGAAAAATGTAAAGGCCTTATTCTTGAAGCTACCATCTTTTTCTTACAGCCCCTGAACCTTTTATTCTAACTAATACAAATGTCTTTGGAGGCAAACTTAATTTTTTTCTTATTTTTATATTGTAGATAGAGAAAGTAAGGGTTAAGGAATGGGCAGTGATGTTTTCTTCCTCCACAAAGCAGTCGCATCTGAGCTGATCCTGGCCCATCAGGGCCACTGGGCACATAACAGTACCTTGCTGAGCTTTGGGATCCTAACGTGGACACCAGCTCGTAGTCCTGTTCCAAGGTTCGAAGGACAGGTCAAAATGTATCCTAGGCGCTCATTCCACATGAACTCCCAGCCTCGTTCTTGGATTAACCGTTCTACCTACAAGTAGAACCACAGTGAACAAATGACAGCATTTTCCAACATCCATTCATTCAGCACATCCCTAACACCAGAGAGAGAGATGTGTACCCTCCTCTGGCATGAATGAAATTAAGGTAAATTTATAGTACTCCTTTAAGAGAAAATAATACCTCTCCTACCAGACTATTAAAATGGCCCAATTAAGTTAAATGAACCATGTAAAGCAGTGGTCCCCAACCATTTTTGCATCAGGGACCGGTGTCTTGAAAGATAATGAATGTTTTAAGACAATTCTTCCACAGATCGTAGGGAGGGAATATTTTGGGATGAAACTGTTGTTCCACCTCAGATCATCAGGCATTAGTTTCTCATAAGGAGCACGCAACCTAGATCCCTCACATGCGCAGTTCACAATAGGGTTTGTGCTTCTATGAGAATCTCATGCCTCTGCTGATCTGACAGGAGGCAGAACTCAGGTAGTAATGCTGGCTTACCCACCACTCACCTCCTGCTGTGCGGCCCAGTTCCTAACAGGCCACAGACCTGTACCAGGTCCGTGGCCCCGGGGTTGAGGACCCCTGATGTAAAGCAGTCAACATAGTACCTGGCCTGTACTAAGCACTTGATGAATGTTAGTTGGTGGCATTTTTCATGCCAAGAGAGTAGGAGAATACAGGAATTATCAGCAGGTGAGTCTATGGTCAGGCTACATTCTCTGTCATCTGTATGCTTAGAATAGCTCAGAGCGATATTAAATAAATCAAAAAACAAGTAATGATCCACAGACTTCCCCAAACCACAGTGGAATGGGGAAGTAAGCGTAATAGCTTTCTAATAACAAGAGAAAGTCACTTATTTTCTGAAGCACTACCTTGGAAGTTGCACTCCAAAAAATGCCTTGAGGCTGGGCGTGGTGGCTCATCCAAAAAATGCCTTGAGGCTGGGCGTGGTGGCTCATGCCTGTAATCCCAGCACTTTGAGAGGCTGAGGCCAGCAGATCACCTGTGGTCAGGAGTTCGAGGCTAGTCTGGCCAACATGGTGAAACACCCCTCTCTACTAAAAATACAAAAATTAGCCAGGTGTGGTGGTGGCACCTGTAATCCCAGCTACTCTAGAGGCTGAGGCGGGATAATCACTTGAACCTGGGAGGCGGCAGTTGCTTTGATTTCTAGAAAAAAATTAGCTCCATCTTGGAAGTTACCATAGTGTCTTCTTTCAAGAACAAACAATACGGTAATTTTATTTTAATAAATATCCAGAAATCTCAGATAACATCTTACTTCTTTTAGTCCACGACAGAATCGCTCAAATACTCGTTTCATATTGCCTCCTTTTTCCATTGAGATTACCCTGGTGTGATCCTCCTCATTTATCCAGATGAGAAATGTCTTATCATAATTATGCCTAATGAAGAGAGAAATATGGTACTGAGTGTTAATTGCATTTGTTTCAACACATGAAAATTCCCATTACCTCCCTAGCTTGATTGCTTCATTTCACCTTCCTCATTTCCTAGATGGCCCTAATCTCTTAACTGTGCCTGAACAAGTATGACAAAATAATGTTACTTTGACAGAAGGAAGATTAAGACCAACTCTCACCCTAAAAGATGTCATGTTTTTACCAAACAAGAATATAATTAATTCCCCCTAGGTCCTCTGACTAGGATGACAGTAATTCAACTATATAACATTTGGCTTCGACATTAACAAGAATGTTTTGTCTCCTAAAAGATTCAACCAAAATCTTGTGCTCTAAAAAGCGGGTGGGGGTTACCTTCCACCCAAGATGTTGAAGGTACACAACATTTCACACATTTGCTCCATGGATCCTGCCTGTCCATCCCTACAGAGCAGCTGCACATGAACATTTTTTATTTCTGCTCCTTCAGGCACATAATTCATGCAAACCAGGTCATATTTCTACACATCTTAGAAACACCACAATGCTTAGACACACACACACACACACACACACACACACACACACACACACTTTCCAAGTAGTCTTTTTCCATTTAGCTCAGTCTGGGCATGCTGTCAACTGCAGTACACAGCAACTCCAGGTTAGGATAAGCAGGTGATCTCAAAAACATCCTCTACAGATATTGCAAATGTGAAAATGCTGCATCCATACCAGATTCCCCTGGCATCTGGCCAGTCACGGGCCATCCCAGCACATGTTAATAAAGGGGACACTGGCTTATCAAACAGAAAGTGGTCCTGTAGGCCAAAAGGGATAAAGCAGAGAGGAGAGACTGATGAGATCAAACAGGACTGCAAGTGCCAGGTGAACAAGTTCCAACCCACTTATCATGGCTGCTGTCTCTTAGGCAGTGGTTCTTAGCTTTGGCTGCCCACTAGAATAACCTGGGAGCTTCAAACAATGCCCAGAGATTCTGACCTAGTTGTTATAGACTGATCTGGGCATCAGGACGTTTTAAAAACTCTTCAGGTGATTCTAGTTTGCAGCTAATGGTGAAAAACACTGGGTTAGTCCATTTGGAACTCATGAAATCACTGTGGAGCGGGTATACACTACCAACACCAACCCTATACAATGGCTGAGCGAGCAATGAATGAGGGATACTATCCTGAAAAGGCTGTTCTACACAGTGCTCATTCTCTGTTTCTAGCATTATTGCTTCATTATTTCATTAAAAAGTATTAGAGATGTACAGTAATGATCAATAAATATAGTTACCATTAATGCTGACTGTGCCAGGCTCTAGATTACAGGCTTTTATTTCCTTTAATCTTCACAACTCTATGAAATAAGTGTAATTATTTTATAAATGAAGAAAACAGATTCAGAGAGATCAAACAACCTGTCCAATAGGATGGTTGTAGGAAGTAGCAGAGTATAGATTCAAATGTAGACTTCTGTGACTCCCAAGCCTATGCCTTTAACCACTGCAATATACTACTCCACATATCAAAATTAAAGTCAAGACTTTTTTTTTTGCAATGTGTATACTACTCTTTCTTGCATAGTTACACACATACTCTACAGAGAGATATATTCAAATATGATTACACACGTAAGAGACCAAGTGGATGTGGGGAGAGGAGTCCTGCAGTCTCTAAGTGGGAGAGATCAGAGACTTCAGCCAGGAGAGGATTGTGACCTGCCACTGCCCAGGAGCAGCATGTCCCTTAAGCAGGAAACCAGGGTGGTGACTTGAGGTGGAGGAGGGCTTGTTCTGTAACTGGGCAGGCCATATAGTTGGCCTGTCTGGTTTGGAAATGAGGCATATTTCTTAGCATTTGCATCTTTTGAAATGACAAAATTTTGTTTCTGCTTTTTTTTTTTTTTAAGAGTTTAAAGTTGTTACTTTTGAAAATGCCATCTTGTTTTAGCTGTGCTAAGACGAAAATAAGTAAGGGACTTGAGTTTTGTGCACCCTGGTGCCGGAGGGAAGCCGTGGTAGACATGGTGGAAGCAGCAGGAATCAACCCCACCAGGAAATGCAGAGGCTTGCTCCACAAGAGTCAGGGCAGGCCTCCCACCTGGAATTTCCTTTCTAGATTTTTGTAGCTTCCAGGATTTTCTTTGGCTGTGATAATGGAAACCATCTTCTGGACACAGACAGGATTTCCACACCTAACTGTTCCCATTTATCAACAAGCTAGGAGATCCTCCATTCATCTCCACCCTCCTAACCGCAGGCACCATCTCCATATTGGAGTTTCCTATGCAGATTTTATGCATAGAATGTTTCAGTGGCTTGACAAGTACAATGTGTGGCCTCGTCTTTCTTCCTTACACTGAATAAGTAGATGCTCTTGGGCTGAGCTCAGGGGTGGAGCCCAGCAAGCTCCCAGCTAGGGTAAGGACTGAGCAGAGCACCAGGAGAGGCCTTCCTGTGCGGGTCAGAGCCCTTGGTCCAGTCCTTCCCCAGGGAGCCCCATCTGCTACTCACATCGATGAGCCGCTGCTGGTCCTGCTCCGTCATCTCGGACAGCTTGTAGTAGCGGCCAGCCAGGTCCCCCTTGAGGCCCTCCAGGGCAGTGATGGCCACGTTCTCTACCTCCCTTCGCTCGGCCCGGGTGCAGGCTGGAGGCAGGCTCAGCCCACGGATGCTGCGGCCAGTGCGCACCCGAGAAGACAGCACGTAATGCTCGTCGAACTGCCCTTGGGTGATCTGCCAAGCAGACTGTGGGGTCACTGTGGCCAGCCTCGGACCATGGTCCTGCCACAGCCACAGTGGGTTCTAATCGCCAATCTGCAGTTTCCCTGGGGACCCTCAGGCACTGTGCACGACTGCACAATCCGTAAATTGGACACATTCCGGAAGTCTTGGGGCACGGACCTTCGACTAGTAAAGGGGAAAGCTGTTTTATATAGCGTGGTCTGGGGTCCTTGACCGTCACTGGGTGGTTTGGGATGAAAAAGGGAGTAGCTTTAGGAAAGGTTTAAAGTTCCCAATGACCAACCCTTCCCTAGTTGTATTTATTAAAGAAAACAGACTTTCGGACCCTCCTAACCTTCTCTGTGGCCCTCCAGAGGGAAGGCTGTGCCAGGGCAGTCACAGTGCTTTCCAGGGGTATCTGACTTACAGCGGGGAACCCCTCTCTCCAGGGGCCTTCCCCTTGGGCTCAGGAGTGCCAGCTTCGTGGGGAAGGAGAGGGAGGCTGGAGCCTACCTTTGATGCATCCAGATCCGTTGTGTGCTTCATCACCCTGGGGTCATAGCCGTTGTGTCTTAGTTTGATGACGGGGTCAAAAAGGTCAGCAAACACCTGCAGGAGGGAAGATGGGTGTTTCCTCTTTAACTGGTTCACCTACTATTTAAAGACCTTTCCATTCACTTGCCCCTTGTATCTTAAAAGCCAAAGTTGATGCCCTCCTTCTCTGAAATTTTCAGGACTATCATATAGGAAATGGATGTGAGAATGGATTGGTTAATAACAACAACAACAACAACAACAAGAGAGAAAGCCTTTTGAAGGCATCTTGCCCCTTGAGATAGGGTGGGGCTGGTGAGTTCTGTCATCTTAACCTCCTGCTGAGTGATTCTGCCAAAATCACTGCCATCAGATTGAGCAAGAAAATACTTACGGTTAGGAATTTAAGGAGTTTCCTAGACGTGTTTGCTCTTGTGGGTTACAAGAAGCTACCTGATCAGAGGCTACACAGTTTTATGCTCAAGGGAAAGTCAGATTCTAAATATTAAGCTACATATGAAATTTGTTGAAAACCTGGCTACGCCAGAAGAAAAGTACATAGCAGCAGTTTGGGCAAAGCAGGCACCTCTCACCCGATGCGGACCTTCCCCAGCCCAAATGATCTCGTGCAAAATCTATTCTAAAAACAAAACTTCAGGCATATCCTTTATGTTAAAAAAAAATTGTTAAAAGAAGTTGTAACAAAGCACCCTGCAGACTTTGGGAGCTGTGGGAAGTGGGGAGGACTTTGAGTCTAGAGAGCTACTGCTAGCTTGGGACCCAAACTAGACCCAGGGTTGTGCACTGCAGTACGTAAATGAGCCACCAGTCGTGTTTATTCAAGATGGCTCCCTCTCTTCTCTATGGCTGCCTTTCTAGGGAACTGCCTTCAGCTCCCTGCAACAGAAGAACCCAAAAGGGTGGACCTGAAGGAGGAGGGCTGCAGGCATTTGCCTCAGCGGAGAGGCTGCTCTGTGGAGGGGACGCATAGTGGCTGAGCACTGTTCCAGCCGACCACCCTGTGCTTCTGCATTGAGGATGAGGATGCCGAGGTCATGGGATTTATCCAAGAGACTTAGTGAATTCAGTAGTCTGGGCTACAGTGATCGTCTAATCAGTAATAGGAGAGAAATCAGTAATAATAATAGAATAAGAGGAGAATTCCTCATATTCCCAAAGATACACTGAACCCTCCTCCCGACCCCCACCCAATAAAGCTCAGCCACAAACACATCAGCTCCTAATGTCTTACTGGTGAATACACACCATTCAATTTTATTGTTTCTGTACCAACTCATCCACTTGACAAGCTCAGAGTTCTGTCATGCAATTCATTCCTCCACAGGGAGGGATCTTAGCACAGCAGCAAGGGAAGCCTTGTCCCTGGGAAGCTATAGACCTCATTGTTTCAGAAAGCATTCCAGATGGTTCTGCTGGAGCTGGCTTCCCTTTATGAGAGCCCTTCCTGAGAAGGCAGAAAGTTGGCCCCATAGAGAAGAAAAGGACCCCAGGACTGTGCAAGTCAGTCATATCCAGAGCATCCCTCCCACCCTGGAACCAGCAGCCAATAGTTTTACCTCATAGGACTCCTCGTCACCAGCCACCATGCCCACAGTCTTTATGAAGGGGTGGCCAGGGTTGTCCACTCCAGTCTGGATGCACTGGTCCAGCGTGTAGCCGTTGGGTGTCACCTTGTTGCGAAGCTTGGCATAAATGGCGGGGGTGAGGCACTCGGCCATGCAGTTGTTGTGCTTGCGCAGGTCTGGGTAGTCTGCGCTGTGTGGGGAGGAGGGCAGGCTGTCAGCCAGCAGCCCCCGAGGAAAGGGGCCAATGGAAGGACTTGTTGTTTGCCCATCCTTCCACTAGGCTCCCTTCAGCCAGTGGGCACAGGGATACTTGGCTAGAACTGCCTAGGAGTCATAAATGAATACACCAGGTTTCAAAAAATAAGCAAGCTCCACGAGAGCGGGGACTTTGCCTTTTTGAAAACAGTCCCTGGCTGTTGAAACCAGTGTTCAGTAAATATCTGTTGGAATAATAGAAATCAAATTGGGTGCTGTCTTACCCTGGAGTGTGTACTGATTGAGGAATAGGAGATTTAGGACCACCACAGCCTCAAACACAAGTCATGTCACCTCAGGAATTCCCAAGGTACATGGGGGTTGCTGGCGATTCCCTCAGAGATCCTGATTTTCATAAGAGACACTAAATGTCTCAGAGACACCTCAGTGGTTTTCCTTGTCTCTCTCATCCATACCTGCCTATGTGGAATTCTGCATGCCACTCAAACTCTGCTCAGCGCATGGTATCTCATCCATGGCAGGGTTCCAAGGGCTGAGAAAACACATCTATTTTCATCCCTCTCGTGCCACTCCTCCACTTTCCATCTGCAGTGTCCTTTAGAGCCGATACTTAAAGTCAGTACTATGATATCCCTTTTTCCAGAAGGTGGTAGAGCAGTGAGAGAGGCATGGGTCTGGAATCAGGGGGCCTGGATTTGCATTTCGCTGTACTAGCTATGTGAACTTGGGCACTGTTTAATTTTTCTAGGCTTTCATTTCATCACAGAAGGATCCTAAGATGAAAAACAGATATTCCATGTAAAGTGCTGGTCACACATAAAAGTGCTCCACAAATGTTAACTATCCCCATTATTACTATGCAACTGGACTGCAAGCTCTAAGCAAGAATGACGATGCTACACTTCTTTGTATACACGACAGGTCACTGGCTTAATGAGTCTCAAAATGATTTTCGGTTTTACTTAGTCATCCTCAAAGGCAAAAAGAAGGACCCTTGCTAACAGTTTCCAGCAGGGGAAAGCATATTTCTTGCTGGTCTTTGAAGATTTTTTTTTGTTTTTGTTTTTGTTTTGTTTTGTTTTGAGACGGAGTCTTGCTCTGTTGCCAGGCTGGAGTGCAGTGGCGCGATCTCGGCTCACAACAACCTCCGCCTCCCAGGTTCAAGCAATTCTCCTGCCTCAGCCTCCCAAGTAGCTGGGACTACAGGCATGTGCCACTATGCCTAGCTAATTTTTTTGTATTTTTAGTAGAGATGGGGTTTCACCATGTTGGCCAGGATGGTCTCGATCTCTTGACCTCGTGATCTGGCCTTCCAAAGTGCTGGGATTACATGCATGAGCCACCGTGCCTGGCCTGAGGTTATTTTAAAGTCAGGAGCCCTTACCTTGGAGGAAATAGCCTAGGCTGCTCCCGGACCTCGGCACACACTTTCTGCCGGTTCAGCAGGTACCCGGTGGTCAGGACACTGGTGCCCATGGTAGCAAACAGCAGAGAAGCATTGCGGCCAGTTAGCAACTTAGAAAAGATACTGGCCATCCTTCCTCTTGGATGAGTGTCTGGAAAGCAAAGAAGCTGGATTAGATAGCTTCATAGGATGACCCTGAGCCACAACATAGGGGTCAATGGGCAAGAGAACTGCAGGAGCCATAGCCTCTCTTTCCGGTGTCTCTGTCTCTCTCTCTCTCTTTCTGTGTGTGTGTGTGTGTGTGTGTGTGTGTGTGTGTGTGTTTTCTATTTCTTGCTTTGCTTTTTTCTTCATATTGCTTGGGAAAATCTGGGTAGTTTTAGACATAATGTCTAAACTTTCTGAATTCCATGCCTTTTCTCTGTTAATATGCTATGATAAAAAATAAACAGCAGCAGGGATGTCTTCTTCCAGCTATTTGACAGACCATATGCTCTATTGAACTTTGCCACTGCATCACAACTAGACCCTGAACAGGATGGATTTCTGGACTTCTGAAAGGTAGGAGAAATTTCTGAGGACCACCCTCCCACTCTACTGAAGTTGGGATGCCAGCATTGGGAATAGGGGCTGAGACTGGGATTCCCCCATTGAAGTAGGACCTTTGAAAGAGGCTGAAGTGGCACAAAGTCAGCAGACCCCAACTTCTGGCTCCTGCCTGAAGCAGGTCTAAAAGCTCTCTGAGGAAATTATATTCAGTTTAGGCCCTGGATTCCTACAGATTAAGATGAAACAATGAACTCCCAAAGATCACCAAACACACAAGGAGGTACAATGAATGAGAGTCAACAGAAGAAATAGCAGATGTAGACTGCTAACGACTGAAGATGCTGGAACTGTCAGACAATAATATAAATAAGCCCTATATTGAATGTTTAAAGAACTAAGTGTGGAATCATAGTTATGAGCAAGCAACAAGAGACTATTAAGAATGACCAAGTTGATTTGTAAGAACCAAATTGAACCACTCATTATGACACAGCTGAACATAGAATAAATGAACTGGAAGATATAGCTTAAGAAATTACTCAGAATGTAGCACAGAGAAATGAGAAAATGGAAAATAGATGTAAATTAAGAGATATGATGGATAGAATGTCAAGCTCAAATACACATCAAATTGAAGTCCCAGAAAGAGAGAATAAACAGAGAAGTCAGATTTGAAGAGGAATGGCTGAGACATTTTTAAAACTGATAAAAGAATCCATGATTCAAGAGGTGTAACATAATCTAAGCAAACAAAGAAATTGACACCTAGACAAATAATAAAACTGCAGAATAACAGTGACAAAGACGTGAAGAGCAGTCAGAAAGAAAAGACAGTTTACCTACAAAGAAATGACAAACGAGCTGATTTTTTGATAATGAGCCCAGGTAGATAATATTTTTAGAAGCAATAACTGTCACCCTAGAACTGGGGAACTAGTCTAACCATTTTTTCAAAAATGAGAGTGAAAAACATTGATAAAAAACAGATCAATAACAAAGGAATTACTAAGCTATATGCTTCAGAAAGAAAGGAAATGACAGCATAAGGAGAGAGCCTGAAATGGAGAAAACATGTATAAATCTAAATAAGTATTTATATATTTATTTGTAATACAAGTACTGAACTACCAACAAACGATGAAAAAGAGGATAAACATGCACAGACAGAAACCCTGTTGGGTCTGCTACTGCCTAGAGATTTAGAAGGGCCAATTAGCCCCACAGTATCACCTAGCAGGGAGCTGTGTAATGTGGCTCTTTGAGTAGAGAACAAAAGAGTACGTAGTTCTCAGTACTCTATTTGATCTCCATAATGCCCAAATAAAGAGTGTATGGGCCCGGGATGGTGGCTCATGCCTGTAATCCCAGCACTGGGAGGCAAAGGTGGGCGGATCACTTGAGGCCAGGAGTTTGAGACCAGCCTGGCCAACATTGTTAGCTGTCTTTTAGTAGAGACAGCAAAACCCTGTCTCTACTAAAATTACAAAAAATTAATTAGCTGGGTGTGGTGGCATGCACCTGTAGTGTAGTCTCAGCTACTCAGGAGGCTAAGGCATGAGAATCACTTAAACCCAGGAGGTGGAGGTTGTAGTGAGCCAAGATTATACCACTGCAATCCAACCTGGGTGACAGAACAAAACTGTCTCAAAAAAAAAAAAAAAAGAGCATGGATTTCCCTCATATTTGGAAGGCTCCCAAGACTCAGCTGCAAGATGCTCCAAACTTAGCTGAATTGATTGCTTCAAAGAACTTGCTGATGTGTAAGGCTGTAGCTGAAAACCTGGGCCATCCAGTGAAGAATAAACATCAACTCCTAATAGAACCGTCATTTCGAAGTCTCTACTAAACCTGAATGTCCCAACTAAAAGCATCAAAGACCTTGAAAACATTTGAGAATGTTTATGTGTGCAAGTAACAAATCAAGCCTCTTCTGAGTAGGGGTTACAGGATATAGGTTACAGGATAGCCCAGGAAATCAGATTATTAGTTCTTCTTCCGTGCTAATATCTGCAAACAATTCTTTCAATTCTAAAGCCAGTAAGTTACTAAGAGCAGACAAGATATAAATTGGTCATTTCTTGAAGTTGTCCTGGGGACTTGTAAAGACCAACATTCATTCTCATCATGGAAACTTCTTTGCTCCCCTGCTAGATTTCAGGTCATCATGTCAGTATCCCTCCAAGAATAGATAACGGCTCTTCAGTGAGCTGCACCAGTGCTTCCTGGTCCTTGCTTGCAGCAGGCAACGCTAGCATACATCCTTTGGGCCATCTTATTTGCCATCACACCCTCAAACCCACTTTCTAACTAGAGAGAGGCAATGCTGTCACTCTAGAGGTTTACTGTAGAACTCACTAAAGTGAAAGAAGCTTTGCCCAGATTCTTTCCAGGCAGTATGGGCCTAAACATAAGCCAGACATGGTCTTCCTAAGCTAACAGGAAGTATGTTCCTTTCTGGGATTGACCAGGGATGACCCAAATGTCCTGGTCCCTATTTTTCATTCCTTAAATTGCCTATGCACTGATATGTGCCCAAGTCAGTGTCTGAGATGATAAATCTTAGGAAGCAGAGCCAAGAGGAAGGGGAGTGAATGGTCTCCATGTATAGTCCTGTGACCACTGGAGGTCTTCCTCCCTGTAAGGGTGATGTGTGAGTGGGTATCTGGCTCAGAATATTAATGTTTGAAGTGTCATATCCATATTTTAGTTCCTGGAAGGAACTAATTTAATTAATTTATAATTATTATTTTATTCCAAGTTCCAATACTGCCCTTGTGTCTGAGCAACAAAGGATGACTCATGCAGATAATCCTGGGGAAGCTTTGATTGTGGCTAGCAAAGCAATCTTGGAACTGAAATTCCTCAGTATCCTTGCTTTGATTCCTTGAAGAGAATTGACACAGACTCCAGGTTTTGGTGAAGCAAAGAATTCCTGCTTCCTTGACTCTGTTTTTGTCTCGCCAGAACACAAAGAGGCATTGAATTTCACTATTAAGGCCTTAATTAGTAACCTTGTTTGTGAAATTGAAACAAAGGTCTCACTGAACAGGCTGGTGCTCTGGCAATGGCTGTTCCATGCTCTCCAAAGACCCAGAATCAAGGCTTGCAATGAAATCACTTTTCCTCATGACTAAACTAAATCTCTCTTGCATGTTAAAAGTTAGTCTTTAAAACGCTGCGCAGTCAGAACATTGCTTTGTCTTACACATTTCCCTGTTACCTGGCAGGCCCCAAATGTTACATAAGCATTCTCTGCAGCTGTAACCCCTACTCAGAAGAGGCTTGATTTGTTATTTGCACACATGATAACATGTGGCATAAGTAAAGCTGGGAAGATGTTTGTTTGTAAGGGGTAATCTGTGTCTATCAAAGCAGATAGTATTGGTTTTGCCTAGTTTCCAAACATGGTTTTATAAGTCAGTATATCTTGTGAAACCATTAGGACAAAAGTTTGGAACAAAAAGAAATCTCAGGCTCATTGCAAAGCTTTTTTAACGTTTTCAGTTCCCTCCATGTTCTGAGCATTATCATAACGTACTGAACTGTTCTGTTCAGAGACCACTAGGGAGAGGAGATGAGGAACCAGAGCAGCCAGGATGTTTCTCCCTGGGATAAAATCTCAAGCATTCAGACACCCTCACTGTGGGCTCCACTTCTGTAGCTAGAGGGGACTGGAAACAGCAGGAGCATCTCACAGCTTGTAGGAAGCACACATCTTTTTCCCAAATGTTTCTTTTTGCAGTTGGTCCTTGCTGGCTGATCCAGCTTCCCCGTCAGCATATGGTGAGCAGTTCGGTGAGAGGACCACACTTCCAATACTGGCAGGTACGGGTCCACAAGGACCCTTCTTCCAGGGAACCCTGGCTGCTAGATATCACAGGGCTGAGGGAAGCTGGCTTCTCAACTTCGCTGCTGCCCGTGTTTCTTCCCACCATCCCCTCCACTCTAATTGGCCCTGTTTTCCAGCCTCACATCTGCCACTGTGCCCGTTCTCACAGGGATCCCAGAAAGTCTTACAGCCCGGGATTGGCTTCTAGCCCCAGCAGGAAGCATGGAATTCATCCATTAAGGAACTCTTTACTGAGTGCCTACTGTTAGGCACTGTGCTAGGCAATAATGATATGAAAGTGAGCAAAAGAAACAGTTCTCTCCTGTGGGGGCTTCTAATTCATTTGTGGCAGACAGTCAAGAAACAAGAAAACAAAATCATCGTAGGTGGGGATGAGTGCAAAGAAGGGAATAAGCAGGATATTATTCAGAGAAAATGTAAGTGATGTCTACTTTTAAATAGGCTAGGCAGGGGCAGAGAGTAGAACAGCAAAGCCTTAAAGCTGGACAGATCTGGACTTGTCCCAGGACAGAAAGGAGGTCAGTGGAGCTGAAGCACAGGGAGCAAATCACAGTGGACTTCGGAAAGGATGGACGGGCAGGGTGTAGGGGAGCCAGGTGTGCAGGCCCCGAGACCACCCTAAGGAGTCTGGATTTTATCCTAGTGCAGAGGAAATTTACAGATGTGCTTGCAAGCAGGAGACGTGCTGAGCTCATTTTATGAGTTACAGGGGTAGCTCTGGCTGCCAGTGGAGAATGGTTTAGAGGGACATGTGCAGAATGCAAGCAGAGAGAGCAGTCAGAGGCCCTAGACATTGTCCAGGTGAGAGATAAGGTGCTGAGACCCAGGTGAGTCAGCGAGGATGAGAGAGAATGTATTTGCAGTCTATTCTGGGGCAGTGCTGACAGGTCGTGCTAATGGTTTGGAAATGAAAGATAAGGGAAAACCAGGGATGCCTGAGATTTCTGGTCTACAGTTGGGCGGGTGGTGAGGCCGTTAGGTGTTGGGGCCCACTGGTGGGGGAGCAGTTTGAGAGCAGAGTGTTGCTGGCAGATGTGGATGATCTGTGTGGTGGCCCCGGGCCCCTCGCACCACAGCTGCTGGGACTCTTCACAGCTCTGGCCCTGCTGTGCCCTCTGCCTGATCACCTGCTGCCCCGTCTCAGCTTTCCCATCCCGCTGGCTCCTGGGACTCTTTCAAAGGCTTCATAAGACCTATAGTGAAGGCCTGGCCATCAGGCCCCATTTCTGCCCAGCACAGAGACTGCTATGACCCAGTGATGACATTGTGCCCTAAGAACTTCCCCACATTCTCTTCAACTCACAGACGACCTCAGATGTAGCTGCTCTCTCAGGCCTTCAATGTACGTCTCCACCCAAATGAGTAATATTTGCATTACAAGGAGGAAAGGAGAGAGGGAACCATCGGGTACCTGCTGTACCAGGCACATTATATGCTATTGTCCCTGTTTTCCAGATGAAGCCAGATACTCCTCTATGAAGTTAAATGACTGGTTCAGTGTTAACACTGCTAGTGAGCGACAGAGATGGAATTTGAACGCACACCTGTCTGACTCCACCTCGTGTTCCTTCCACATGGCCAGCAAGCTCTGCTGTCCCACCTCGCACTTCTGGGAGGTGGCTACTCCCTCTTTCCACCCCCTTTTCTGGATCTTGACAAGGGATTCTACCCTGCCCCAGCTGTCAAAGCCTGCAGCAGCTGCCAAAAAACCTCAACACAGGCATACTTTGGACCTACATCATGTGTTGATGTCACAGATGCTGTACCAGGCATTTGACTCCTTGATCTAAAGCCAGGATTCCTAGCCAACATGGCGAAACCCTGTCTCTACTAAAAATAACAAAAATTAGCTGGGCATGGTGATAGGCACCTGTAATCCCAGCTACTTGGGAGGCTGAGGCAGGAGAATTACTTGAACCCAGGAAGCGAAGGCTGCAGTGAGCAGAGATTGTGCCTCTGCACTACAGCCTGGGCTATGGAGTAAGACTCTGTCTCAAAAAAAAAAAAAAAAAAAAAATAGTGAGGGGGATGCATGCCCACACAAAGGAATCCTGATAGAGGAACAATGGCTTGGTCCGTTTCCCCTCCTGTGTAGCACTGTGATAAAGGAAAGCCTTTCAGGTATGTGCCTCGATGGAGCCAGTGGGTGGAAGAGGAAGGGCAATGAGAGGTTTGAGGACAAGCTGCTGATACCCTCATGTGTCATCACAGTGGTGCCCTTTGGGAGCCTGCTTTGGTATACTCGTCCACTCAGGGAAGAGGAAGTCTCTTATCCACAGTTTTGTCTTCAAAATTGAAATTTCTTTGGGCAGAGCCTAAAAGAGAGTTGCCTCATTTCGTGTAACTGTAGCATATGTAGTGTAGAGGCTCCAATGTGTTTTTGAGGCAATCTGAGAGCTCTTTCTGGAAATCCCTGGCAGATGACATCTGCGTCTGATTTTACTTTGTCTTACAACCAGGCTAAGACCTCCAGCATCATCAGACTGTCGAACTGCTCAGGTCAAGGCAGACAGGTAGAAAGGCCCACATAGATAGTGGTTACTCATCCCAAGAACACAGAGGCCCACACCAGGAAGGGGCAGGTGATGTTAATGATGAGGCAGGCAATTATATCTTGCGATTTCTATGAGCCATGATGCATTACAGTAAGGAACTTTACCTCACTTGGCTTGTGACTTCTGTTAGTGAAAAGTGGCCTGCTGGCCTATGCTGTGGAGGACTTGCAGAAAACTTCCCAGTCACCGGCAGACGGTTGACATCTCCCCTGGTTCCTCCCCAACCCGTTTAGTGTGAAACGGGACAAAGGGAAACATTTCCTTTGATCTATTTTTGGGGAAAGAGGCAAATGTCAACTAAATAAGATCATATTAGGGACTGGGCATGGTGGCTTATGCCTGTAATCCCAGCACTTTGGGAGGCCAAGGTGGGCGGATCACCTGAGGTCAGGAGTTAGAGACCAGCCTAGCCAACATGGCGAAACCCTGTCTCTACTAAAAATACAAAAAATATTAGCCAGGTGTGGTAGCACGCGCCTGTAATCCCAGCCACTCGGGAGGCTGAGGCACGAGAATCACTTGAACCCAGGAGGCGGAGGTTGCAGTGAGGCGAGATCACACCACTGCACTCCAGCAGCCTGGGTGATAGAGACTTGACTCAAAAAAAAAAAAATCCTATTAGGAATTTCATGAAAGCTCACACAGTTCTTGCACACATCATTCAAGGCCTGTTATGGGGGCCCAGAACATCAGGACACAGTAGCTAGCCTCACATTCAGCTCCATTGCACTAGAGCTTTGCATGATCTCAATTTGAAAAACACACATGTATATCCTACATTTGTATCTCTATTCTAATATTATATACTGTATATGACTTTTTAAAATATTGGTTTGCTGTTTCTATTTTGTGCTAATGCAACAAATCTAATTTGTTTTAGAAACAGTTATTACTGTTTCTTGCTTCTTATCACCCCCTACCGTTTGGACTCTGTTGTCCATCTTTCTCTGCCTAATTGGACCACAGCCTGGTGCCTCAATCCCCACAAAATCTGTTCCCTTCTAGCTCAAGATGACTGCATTCTCTCTCAGTTCGCAGTGTACTCATGGGCTGCTCATTCATCTGCCCTTGTGCTCTGTGCCTTTTTGGCATCTGCGGGTAAACTCAGTGCCACATATCTCTATTCTGTTCACTCCTAATGTTTGTATTGTCTTCCCAAGGGACCTCTCTTATGGCCCTGCTGGGCTCCTCCCCTTACCCACATGTGCCAAGCATAGAAATCAAGGCAACATTCTCAGTCCCTTTAAGGGAAGTTCCAGGTACCTAGCTAGTCCTACAGCCAGCAATTAGGGAAGTTAACGAATAACCTGCTAAACAAGAAGATAATAATTTAAAAGCCACTCAAGTAAGTCAGAGTCACAAAATGTTTGATTCCCTGTAGAAACTAAAGATAGCATCTTGACCTATTCCCTTGCATTGCTTTTCAGAAAACAATTCCCACACCAGATGGAAAATGCTGACCACTGTCATAGAACTCAGACAGACTGAAACCAAAAAATAGATATGGAAGTTCCAGAAATTCCCTAGCTCTTAACTCATTTTGGATACCCCCTCACTCCTGCTTTAAAAACCCTTGCTTATAAGCCAGCAGGGAGCTCAGGTGTTAAGTGCTAGGTACCCATTCTTCTTGCTTGGCACCCAGCAATAAACGCCTTTTTCTCACTACAAATCTCAGCGTCAATGTTTGGCTTTTTTGGCATGCTGGGCAACCAGAACCAACCCCATCTTTGTGTGCCTGCATCCAATTCTGATGAGCCTATGTATGTCAGGTTGGTCAAGGCCCTTTGTGCTGAACACCAAATCAACCTAATTAAGGTTGATGACAAGAAACTAGGGGAATGAGTAGGCGACCTCTGTAAAATTGACAGAGAGGGGAAACCCTGTAAAGTGGTTGGTTGCAGTTGTGTAGTAGTTAAGGACTATGGCAAGGAGTCTCAGCCCAAGGATGTCATCAAAGAGTACTTCAAATGCAAGAAATGAACAAACCTTTGTCTCACAAAAAAAAAGCCCACAAACTTTTGAATGAAATCTACTTATATGATGTGACACACATTTCTTTCAGACATGGATTTTGAAATCCTATCAATAAAAGCCACCAAGTGAGACACTCAGTTCTGGTTTTGAGCATGTACCTGCTCCGTTTCCTGGTATCTGCAAATTAGGGTGGCCCAGTGCAGGCTCCTGACCGTTTGACCATGACAGGCTGTCTGAACCCTGGGAGCTCATCGTGCCCATCGTCAGAGATGTCCGTATGTGACACAGCAGAGACTACCCCACAGATAACAGACGAAAGCCAGCAGAGTACAAGGCCTAAATGTGCATGTCCTTCTGTTTCCTTTTTTTTTTTTTTAGGGGTTCTGACTGAGCAGGCAGATTGGAAAGGAAGAATCAGATGAGGAGCAAGTGCTAGGTGTTGGGGAAACAATTTAAATTTCCTCCCACCCCAGAAATTCCTCTCCATAAAATATAGGAAAAAGAAAATATTTTATTATTGAATAAACATTAAACTAGTGATGCACATCTTTAGCATTCTGCTAAGGAGATTGCAAAGACAGACATCCCACCCTTTTATGTGGGCAAGCAAATAGGACCCATTCATTACATACATGTTCTCGAACTAAAGTAAGAGGACTTGACAGCACCATTTGTCAAGCATAATTCATCCTAAATTCACCTGGTGACCATTTGTGTTCGCTAATTGCCTTTATCAAAAGGAAAAATAAAACTCAAGTTTCTAGGACAGCAGGTAGTTTTACAACTTGGAGCCAGGTGCTTAAATGAAACTACTACCCACTGCCCTCCCACTGACAGTGGGAGGTAGGGAGCTATCTTCCTTGATGTCTGTATTTTCAAAGAGATGGTTTCCAGGCCCTTGCAGGAAAAGAGTCCTAGGTTGTAAAATCGACTGGAGCCTTACTTAGCTTTTAAAAAGATTTATATACATTTCAAAGGGGCAGCAAAATATAAGTTTTCTAAAGGAAATGCTCTAAGAAAAAGGAGGAAGCTCTTCCCCTTTTTGCATGGGCTTGTGGGGTAACTTACATTCTGGAATTCACGAGGAGCAGGAATTGGTTTCCTCCCTCCACGTGCTGGAAGGCACAGTGTAAGAAGCTTGGCAAGGCTCCAGTCGGGTGGACAATCACTGGGAATTCCACGCATCAAAGGGACAAGGGACAATCACTGGGTCCATCCTTTACTTCAGAGGGACAAGACCCAATGAATGTAGAACTGGGCCACAGTTTGTCTTGGTTCTTAAGCACGCTGGCCCACACATGATAGGTTATCATTAAATGTCTGATGAGTAAGTGAATGAATGTCAGGAACCTGAGAGGCTTTAGAGGTCATTTACCTCAGCTGAAATTCAGGCATCCCTTTCCCTCAGCCCTCCTTAAATACCAGCAGTCCTGGGGATCCCACCACTTGCCACAGCAACCCATTTTACTGTTGGATAACTGTAATTATTATAACATTTTTAATATCTGAATAAGGAGAGAAAACAAAATTCGAGTGCTTTCAAGGGCAGGGTACTTTTTTCAAAACAATCCCAAGAAGTAGGTATCCCATGTCACAGAGGAGGGAACTCAAAAACAGAGACATTAACTAACAGCCCAAGGTCACACAGCTAAAGGGAAATCATATGTATCGAGTGTCTGTTCTGCACCAGGCACTCATTTAAATAAAGATCCTTTCACTCACAATAGTTTACCATACAAATATTACAGCATGTCTAGATGGGGTCTTAACCATACCAAAGTACTGTATTGCATGCCTCCATCTGCCCTGGGACTAGGACCAGGTCACACACTGCAAAGGATTTGAGTGGAAACGATGAATAGACCCCTGCACACCCATGTGCATCAATGGAGGACTGTGGATGCCGTGTGCCCCCATTCCTCTGGGCCATTGTCATTAACCCTTTGTCTCCCAAGGAATGGAGCTGCCAGAGAGTTCCAGCTGCCTCAGATCCTCCCTGGTCTCTCAGGTATGCTGAGTGTTTTCCCTTAAGCAGGGTTTCCATAGGCTGATGCCGAGGGGAGGCTAAGTATGGGGCCAAAATGCCCACAGCACACAGGTGTCACTCCAGGCAGCACTGAGGGGAAGCAGAACCAGGGGATGGCTCTTGGGGCCTTCCTTCGCAGGAACACCACTCACTACAGGCTTCCAGGCGGTCAGCGGGTCATGTGAGTCAAGGGCAAGTGGGTGAATGACACTGATATGTTTCAGGTAGGGAGAAGCCATGGTGGGCAGCATTGGAGGGAGGGGAAAGAGGGGGTGAGGAGGGGGTAGAGATATGTATTTGTCTACTTATTCATCTGATGACTATTTACCTACTATGTGGCAGCTTTTCCAGAGTCCTTAGTCTGAGGAAAAAAACGCTGTGTGCTCGTGTTATTCCCATTTTACAAGTGAGCAGATGCAGGGAGAGAAAGGCAAAATAACTCACCCAGGACCACATGGTTTGTGAGTGGCAGCGCTGGGATTCTGGCCAGCAGTCATAGTCCACACTCTTAACCACGGCCCTCTGCTGGGCAACTAGAAATTGTGTGTGATTTGTGCTCTACTTGGGGAGCCAGAGCCTGTTGGGGGGTCCTGGGAGGGCATGGTTGGCTATGGGACAGACCATTCAACGATGTTGTTTGAGGAGCCTTGTCAGGTCTTAAGCATACCAAAGTACTGTATTGCATGCCTCCACCTGCCCTGGGACTAGGACAGGTCACACCCTGCAAAGGATTCGAGTGGAAACGATGAATAGACCCCTGCACACCCATGTGCATCAGTGGAGGACTGTGGATGCCACGTGCCCCCACTCCTCCCTCCCCAAAGCTGCTTTCCAGGCATCTTCCAGGTGGGGAAATGGCCATTCCCCTCAGCCCAGAGCAGACTTAGCCTGCCCTTGAATGCTGCCAAAAAAAAGAAAGGGCTAAATGTGTCCCCTGTTCTATTCCTAGTCCAGATTCCTAAGATGAGGACACAGCATCCTGGGCCACTGTCACTAATACAAATTTGCCTCTGGAGGGACTCTACGGAAGATAATTCCCCTGAAATTTGGAGAGTTGAATTAAGCTAGGACTGATTCTGGCTGGAATTTGTGGTGGCTACGTACCCTAGAGGGCCTCAAGGAAACCCACGGTTCAAGACAGCCCTGACAGATTCTGGAGTCTAGAACAGAAATGGATTTGAACATGGGCAAGGCCAACCACCCAGTTCACGGCCTGTGTACAGCAAAGATTACGTTACAGCCTGAGAGCTAAGCCTGGAAGCTCTTTCATCCATCCGTTTGTCCATCTATCCATCCATCTGCTCATCCATCCCTCCATCTGCTCAACAAACGTTAGAGAATCAATCCTTGTGTCAGATACTGGGGCTGCCCTCAAGGAGCTTTTATAGAGTTCAGGGTACAGCCAGGTGGGGGAGACAGATCACTATAAAAACCTACCACTATAATCCAAAGGACAAGAGCAAAAATAGTAAAGAGGAGAGAAGACCCAAATTTGCCTGGTGGGTCAGAGAGGGCTTTCTAGAAGAGGTAAAAAATCTTCGGGGCTATCACTTCACCTTGCCTGGTGGATAAAGGGAGGACTTTCCAGATACAGTGGACAGAATGTGCAGAGGCAGGAGCCATGAGTGGCAGAGGCAGGGGAGGGACTGCAGAGACAGGTTGGAGCCAAAGCACGTGGCACTGGAGCCATAGCCAAAGGAACAAACTGTGAGACCTGGGACTTGAATTTGGAGGTGGTGAAAAGTGACAAGGTCTTCACAGAAGAGTGATTTTTTCAACTTAGGGAAGGCTGACCCCAGACCAATGCTGCCAAAGTGTGGTCTGTGGGCTGTTAGCAGTTCGTGACGATGTAAGTACAGGAATTGAGATTAAGCATTTAGAACACCTACAGCACTTTGATAGTCATTTTACTTTTTAAATTTTGAGCTGGCATTTTATATGCCTGGTTTTTTTTTGTTTTTGTTTTTTTATTTTTTTTGAGACAGTCTCGCTCTGTCGCCCAGGCTGGAGTGCAGTGGCGCGATCTCTGCTCACTGCAAGCTCCGCCTCCCGGGTTCACGCCATTCTCCTGCCTCATCCTCCCAAGTAGCTGGGACTGCAGGCGCCTGCCGCCTCGCCCAGCTAATTTTTTGTATTTTTAATAGAGACGGGGTTTCACCATGTTAGCCAGGATGGTCTCAATCTCCTGATCTCGTGATCTGCCCGCCTTGGCCTCCCAAAATGCTGGGATTACAGGTGTGAGCCACCACGCCCAGCCTTATTCTCTTTTTCTAATAGTTGCACTTTATCATATTTTACAAATGTGTGAGTCTGCTATGGATTAGAAATTAATAAGAGATTTTGCCACAGATAGTTTGAGAAGCCCAGCACTGCCACTCAACAAATGCTGGTGCATTCAGATGGTGAAATATTCTGCAGCTATTAAAGGAGTTAAAACTGCCTCCACTTACCTGGAGGCCCATCTGTGACACCTTTTTAGGTTAAAAGGAAAAGAAAAACTTGCTTAGGACTGAATATGAGCGGTTGCAATTTGTAACAATGATGTATATATACATATACATTTTCATGTATTTGTATGAACATAAAAGTATTGAAGGATATTCATCAAACTGCTAAAAGGGTTGCTTCAGAGTAACGGACTCGGAGAAGGCAGATTAATTTTCTCTTAATGGAACTCTGTATTGTATCACTTGTAAAAATAAGCATGTGTTATCTTTATGATAAAAAAGTAAAAACCTAAAAAAGAAAATTTTGATGTGTGTTAAAATTTTGGATTTCTAGGCTCCACCTTTTTTGAATGAGTCTCTCCAAGAGTGGGGCCCTCACATGTATAATGAGAAAAAGCTCCCCGATTACAGGATGTTACCAAGCCCCGCTAGGTGTAGGAACCCTGCTTGGTACCCACCCGAGCCTCAGCAGCTCCTCCCCATCATGGGCATGATGAGGTCTCCCTGTGAGGTGTTGTGAAGACGACGGGACAGGCTGCAGTAGGCACTGAATAAATGAGTCCCTTCCCCTGATGACCCTAAGGCTATGGGATCATCATCACTCCCTCCCCAAAGCCACACCTGATTATTCCAGCCAGCACTCGGCCTGCCCCTTTTCTGAATGCTTTTTGATTTTAACTTACATTTTTCGCATTTAAATGTTTCATTTAATTTGAGAAAGAGTCTCGCTCTGTCACCCAGGCTGGAGTGCAGTGGTGCGATCTCAGCTCACTGCAGTCTCCACCTCCTGGGTTCAAGCAATTCTCCTGCCTCAGCCTCCCAAGTAGCTGGGATTACAGGCGCCCACCACCACATGTGGCTAATTTTGTACTTTTAGTAGAGATGGGATTTTGCCATGTTGGCCGGGCTGGTCTCGAACTCCTGACCTCAAGTGATCCACCTGCCTCAGCCTCCCAAAGTGCTGGGATTAGAGGTGTGAACCACCACAGCTGCCTTCTTTTAATTTGTATTTTCTATCTCTGCGGACAAGACTTCAAAGGTGTCTATCACATACTTTCAGATCTACTGATCATCCTCTGAAAACCAACATCGGGGTTCACAAAATGGATTTAACCAATTGGGCTCCCCAGTTCTTCTTCCAGACTCCACCCCTCCAACAGTGTCTCCAATGACTTCCTGGCATCACTGAACAGGTCCTTCACTTTGCCACCTCTGAGCCTTTGCTTGAGTGTTTTCTTTCCCCTGGAATATCCTTTCCAACCCTATACACCGACTGAGTCAAACCTTCTGTCTTCTTTTTGAGCATTTATGAGCTCCTATCATGAGCCATGCATTATGTAAGGGACCTTACAAACACAATCAGTCTATGTAACAATCCTGCCAAGTATGCTTTATTTTGGGCATGGGGAAACAGAGGCTCAAGAGAAGTGACCTGCCCCAGGTTTCAGTGCCAGCACACTAGTAGAGCTGGGATTTGAACCCAGGTTTGTCTTTTGCACTGGATTCAGCTTCCTTGCAGACCGCAGCACCTCACATACAGCCCTTCACTGACCAGCAATTGGAGGGAAACCACCCCTGTGGCTTAAAACCTGTGGTGCCACAGATCATTCCACTCAGTCAAACCCCCAAGACCGTAGAAGTGCATTTAACACAGCAGCTCCTAGGCACAGGATTGTCACCTCAGGGCATATGACTTCTAAAGTTGCAGATTATAAACTTGTTCTCTTTCCCTGTCCTCAGGCTCCCGCTGAAGTAACCCAGACGCCAGGGATATCTCTGCCCGCTCCACTCTGACTCTAGTGCTCAATGTGCCTGCCAGGCCTTGCTAGGGATGCTGTGCCAGTGTGAAGAGGAAGGTGGTCTCCAGCTCTCACCCCATAGAAGCTTTCTGCCTCAGTTTCCCTAACCTGGAACACCACAATGACTCCTGAATTGAAAAACACTGCTTACAGCATCTAGGCTAAAATTGGCAGAATACCTGGGCTCCAAGCCAGGGAGATTTGGAGCGATGGGGAGGTGCAAGAGCACAGCCAGACAGAGCCAAAAGCAATAATATCCTGTTTGTTCCTACACTGCCCTCCGCATTAAAAAAACAACGACAGCTACATCAAGCCCTTTTGTTAAGTGGCCACAAGCTGTACATTTCTTGGTCCCAGGCAGGTATACTGGGAGTTCAGATCCTGGTCTTAATGCTCTTCTCTGGTTCTGTGACATCCTAGAATGTGAAGAGGAGGCCTTGGGTTCTGTCACTGCCTCCAGCCCGAGCCCCCTGCTCTTCCTGGGCATCCCGGATGGACCATGTCTGCCTTTCTGCTGACTCAGATTTATTTCTGGTCCAGCCATTCACAGCGTCCATGTGTCTGAACTCCTCAGCCAGAGGGCAGGTGGAAGGGCAGGAGGAGGACCACGTGTCAGCTTTCCATCCAGAGAGCCACCCCAAAACAGAGGATGTCCTTGGGCTTGGACCAGCTCCACAGAACACTCTGAACAAATTCTCACGATGCCAGGCTCCTAGGCCGCAGAAAATGCCTGTCTCCTCCCAGTTCTAAGATAGCAAAGGGTGTGCGTTACCTCAAAACCACTTAGTACGCAGCCAACCTTAATGGGCACTCTTGGCATTACTGTTCTACTCAGCAAATAGACAGTCCTAGGCAGGAAGGAGATATTTAGAATCCTACTCTGTAAAACAGAGGCCTTTCCTAGGCCTCCTGTGATGAAGGCATGGGACCGTTACCAGACTTTGTCCCTCAAGGGTAAATTGTTTTCAAGAAAACAGGAAGCTAGGAGCCATCTAGTCCTTTGAAGTGCTGTGAAGTGGGCTGCCTTCTTCCCCGCCCAAGGGAGGGAGTCTCTGAGGCTTCCTGGCAAGGGTTAGTGTGACCTCCAGCAGTCACCTTCAGCATGGGTTGCTGCTGGATTCCTGGCTCTGTGGGCAGGAGCTCCCAGAATGCTTGACACAGACTCTACGTGGCTTCCTTTGGGAAGACAAATGGAGCCTGCTGTAGGCTATGGCAGAGATGGAGGCCCAGGGCCTCTGAGCTAGGGGCAAAGTCAGTCTCCCTCCTGTGTCTGAAACCCCAGGACTCCCCATTCTGTATGGTACTCCCCCCGACCCAACCCACAGTTTCCTTAGGAAAACTGACCTGCCTATGGCCCATTTCCTAATGATATGATTTGGTCATGAGGCTGGCAGAGTCCATGGGGTGCATGTGGCACTCCTGTGCTTTGCTGTGACAGTGCCTTAACCCACAGGCGTGATTAACTCCAAAGTCTGGGGTCTTTGGAAAAGGTGCCTATCAATGCAGAGGAAGTGAAGTGCTCAGACCGCCAAACAAGGCCAAGAGCCTCCCGGAAGAGCCTGCCTGTCAGGAAGTCTCTGGCCACATGCTGTGGCCATGCTCGCCTCTATGAGAGGACAGAGAGAACAGACCAAGGACACGAGTTCAGAACAGAGAAAATGTGAGAGCCGTAGACAGGAAAAGCAGCCCTTCTGGAAACAGCACACTGGTGTACCTAGCGTAACCTTGTCCTGAGGGCCACTAACTGCCCCTCACTTGACTCAGCTGACACTGTGAGGGGTCACGAGCCTGGCAACACTTTCTGGAAGGTCTAAAGGGCAGCACTGAGGAGACCTAAAGGTTTTGGTCTGTTTGTCAAATGTCACTCTTCCTCACATTCGGAGGAGAGCATTTGAAGGCAGACCACTCTAGGGGCAAGAACAGGACTGATTTTAACCCCGGGACAACCAACCAAGCAAGCAAGCTAGTGAAGAACAGGCCTCTGCCCAGGTGAAACACGTGGGGCCAATTCCATAGGTTTTTTTTTTTTTTTTTTTTTTTTTAATTAACCTCCGGTGGGAAAGGTAAGGATGGTGGGGAGGGGAGACGGTTACTTGTCTCATTATCAATGTGTTAGTATTAGTGACGGCAAAACTGAATCTCTAGCAATACTATTTGCCCGTTTAAACTGGGCCTGGCTATTGGGCTTATGAGCAAATAGCTTCTCAAAATTTTAATTTTCTAGTTAGTTCATCCCAAGTCACTGATTTACATGTCTTTTGAGACTGAGACTGCTGGGGAAAAACATTCCCAGAAATGAGTGGATTAGACTCTGTGAATTACAAGGGAAAGACACTTTAAGTTTAAAGTTGTCCCAAACTTAGCGTCAAAATACAGCCTTTAGATTTTTTTTTCCATCGAGAAAAATTCCTGATTCACTACCAAAAAGAGGCCCTGCAGGCAGCGTGCTGATTTGTTCTGCTCCTGGTGCTGAGCTGCCCCCACCTGTGTGCAGGGAGGAGGGGTCGCTTCGGCCAAGGGCGGGAGCTCTGCTGGCTTTAGCGAGTCACCATTGCCTCCTCGCAGTCAGCGTCCTAACGGGGTCCCCGTCTACAGCCCGGCATCCACTCCTCCAAGGCCCTTCACACTGGCTCTAGCCATGACCCCTCTTTGGAGGAATAAAGCAGAGTTTCACGGACTCACCGACCTTGAAGCCGGAGCCTCCCACGTCCTGCTGAGCGCACACAGCCAAGAAGTGTATGCAGGGCGAGCTGGTCGGGCCGGCCTGGAAATCCTCCCTGGCGGGGCGGGGCCAGAGGACCTCACCAATCCCAGCGTAGACCTCCGGGCGCACCGGCCCCCACAGCTGTACCCTTGAAGGCAGGCCCGTGGGCGCTGGGCCCTTTATAGCACCTGCCCTTTCTCTGAAACGTAAAAGGCGGAGCCAGTCTTGCTTCCCAGGCCTGGTCCTGGAGGCTCCTTTGCCAGGGCTCTGGATCTCAGAATGGAAGGGCCAGCAGGTGAAATTGCACATCTGTTGGGGGATTTGTTTCTCTCTTCTCTCAGGTGTACCAGCCTTGGGGCCCTGGTGAGCTCTGGAGGATGAACCCCTCAAGCCAAGGTCGGAGAGGAGGATGTCTCAAGCTGCCTGGCTCCAGCAGCTGACCGGGCCCTGAGCCAGGGGCTGGAGGGACCTCCTTCCAGCGTCTTTGTCTGGGACCTGGATCCAGGGACAATTACAGTCAGGTTTCTGTTCAAGATCAGGCCCCCTGCAGTAGATGGCTAGATCATCTCGCTTTCTGTCCACACCAGCTTAACCCACGGCAGGCCATAGCCCTGCTTAAAAATAGCCCCGCTTGGGATATCCACCGCACGCCGGGAAGGCTGCCTGTAAATAGCAATGACCCAGCAGGATTTTGGACAGCAGCCCTGCCATTTCAAGGGAGCCTGCCTAGGCATCTGGTGACCGTCACGTACTCAGCTTCTGAGGCCACGTGGACATGACCAATTGGTTCCTGTCTCTTCCTTCTCAGAGCCCAGCTCATGCTCAGAGGACTTGATGGAGCAAGGGGTGGAGCCCCAGGAATAACCTTCTACCCAGTGTGGTTCTCCTTCATTCTCTGAAGGAGTTTCCATTTCTTTTAAACACGACCCATGTTTAAAAATATCATCTATTTTACCTTTGCATGGGGTACTGACAGGGAGAGCACGTGAGGGGGCCTTTTGGCGGGATGGGAAGTTTCCTGATTGGGGTGGTTATATAAAGATTGGGACCAATCAAATTAATTTCATAATCCTTTAAGGAGTCAAGACCCACCAGCTTGCATATTCTATCATCAGGGCAGTCTCGGTTTATTCCTTCTCAAAATAGCTCTTTTCCACACACACTTGTTTCAAGTCAGTTCAGGCACCAACTGAAATAAATCCATTGACCCTGAAATAGCCCAGCTCCCAGATCCAGAAAATTATAAGGCTTTTAAAGAGCATGGAATTGTAGATTTAAAGAATGGCAGTTATAGCAAAAACCTCCTTTTCCTCCCCAATTGCCTAATCAACATTTAGGGCCCCCTCCACTCACCCGACCTCAACACCTTATATTTTATAGAGTAAATGTTTATGTTAGTAAGGTCAGAAGAAAAATTGGGTCATTGTTGAGAAAAGAGGGTACCACCCTTCTTTTGGGGGACTGGTCCTCTTCAAGCTTATTATAAAGGTGGTGTGATGGGGATGAAATCTCTACAAGGGACTCACAGTAGAAATTCTGGCTTTCTGGAAATCTTTCAAATGCCATCCCTGTCACATGGCATCTATTCCCTTCTCATCGTTACCAACTCCTTTTGAAGCTCTGGGGCTCTAGCCACACCAGGCTGCCCTGTGGCTGGCTTCTGCCATAAGGGCAGGAACAGAATTGAAGTGTGCGACTGCCATATCATTTGCTTTAAAGGAAAATGTCCTGGACTTATTCTCTTTTCTGTTCCTGAGTCCAGCAGGAGTGTGGCTAGAGCAGGCCCCAGATTTGACCTCGAAGGCAAGGATGACGCCTTGTGGGATGAGCAAGTAATAGGATGAAAGGAACCTGGGTTCCTCTGTCGCACCAGCCTGGATTGCTCATTTCAGAATTGGGCAGGAGGGACCCCTTTCCTTAGTCTATTCTTGTGTCCAGCAACTGTAACTTAATTCCATCAGCTCTAAATGTTGCCACAACTTCATAGAAGTTAAAGTATTTTCATATATAGTAATCCATATAACCACTGCAGTTATTTTAGGGGTAGACAGGAGTCTTATTTCAGAAGCCCCTCCTAGGTGGAGCCTGGTGACTATTAGGCCAGGACTCTACCCTGGCGGCTTCTCCTCTCTCCACCACCCATTCAGGAGCGTTGAGCTGCTGTGCAATGGACTGAGCTGTTCCAGGTAGTAGTGAGTTCTCTGTGCCTGGAGGTATCAAATATAGGCTGGGGATGTCACAGGAAGAATCTAAGCACTGCAAAGAAAGTGTGATTAGTTGATCCTTCGTATCATTTCAAAGCTTTCCCCAAATTCTTTGAATTTTAGGGCCTCTTCTAAACTGTTTTTCTCCCTGAACTTTAGAAGTAATATTTAGAAGTAAATAATATATCTGAAGGAGTTCACTGCTATGAAGAAGATGTAAAATAAAAATAAAGCCCCTAGGCCCCCAAGCAAAACAAAACAGACTCATTGTGGTAAAAAGAGACCCCAGGAAACATTAAAAACCAGATTCTACAGCTTTGGCAAGGCAAGAGGTCAGTCACACCCAACGCTCTCCCACCTCGATAACTGCCTCAAGACTTTCTTTCCTAAAATTAAACTAAAACCAGTTACTGAAAAACTATGTCTGGAAGATTTCTTCCTCAACTTCAACAGACAACCTGACGTGGCGAACCCCCCCTTCCCTCAACGCAGTTTCCCCCTGACAAGTGTTCAGCCTTACAAAGCACTCCATCCTCATAACTGACCACAGACCACAGCCGGTTCTGGCCGGTTTACAGAGATTGCACACCAAGCGTCTTTGTGCCCTGTGTTCCATCTTTTGACATATAGAGCCCAATTTTACTACATTTTAAGTCTCCATCCCAAAGTGAACATGGGTTGTATGTAACATGTAACATATATGATTACTGGCTATGCATGCATTAGGGCCTCTCATAAATATTCATAAGATTATCCTATAACCTACTAAATGTATATGTAAGGCTCATCTTGTTGGGCATAAATCTCAGCCTCTCCCTTTTTTATCTGAAGTGCTTGCTTTTGGCTTTGGCCAGAGGCTCCAGCCTGCAGATTGTAACCCTTTATAAGAAATTAAGTTCTATTTTTTCTAAATGTATACATTTCATGGTTTTAAGTTGACAATGTAGAAAAATGGGGGGAAAAAGAGTTAAATGAAGAAACCAGTGAGATTTCTGAATATTCAAGAAAGGTGAAGTTTAATTTGCATATAGGCATAACCTACACCTCACTTGGCAAGTGTTAGGCCACAGCACAAACCCCTCTGTCCAATCACAAATGTCCACAAATTTGCAAAGTAACTGGACACGAACGATATGCTTCTCAAACTCACACACATATTCGTCCATCACACACACACTCAAATGATAAAGAAATACATTGAAATCCTCTACAAAAGAGATCTGAGGACAGTAATCAGATGACCTCATGTGCGGACAGCACTTTGCAGTTTACAGTCTAATCCATTTGGTCCTCACAATAGCCCTGTGAGATAAGCAGCACAGGGATTACTATTCACACCGTTTTGCAGATGAGGAAACTGAGGCTCAGGGATGTGTAAACACCAGCCTAAGGTTTTCCAGTTGGAGACTGGGCCTAGGACTCAGGGCCGGGATGCCTAGGCCAGCTCTCTTTCATAACTGGCTTTCTAGTGAAAAATGAAATGAGCTGTGTAAAAACCAACATCATTAAGTATAATAGAACTATTATTTTCCTTGAGCAGATCAGACTAGTGCTATCAATCCTAATGTTAATGTCATGCTGCATGGCAGCTGAGATGAATAATTTTCTGAATCGTTCATGTGTTTATACCTACAACAAAATGACTGTTTTCCATTTTGGCTCTGCCTCATCTTAATTTTAAGTCACCAATGGCCGCTGAGAAATGACACACTGATTAGATTTCATTGACTTAAGTCTTCTATTACACGGTGGTATCTATAATGGAGCCATTAAACTTACAATCTGATTTCTTACTGAAATGAAAAAGAGTTTTATTTATTGATTCCCTCTGTGCACATTAGCCTGGCTATACCCTTCAGCCATAAATAGTATGTTCTCTTTTATGCCTTTTCGATAGTTGTAAAAATAATACATTTTGCAATTGGATTTTTAAAAACCTTTATACTTTAAAGTGAAGAGATTTTTTTTCAAGGGGATAAAATCAAACTTTGAAAAAAAAAAGCTAAGTAAAATCTCTTGCTTTTAAATAAAAGTTAATTTTATTGGGAATAATCCCTGTATTGCATTACTCTTTTCAGTTAAGAATTTAAAAGCTGCCCAATCGCTGCTGGCCCAAAAGTCTCGTCTTATACAATAACATGAGAGAAAGGGTGCTGATCCATCATTATTCACTCCACATGGGACCATAATGGATTTTTCTCTTCCAGGTGATTCAGTTTCTCTGAGTTTCATTTGTTTATAAGTAGTACTTTAAGACGTACTGAAATTTAACAAACAGTAATGGGACTTGGTATGAGAGCCACTTGAAAATATTGCAATGGCCGTTTAAAATTCCGTCTTTAAATTCCTTCAGAAAAGCACTAAGGAAAAGTGACGACGTTTTACTTCATGCCTGAATCTGTCAAATAATATATTGGATTAGGTAAGAGATTTGTCCCTGTAGCAAAACTAGATGTCTCAGTTAATAACGAAAAGGCATCCCCTAAAAGCTCCAAGATAATTTCGTTGACAGTACAAAATGTGGGCATTCATTCGAAAGCATGAAATTGGATTTTTCTTCTGATTTTCTAGGTTAATTTTACAGTATACATGTTCGCTACTTGGCTGTTAGAGGTTGACCTCCCATCTCCTCTTAGAAATGGGTCTCCATAATGGACTAGAGGCAGATGCAGCTGGGAATGCATGCTTTGTGTGTAGGCAGAAGAGGATGGGTACTTTAACGACCAGAAAAAACACTGCAAATTGCTCTTGGGGATTTTTAATTTGACCAAATTGAAGGGATTTTAAAATGTGCATTCCTCTCCCAGCTGGCACACGAATAGTGCAGGTCATCAACAGACACTCCCTCAGAGGTGGAGCTCTCTCTCTTGCCCTCTTGCAGCTCCAGGAAGGCTGCAGACTCCAGAAAGTGGTGTAATTCTCAAACAAAAATGCGAAAGGCTAGTGAGTGGCACACCCCTGCAGTCCCAGCTGCTTGAGAGGCTGAGGCAGGAAGATTGCTTGAGTCCAGGAGTTCGAGACCAGCCTGGGCAACATGGTGAGACCCTGTTTTTCAAACAAACAAAAACCCCCTAAAAGTCAGCATAGCAATTGACAGTGCCTAATATGACCAGTGCGGGGCAGTTCCAACATCCTGCAGGAAATAGGCGCAAAAGCTTTGTCACTAGTTGAAGAAAAGCTGCGATCCAAAAGGGAAGGAGCATTTGGAAACTCCTGTCTTATTTTTTGTTAATAAGAATGGCTGCAGTGTCTCTGGAACATTTGGGTCAAAGAAATGAGTCCGAACTTCCAGAAAAAGTGCACACAGAACCATCCCTTTCCCTCTGAAGGACTCTGGCAACTCCAAGGCAGAGTAGAATGCATGCACCTTTCCACGTGTTGTTTGGCCCGAAACTAGTATGTGTGTGGTCCTCTCACAGATTTGTCCCGGTTTTAGTTCACCCTTCAGGACTATGCTTTTGAGCCATGAAAGCTAACCTTTACTTTTCTTCTGCAAGACCTTGAGGTGTTTGGTGCAACTGATACATATTATTTCAAACCCTCAGTTTCTGGAGCACTGAGAAATAAATCACAAGTTATGCGTTGTTAGGATCCAAACAGCCCATGCTTCTCATCATGCATCAAGATGCGTCAACCTCTTATTTGAAACTAAAGAGAACAAACAAGCAACTTTAAAAAAGAAAAAGAAAGCATCCATAAGGAACCCTCCTTGGGTTGAGTGCTACACTGTTGGCTAATATGAACTATTGAAAATATTTTGGGAATGGTCTTCAAATATTATATTTTCTTTTACTTAGTTGATATTTCACTATATAGTTACATACAGAGATGGCACTTACCGTGCAGAAAGTGTACATTCTCTACCTCTATGGTGCATTACCAATGCTAGCTCTTTCACTGAGTCTTAAGAGCCAGCAGGTGGAATTTATTAGTCTGTTAGCTCTAGCAACATAATTAAAGTGCAAGGAAAGAGGGAAAGCAGCCAGACAGATCCATTTTTCATTGTCAGCATCAATAAGTTTCATGCTGCTAAGAGAAAATGTCAGGTGCAACAGGTTCAGGGAAATAGAACTATATTTTTTCTCTTCCTTCTTTTAAAGCAGCAGTCTCCCTGAGAAGAGAAGAGGGAGGTAAACAATGAGATAGCCCTATTTCTTCAACAACTGACAATCTTGGGAAAAGGAAGGTCACTTCCCCAGCCTCAGGTAGCAGGACTAACCCTTGCATTTGGTTTTGTAATGTAAGAGCTGTTCGGTGGTTGGGCCCATTTCCCATGCACTTATAATATTCTCAGAGATCTCTCAACATCAGTTTTTAAAGAAAGAGATCTACGAACAGCATATGGAAGTGTGGGTTTTGAAAAGAAAATTTCACTAAACTGTTTAAAAAAAATACAGCCAATGTTCATAGTAAGCCTAAAAAAAGGTCTGTGTAAATGAGAATAGATTCCTGCAGTACTATGAGTGGGGAAAGAAAACAAACAAAGCAAGGTGCAGAGATGATTTTTAGGTATAGATTTTCACTCAGCACTGAAACCCATGATTCCCCACAGCACTTGGTGGCCTTCTGTTCCACAGTTTTGTCGGTGAGATGGGCGTGCACCTTTTTGCAGCTGCCTCTCCAAAAGGGCTGGCTTCTTAGGACCAACAGTCTCAAGGAAAAGCTCCCCACCCACCTCAGCCAGCCACTGTCTGGAATCCTCTGGGGCACAGCCTACTGCATTTAATTAAGGAAATGTTACATACAAATCCATTTGTGTTTCATTCTTTCTTTCCTATCCCATTGCCTAAAGACTGGAAAGGCAGTTTCAGAAGGTACCATTCCTCACATAGAAATATTTAGAATGCACTGACAACCATGCACATGCTGTAGACTGAAATTGCTTATGTTTTGGTCCATCTCTGTAGAGGAAGTGTCAGCTTTTCTGTGAAGCTTATACCAAAAGGAAATGTAATGGAACCAGTCAAATCCTAGAAGATTGGTAGGTGTGCCCAGGCCAGTAAAGCGCCAGAGAAACATCACAGGTCTTTTTCATGGATCCTTGTCCCTGAGTTCTAACAGAACATGGACAGAGTTTAAAATTTACCGATTTACCTGCTTTGTTAAAATGGCAACTAGCATCTCCCATCTGACATTCCCTTATGTAAAACGTGCCACCAGCTTTCTAAATAGCCATCTTTCACCTTCCCACCCAAGTCTGAAGCATCTGTCTTTGACCCAAACAGCTGGGTTTCTCTCTGGAGACAGAATTCCAGTCTGGTTCCATCTTCTTTGGTGGAGAAAGGAGCCTGGCTTCGTGCTGTACCGTGATAGGCAAGGCATACACAATTCTGTCTGTCCTGCTTTCCATGAACATCCCGTGGACTCAGGGGCAAGGCCAGATCTTCAAGCAGGGAGTCGAGGTTCAATTTTTAGTGACAGCTCATATAGCGTATCTTCATCTATGATAAGGTCTTTGTCAAGCAAGTACTGTGCGACCTGAAAAAAAAGGGGAAGTCCCAGCTTTTACCTCTTTCAGACACCAGTGCGTACATTTTCTGACGGAATCTAACACAATTCAACATTTTCTCTTAAACAACTAAAAATCTTATTTGACCAAAAAATCATAAATATGTTTCCATTGTTAAAAAAAAAAAAAAAAAGGTGAACATCTCTAGTCCTCTCTCAACCCCCAATCCCAGGTACCTCCCTCAAGAGGAACTACTGTTACTAATTGGTTTGTTTTCTCCCAGTTGTTTTTCTATGTCTTTATAGAGATTACATGTACTTACAGAAATCATTTTTCCCCCTAAAATTGGCACCATGGTGCACATTTTATTCTGCTTTCATCTCTTAATGATAGGTTGGAGAGAGCTCCCTGTGACAGTAGATAGAGCTCTAACTGCTATACAGTATTAATAGTGCAATATATTGGAGCTTATTTAATAATCTCATATTGATAGATGTTGAGTTGCTGTCAATACTTCACTGTTACACAAAGTTTCAGTGAATTCCTTGTTAGCATGCTTCCTGGAGTGCATGCGTGAATACTCTGCTAGGCTAGGGTAGATATCAGAAGTGAAAGGAAAGGAATTGACACTAGAAATGAATATGTTGGGGCATGGGGGATTTTCATGAAAATATTTCTTTAGTTTTATTGAAATATAACACACAAAAGTGAAATAGATAGTTTGATCTGTTTTGACATGTATACACCATGTAACTTACATACATTTCATGATAACAATTTCAGCATCCCCAAAAGTTCCTTCATGCACCTACTCGGTCAATCTGCTCTTGGAATCAAGCACTGCCCTGGTTTCTATCACCACATATTAGTTCTGTCTATTTTGGAACCTCATATCGATGGGATCATACAGTGTGTACTCCTTCATGTGTGGTTTCTTTCACTCAGCATAGTGTTTTGAGATTCAGCCTTGCTGTGGCCTGTACCAGTAGTCTGCTCCCTCTCATGGCTGAGTAGTAGTCCATTGTAGAGATATACCATAATTTGTTTATCCATTCATCTGTTGATGGACACTTGAGCTCTTCCCAAATAGGGGCTATTATTTAGAAATGTTATGAACATTTTATACAAGGCTTTTAATGAGCATGCTTTCATTTTCCCTTTGGATAAACACCTAAGAGAGAAATTGCTAGGTCCTAAGATAAGTGCTCATTTAACATTTTAAGAAACTTCTAAATGGCACAGTTTTGCAAAGTGATTGTTCGATTTTATTCTCACCAACAATGGTAAGAGTTCCAGTAATTCAATATACCAATTTTTAATTTTAAATGATGATGGAAAATGACCTGCAAAGCTTCCGCACCTACAGTACATGACAGTACCTGTTTTCCTATACCCTAAGCAATGTTTGATATTATCAATCTTTTAAATTTTTGTCAATCCGATAAGTGAAAACGATGTCCCACTCTAATTTACATTTTCTCTTTTTACTAGTGAAGTTGAGCATTTAAAAAATATTTATTGGTCATTTTTTTTCTTCTATGAATTAACTATTCACAGGTTTACCAGTTGAATTGTTTATGCTTTTCTTATAGATTATGGAAACACTTTTATTCTGTTTCTTTGTTGTATATGTTGCAAATGTTGTCTCATTGTCTACTGCTTATATTTTGATTTTTAAATAATGGTCCTCTGTCATATAGAAGTCCTTAATTTTCATTAACTTTATCAAGCTTGGCTTTCACAGCTTTTGCATTCTGTGCTTAAGAAGGTCTTTCAAATCCAAAGGTCATGAATATTTTATCCTTTATTTTATTCAAATAATATAAATACTTTTTAAACTTAGGTAATGAACTCATCTGGAATTTATTTTTGTGAATGGTAAGATGGAGAGCCAAAATTCCTGTTCTATTTATTGAATGGTCAGTTTCTTTCTGGCACTTTCTTTGAGTGCCTTCTTTATCTCGTATTAGATTTTCAGGTAGACTAAACACACACATGGACTTTCTTCTGCCCTACTGGATTTGCACTGCTGTGCCAGTAGAGTCCTGAATTTTTTTTTTTTTTCTGAGACGGAGTCTCGCTCTGTCGCCCAGGCTGGAGTGCAGTGGCGCAATCTTGGCTCACTGCAAGCTCCGCCTCCCGGGTTCACGCCATCCTCCTGTCTCAGCCTCCCAAGTAGCTGGGTCTATAGGCGCCAGCCACCACGCCCGGCTAATTTTTTGTATTTTTAGTAGAGACAGGGTTTCACCGTGTTCGCCAGGATGGTCTTGATCTCCTGACCTTGTGATCCGCCCGCCTCGGCCTCCCAAAGTGCTGGGATTACAGGCGTGAGCCACCGCGCCCGGCTGAGTCCTGCCTTATTTACTCTCACTTTAGGATGTGGCCATAACTGGTAGGGAACACTCTCCTTTACTATTCTTATTTACCAAAAAGTTCTTGTCTGTTTTTTGCCTATCTATGCCTCCCTAAGAGTTTCAAGATAAGTTTGTCAAGTTCCATGAAAAACCTGTTGGGATTTTGACCAGGATTTCAATGAATTTATAGATTAATTTGAGGACAATGGACCTCTTTACAATAGTAAGTGTTTTGATCCATGAATATGATACAACTTTCTCCTTACGTACTTCAGTACATAAAGGTCTTACATATTTCCTGTTCCACTTAATCCTAGTCATTACAGATTTTGTTGCTATTTTGATTGAGGTTTTTTATATTACATTTGAATTGCTTATTGCCAATGTGTTGAAAATTGGCTTTTGCATGTCAAGTTGCTATACTCCTTTAGTAATTTATCAGTTTTTCTTAGATTTTTCTCTTGGATTTTCTAAATCAAATCGTCTGTGAATTATAGTATTTAATCTTTACCTTTCCAATTTTTATACCTTTTGCTTTTTATTGCTTCATTGCCGTGGTGAATTTTTTCCTGTTCAAATCTGAATAGTAGCAGTGATGGTCACAACCTTGTCTTTTTCCTGACTTGAATTAACTAATTCAAGAAACATTTATTATCTACTATGGTCCAGGCACTGTGCAAGATGCTGGGGCTATGACAATAAACACAGTAGGTCCAGCTCTGAACTTCATGGATATCATGCATGTGCACATAATCACACAAATAAATGTAAAATGGTGACTCCAGCAGTAAGTGCTAGAAAGGAGACTTACATGGTGCAATACAACCTTAAGAGTGGAGTGGGGATTGGGAAAGTTAGGAAAGTCTTCCTAAGTGATACTTAAGCTGTGTACAAGTAAACTGTGCAATGAGGAAGAAAGGGCACTCCAGACAGAAGGAAGAACATAGGTAAAGGCCTTGTGGCAGACAGAAATAGGGCAAAACCTAGGGGCTATTAAAAGAAAGTGTGTCTCTCACTGTTGGAGAGGGAATTTACAGATAAGCAAATGTGGGGAGAGGGCTGGAATGATTCACATGGTAATAGAATAGAGTTGGGGGCATCAGTATATTTAGCTTAATACAAATACTGATGGTTACATAGAGATATATTTATAAATAGATGTGTATAAAATCTATACACACATAGATTCCTATGCTCTGTCAGCTGATACCTCCATAACGCAAGCATATCTAAAGCCCATATCTTGGTTGCTGAAACCATTCTCCAAAAAAAGGAACTAGAGCTTTTGGCAGAAATATCTGAAACTAGGACGGGGGCAAAATATAAAAGATGAGTCTAGAGCATCTTTTTTCTCCCCCTCCAGAGTCAGCGTGTTGCTCTGTTGCCCAGGCTGGAGTGCATAGGCTGGAGTGCAATGGCACAATCTTGGCTCACTGCAAACTTTGCCTCCTGGTTTCAAGAGATTCTCCTGCCTCAGCCTCCCAGGTAGCTGGGATTACAGCTGCCCGCCACCATGCCTGGATAATTTTTGTAGTTTTGGTAGAGATGGGGTTTCACCATGTTGGCCAGGCTGGTCTTGAACTCCTGACCTCAGGTAATCCGGCTGCCTTGGACTCCCAAAGTGCTGGGATTACAGCTGTGAGCCAAGGCGCCCGGCCACTTTTTGTAGAGACAGGGTCTCACTATGTTGCCCAGGCTGGGCTCAAACTCCTGGGCTCAAGTGATTCTCTTGCCTTGGCCTCCCCAAGTGCTAAGATTATAGGTGTGAGCCACCGCACCTGGCCTGGAGCATCTTATACTATCAGAAAGTAAGAAAGTCCTCAAAAAAGAAAAAGAGAAAACCCTACATGGATTGGGGTATGACAAAGAGGTCAACTGAAAGAGCACCCGATGGCCAAGCTTGGAACAGTTTCAGCAATAGAATAAAACATTATTGGATGACAACCCTAAGTATCAAATCCATTAGTCCATACTGATATAAATAAATGATTGAATAAATTAATAAATGGAGAAGAAACAAATCTCTTGAGCAGAAGAATTCCAAGTAATTTATGTAGATATTTCGCTCTCAAGGAGAGGCAGGCATAATTCTCCATTCCTTAGGTGTGGGGTGTTCATAGTGACTTCCTTCCCAAGAATACAGGATGAGGAAGGAAGGAAAAAGAATAACTTTACAGTGGAGACACCCAGCAAACACTACCTTAGCCAGGCGATTCAAGCTAACATCAACAGTCAGAAATTAGGTTGATAATATAACCCCTGATATGATGTGATGAAAATGGCACTTCACCTCTGGGGTCTTCCTTCCAATAACCCATAACCCCAGGCTAACCCTGAGTAAACATCTGACAGATTTCCACAGTGGGCCATCCTGCAAAATACCTGACCTCTACTCCTCAAAACAGTCAAGGCCACCCAAATTAAGGAAAGTCTAAGAAACCACCACAACCAAGAGGAGCCTAAAGAATTTTGACAATTAAATGACATGTGGTGTCCTGGATGGGATCCTGGAGCAGAAAGAGGATATTAGGTAAAAAATAAGGAAATCTGAATAAATGATGGTCTTCAGTTAATAATAAGGTATTGGCTGAGAGCAGTGGCTCACACCTGTAATCCCAGCACTTTGGGAGGCAGAGGCGGGAGGATCATGAGGTCAGGAGTTCAAGACCATCCTGGCTAACATGGTGAAACCCCGTCTCTACTAAAATACAAAAAACTAGCCAGGCGTGGTGGCGGGCTACTCAGGAGGCTGAGGCAGGAGAATGGCATGAACCCGGGAGGTGGAGCTTGTAGTGAGCCAAGATCGTGCCACTGCACTCCAGGCTGGGCGACAGAGCGAGACTCCATCTCAAAATAATAATAAAGTAATGTATCAATATGGGCTCATTAAGTCAAACAAACACATCATACTAATGTAAGATAATAATAGGGACATTGGCTGTGAGGTATATGGGAATTTTCTCTACTACCTTCTCAGTTTTTCTGTGAAGCTAAAACTATTCTAAAAAAGTAAAGTCTATTAAAAAATGGGGTAAAAGACCATTTGTGACTAGGATGGAGACAGTAAGGCGGTATATGATGTGAACTGAACCTTAAGAAAAAAGTAGGGGCCATATAATGCGAGACTTCACAGTCATGTCAAAGATTCTTAATTTTTTTTAATCCTAAGACCAACGGGAAGCCAGGAAAATGTTTTATGTAAGGGAGAAAATAATCCACTTTGCATTTCAGAAAGCTCTACCTAGCTGTAATTTGTAGAATGAATTTTGCATCCTAGAGTGAATGCAAGTAGAGCAGGCAACAGATATCGGCAGCTTGGACCAAGGGTTCTGGCAGTGAAGACAAATGGAAGAGGATTCACAAGAAATATAAGAAGTAAAATCAATAGAACTTGATGATGAATTGATGTTCTTTTTTTTTTTTTTTTTAATCAGACTAGCCAAAGATTTTCTATTTTACTGGTCTTTTCTATGAGCTAGCTTTTGGTATTTTGGATCAACTTTTACTGTTGTTTTCTAATTCATTAATTTCCCCTTTTTTCTTTATTAATTTCTTCACAGCCACATAATATTACCTTTGGCTGATGATCTATTCTGTAGGAAGTCTGCTGGAACTGGCGTATCTCTCTGATGATGTGTGATATCTAACAGAGAAAAAAACAAAACAAAATGACAACAACAAAAGCAAAGAAAGGTATTTCCTGCATTGCAGCACATTCTTCTGAGGCCTCTTCCCAGAAGGGTCAGTCCCTTCCTCCAGTGAGGCGGGTGGAGCCTGCCTGACCATTCCCTATGGTTGGTGCTTTCTTGACTCTCAAGGAGGCACATGAAATGCCAAAAGCAAAAAGATACTGAATTCAAAACTGGGGAACAGCTGGCAATATGTGGCCTCATGTTTGGGAGAGGCAAGCTCTGGGTGCTGTCATCCGTGGGCTCCTTGCTTCTAGCTTAGTGCTTAGAACCTGGCTGTCCAGGCTGGGCATGGTGGCTCATGCCTGTAATCCCAGCACTTTGGGAGGCCGAGGTGGGTGGATCAATTGAGTTCAGGAGTTTGAGACCAGCCTGGCCCCAACACAGCGAAACCCTGTCTCTACTAATAATACAAAAATTAGCCAGGTGTGGTGTCGTGGGCTTGTAATCCCAGCTACTTGGGAGGCTGAGGCATAAGAATTGCTTGAACCCGGAAGGTGGAGGTTGCAGTGAGCCGAGATCATGTCACTGGCCACTGCACTCCAGCCTGGGCAACAGAACTGTGTCTTTAAAAAAAAAAAAAAAAAAGAACCTGGCTGTTTAGCAAGAAGCCTTCAGCAAGTGTCTATCACTGGTCAGTCTTAGGAAGCCATCCTTGGATTCCCCATCTCCTTGGGGATGCTGAAATGGCTTTGCCAAAAATCTCCTCAATCAATACTTAGGAATATACCTAACCAAGGAATCGAAAGACCTCTACAAAACACTGGTGAAAATTACAAAACACTGCTGAAAGAAATCATAGACAACACAAACAAATGGAAACACATCCCATGCTCATGGATGGGTAGAATCAGTATTGTGAAAATGACCATACTGCCAAAAGCAATCTACAAATTCAATGCAATTCCCATCAAAATACCACCATCATTCTTCACAGAATTAGACAAAATAATTCTAAAACTCATATGGAACCAAAAAGGAGCCCACATAGCCAAAGCAAGACTAAGCAAAAAGAACAAATCTGGAGACATCACACTACCTGATTTCAAACTATACTATAAGGCCACAGTCACCAAAACAGCGTGGTACTGGTACAAAAATAGGCATGTAGACCAATGGAACAGAATAGAGAACCCAGAAATAAATCCAAATACTTACAGCCAACTAATCTTCAACAAAAGAAACAAAAACGTAAGGTGGGGAAAGGACACCCTTTTCAACAAATGGTGCTCGGATAATTGGCAAGCCATATGTAGGAGAGTGAAACTGGATCCTCACCTCTCACCTTATACAAAAATCAACTCAAGATAGATTAAAGACTTAAACCTAAGACCTGAAACTATAAAAATTCTAGAAGATAACATTGGAAAAACCCTTCTAGACATTGGTTTAAGTAAGGATTTCATGACCAAAAATCTCCTCAATCAGCCCACATCGGGTATTAGTCCCAGTATCCACCTCCTCTTCCACCGCAAGATTAAAAAGCAAACATTGGGCCGGGCCTGTAATCCCAGCACTTTGGGAGGCCAAGGCAGGCAGATCACTTGAGGTCAGGAGTTTGAGACCAGCCTGGCCAACATGGTGAAACCCCCTTTCTACTAAAGATATAAAAATTAGCTGGTCGCCAGGTGCGGTAGCTCACTCCTGTAATCCTAGCACTTTGGGAGTCCCAGGCGGGCAGATCACGAGGTCAGGAGATCCAGACCATCCTAGCTAACACAGTGAAACCCCGTCTCTACTAAAAATACAAAAAATTAGCCAGGCGTGGTGGCAGGTGCCTGTAGTCCCAGCTACTTGGGAGGCTGAGGCAGGAGAATGGCGTGAACCCGGGAGGCGGAGCTTGCAGTGAGCCGAGATTGCGCCACTGCACTCCAGCCTGGGCCACAGAGCGAGACTCTGTCTCAAAAAAAAAAAAAAAATTAGCTGGGCATGAGGCACACAACTGTAATCCCAGCTATTCAGGAGGCTGAGGCAAGAGAATTGATTGAACCCAGAGGCAGAGGTTGCAGTGAGCAGAGATCGTGCCACTGCACTCCAGCCTGGGCGATAGACTGAGATTGTTTCTCAAAAAAAAAAAAAAAAAAAAAAAGAAGAGAAAAAAAAAAAGCAGACATTGACTTTTATTACTTAGCCTCTTCTCTATAAACCTCTAAAGCCATTGAAACAGGCTAATTATGAAATTATACCTACCATTCTCATTTTGGAGAAATTGACAAGGCCTTCCTCAGTAAAGTTTGGTGTTCCTTCTTCAATAAATGCCAGGTCTGTCAAGTACATCCCAAGATAAGGAACTGCAGGAGGGTTACAACTGCAAGACCAAGAGGCACTGTTCTGAGACTCATTTGAATAAATGTCTATTTCCCTCCCCAAATTAAACAAAGGAGGATTAAAGTATCCTCCTTTGGTACTGAAGAGCAAAACCTTTTTATTTCAGTTTCAGAAGCATATTCATAATACGCAGAATTTTAAACACATTTCACAGTAGAATATAATACAAAATGACAGCCCCTGCTTTACTACGTGTTTGAAAAAAAATGGCATATTCAAACAACAGGATATCTTAGAGACAAATACAAAGCATTTGCTAGCAGTAATTGTTTGCAATACTTGTAAACTGCCCACACTTTTTTGAGGGGTAGAAGCTTGGAGGGAAACCTCTATGGTCTTACCTCTTTAAATCAAGTATTCAGCCTTGATGAACTAGATGGAAAAATCCATGCAGTTAGAGCTTTGCACTGGTAAAAACTTGTTTTCTGTTTTAGTTGGTACTTAAATGTTTTAGAAAGTGTAGACTTAACATCACAACTCAGACTAAGGTGAGACACTGTTTTGTTTGGTTTTTAGAGAGAGCTGGGTATACTTGGTCTTCTCAGAGGCCGGAGGCTAAGCACATGGGCTTTTGATGCGGGAGGAGCTGGGTTCAAATCCCAGCTTGACCAATTACTAAGTGATACTGGGAACATTCTCTGAACTGCAGTTTCCTCTTCTGTAAAATGGAGATAGAAAAGCTTATCTCTTGAATTTCTTGTGAGGCTTACATAAGACACATCAAGCACTTAGCATGAAACCTGTCATTTAGTAAATACTTTGGTAATTAGTTCTTATACTATTATTGCTGTTGTTGCTATTATTGCTATTATTATTATTATTAGTCTTAGTCTTGCTTTCACTCATACCATCACAGGACTCATGTTTTTCCAAAGTACATGTGGTAGATCATGAGAATACCAGTTGCAGGAGAATCTCAAACTCTCTCTCTCTCTGCGTGTGTGTGTGTTTGTGTGTGTGTGTGTGCGTGTGTGTGTGTGTGTGTGTAGAAAGGGAATAATCTAGAAACCAAAGATCAAAAATAATAATCAACAGGTGCTGGAATATTTAAATAAAACTCACAGGAAATAATTGTGCTTAGATTAGGAAATAACTGAATCAAGAACATTTTTACAGTAAAAGATAGTCCGATTTATTATGGTGGTATTACCTTCTTAATTCTTAATCTGCATGCCATGAGTATATCCATAAGACAATTACTGTATGCACAGTATTCCAAATAATAAGGACAATCAGAAAAATACCTAGATGATACAAGTTGTTTCCCATTTATTTTTCTTTTCAAAGCAAAGTAGGTGGTAGGTCACTGTTTGTATACTATATACATTATGTAAATATATTTCTGAATTATGAATAATTTAATAATTAAGATAGACATACTTTTTAAGGGTTTCTCTAAGATTTTTAAATCTTCCTTCAGAGGAAACAGTCTTTTGAAGTTTGTCCATTAGAGCTTTTGTCTAAAAAGAAAAGAAAAAACTTAGTGTGATGAAAATACTATGGTTTAAAAAGACAGTGAATTGCCAAAAGATGTTCAGTTCTCTTCTTTGGTGACAGGTGCTGACACCTTTGCCAGAATAAAGGTCATTGTGTGATAGGATTCTAAGATGTAGAGACAGGGCATTATGTTTACATTTAATGTTAACAACATATGGAGAAGAGGAAGTGCCTGTATCTACACATTTAGCCAAAAAGAGAGCAAAAATGTGTGGAAAGAAACACTGCAACGGATAGAAAACTTAGGCACTTAAAGAACTGACAAGTAGGCCGGGTGCAGTGGGTCACACCTGGAATCCTAGCACTTTGGGAGGCTGAGGCGGGTTGATCACCTGAGGCCAGGAGTTTGAGACCATCCTGGCTAACATGGTGAAACCCCATCTCTATTGAAAGTACAAAAATTAGTCGGGTATGGTGGCATATGCCTGTAATCCCAGCTACTCGGGAGGCTGAGGCAGGAGAATCACTTGAACCCGGGAGGCGGAGGTTGCAGTGAGCCGAGATTGCGCCACTGTATGCCAGCCTGGGCAACAGAGCGAGACTCCATCTCAAAAAAAAAAAAAAAAAAAAAGATTCTATATTCAGCATGTGCTTGTCAATTATTTTTGACAAGTGGAATTTACAGGCGCATGCCACCACATGCGGCTAACTTTTGTACTTTTAGTAGAGACAGAGTTTCACGATGTTGGCCAGGCTGGTCTCAAACTCCTGACCTCGAGTGATCTGCCCGCCTCGGCCTCCCAAAATGTGGGGATTACAGCATGAGTCACTGCACCAGGCCGAATATAGAATCTTAAAGGAGAGGTCTCATGTCAGACAGCTTTTGCGATGAACCCTTTAGAGTGTTAATCTCCAAATGACTAAAGCACATGTTTGGTTACCTTGGTATTGACTAAGCAATGTCCTCTACTACAGATCTTTTCTTTTGTGATCTTCTTCATCCATTTGTTAGAGAAGTATAACTGATAATTACTGAGAAATAACATTGTTGTTGACATTGGTCTGGGGTTTCTTCCATGAACATAGGAGAGTGGTAGGGTGGCCCTTGGGGAGGATAACCCATTCCTGGGAATACCCACATCCAGGCAGCGTGGCTGGGCATGGAGGATCCAGGTCCTGCCTGGAGAAGAACTTGGAATGCCCAGGTTGAGGGTCCTCAAACTACTTTGTCTCACCTGGAGAGGAGCTGCACAGCTTCCTGAGAGGCAAAGGGCTGTCTTCCCAGTTCTGGTGTCTGAGGGCTCTTAGAGATGGCATGCTTGGTCCAGGGCTAACCTTGCTCAAAAAAGTTTCAAAAGTACAACCTGTCCTACAGCAACAGACCAGTCTGTGGGTTCCAGAGTGCAGATTATCAGGCCTGCTGAACAACTCCCCGGCTGATCTCAGATGCAGAGAAGGGACAGCTGTACAGCGGATGTTGTCATCAAAGGTGTCTGAAGCAGGGTATATCTGCAACCAGGCCCTACCTACCATGACTGGAGTAAGGCGCTTGGCTCTAGAGACAGCCTCTCTGGGGGACAGTCCACTAGCCCATGCTAAGGCCACTGTGAGTGACCTATAATGTGACTGAAATGCTAATATTTTATTTAGAGCCTCTACAGATGGTATATTCAAATTTTGAAACAATCATTTCAATATTAGTCTCATCATCTCTATTTCATGATCAGTTCGGTTATTCCTAAACCAGCATCCTATCAAAGACAAGAATATCACTTAACTACGGAGTGGGCCTGGAAACTTTAAGATTTAGGGATCCCTTGGTGATAGCTGGTGATCCCTAGAAAGCTGGTGAAATCTGGATAAGACTGGTGGATTGCACCAATGTTCATTTCCTAGTTGTGATACTGTCTGTAGTAGTGCAAGATGCTGCTGTTGGGGGAAACTGGGTGTAAGGTGCAGGGAATCCCCGCGTTATTTCTTACAACTGCATGTGAAGCTATAATCATCTCAAAACAAAAGTTTGTTTTTTTGTTTTTTTGTTTTTAACCAGTATTTTTAAAAACTGTGGCTTTTATTTACCAGGTCCATTGTTGACAGAAAAGAGGACTTTTGAGTTCTAAGGGGCCAAATTTGGGATTCTCAGAGCACTGCATTTTTACTCTGAGAAAGGTAAGATAAAAGATAGGACTTAGGCTTGGTTTCCTGCCACATGGAGAAATTAAATTGTTCTCCTATGCTAAAGGGAAAAGCTTGGAGGGCAAAATGAAGATGGAAAAGAAATAATGAGTGTCTCTGAGAGGGGCTTAAATCCTCAGAGTAGGGTGATAAAATGAGACAGTTTTTAGGCCATGTCAGCAGAACATACCTAGATCTTCCGGTCTGGGACCCTGGAGGTGGCACTCTGTAGATTCCCCTCACCAACTCTGGGTGTTCACAGCAAGGCAGGGGAGGGTTAGGCAGAGAGGGCCTGATGTAGACCCTTCTATTCTCTGGCACCAATGGGACGTGAGAGCCTGGAAACTTCCCCTGAGGCCCTTTGAGGCCCTTTCCCCCTCGCCCCTGAGACGAGGTCAGCCAGGCTCCCTGGGTGCAATCACCATGCATTGTTCCCAGGCAGGGCAAGCAGGCCAGGTGACACCAGGTACAGGCAATTCACAGCAGCCTGTACCCAATGAATCATCAGCAAAGAATGACCACAGGAGGCCAGAGGAGCAGACAGGTGCCCAAAAGCCCAGAGATGCCCTCCAAGGCACCCAACACCCAGGGAGAAGGCCAGGAGAAAGGGCAGGGGAAGAATCATGATTTAGTTTGAATCTTGAAATTATCTGAGTGAAAATGACAGGCATAGGCAAGCTGAGATTAATGAAAGAAAATGAAAATTGTATTTCTGCACATCTAAATTATTATGCCAAAACTTTACATCTACTACAGGAATGAGCAAGAGAAAGGTGAAAAATGAGGCCTTTTGTCCCTGGCTTTTGGCCCCACAGAGTTTGCACCCTCACTCTGGGAGAGAAAGAATGGACCCACTGGACATAAGTGTGCTTGCTCAAAATCAATGTACCCTCCGAAATAATTCAGGAAACAACTCTTGACTGACAACCACATTGTTTGTGGCTGTCCCCCAAAATGCTTTAATGAATGTTTTAGAAATGCACATGAATGAAATCAATTAAGTGGTAAGAGCCCTGTAATTACCCATGTTGGCACCTTTCTTTGGCAACTGAGCGGCTCATTTCAGTTAATGATTTCCTAATTAGTAATATTTAACTTGGCTCCCATCTCCCAGCCTCTCCTCCTCTTAGCAGCAGGCTGTGTCACACGCTGAGGCTCACCTGCTTAGAGACCTTGGCCCAGGTTTTCTTCAGCCTGTAGATGGCACTTCTGTTTAAGGCCGAGGTGATCTCCAGCACGCCGTTGTAGTTGTGCAGGCATCGGCAGATGTCCGCCACTGCCACCCATTTCTCGATGGCGTTGGCACGGGAGCTGACATCAGCATAGTTCATTATCTGGGAGGCCACCAGGTTACTCATCTGAGACAATCAAAAAGCCCCGAAAGGCAGTCTAAGAGCCCCAAGCAGTGCATTTAGGCAAAATATGTAAATTATCTGCAGACCTGTCAGGAAGGCAGGGTGTTGAGTAGCTTGAAGATCATATTCTACATTTAGATACCAACTTTCTAAAGAGACTAAAGTCTATAAGAATAAACTAATGAGCATCTGTTTGTCCTTTGAGTGAACACAGGGGTTATCTGGATTCCCGCTTGTTGAGGGAAGAGATGATTTTGTTCCTCAGCAATTTTGATGGTGTCATTTCTAATAATTACTGAGGAAATGGGACAGAATAACCTAACGCCTGCGGAAAGGCAATGTCTGTAGATCATGGATGTCACTCCCTGGGGCCTTTCCCTTTACTCCTTGGCCCCCAACAGTGTGTGATTACTCACTCTGAGAAGCCACAGTTATCACAGAGAAAGAAAAAAACACTTGCCCCCAGTTAGATCAAATTCTGAGCTGATTAACTCTCAAACCAGAATCACTTGGCTGCAAGGAAAAGAACATTTTCTTCATCTTATTCTTCACCAGCAGTTAAAAGGACCTATAGTTTTGAGGCTAAGTACCGTAATTTTATTACTTAAAGCCAGTTTAAGAAGCTCAGCTCTTGTAATATGGAGAGGAAAAAAAAAGTGAAATGAGATTACCGTATTAACAAAGGGAATATAGGGCGTGTAATCTTATATCCATACACCAAGTCTGATGGATTCACCCATTCTTTGATGATTCTGAAGACACTTAAGATCTCATAGTGCCTCAACACCATCACTGTGGAAATTCGCTAAAGCACCTACTGCAGTGCTGTTCACTGAGTGCCTGCGCATCCTTAGCGTGAGGAGAGGAATTATTTGGAATCCAGTTTGTCCTGGGAAGAAGTGGTTTTGTTAATCAGTAATTTCGATGAAGAAGTTCTTGCCAATAACTATTGAGGAAATGGGATAGAATAGATTCTTTTAGGTGCTGGGAACAGAAAGACAAATAAATCCATCCCTGACCTTAAGGCAATCTGAGCCTAGGTAGGTGGGAAGGGGAGGGTCGCAGATACATAAACAGGTAAATGCCATGCAGCGAAACACAAAGTTGAGTCTATTCACGGTGGGGTTTGGGAATACACAGGCAGCATGGGGCATCTGGTCTAGTACAGAGGAGGCTTCTAGGAAGAGGTCACGCCTGCACTGAGTCTTTTTTTTTTTTTTTTCTGGAGACAGGATCTTGCTCTATTGCCCCAGGTGGAATACAGTGGCATGATTACAGCTCACCGGAGCCTCGATGTCCAGGGCTCAAGCGATCCTCTCACCTCAGCCTCCCAAGTAGCTGGGACCACAGGTGTGCACTACCATGCCTGGCTAATTTTTTGTATTTATAAAGACAGGGTCTCACTATGTTGCCCAGGCTGGTCTTGAACTCCTGGGCTAAAGCAATCCTCCCAGCTCGGCCTCCCAAAGTGCTGGGATTACAGGTGTGAGCTACAGTCTCCAGCCTTGCATTGAGTCTTAAAGGATCTAAGTATGAGAGCAAGGGGACAGAGGTGGGAGGGATGGTGTAATGGAGGACCTGGCAGCCATCTGAGGGGCACAAGGACTGGGAGAGGCAAGGGTGACAGATGGGCTGTGCTCTTGTATGACAGGTTGGGACCATATCCCTAAGGTAAGGGGAAGCCACTGACAGATTTTTGTCAAAGGGAGGTAGATAATTAGATTGACCTTTCAGAGAAGTCATTCCTGTGCCACTGCATGCAGGATGGTTTAAGGTACATGGCTGTGCTTTGGTCTAGGATAGGCCAAGGTGGACATCCGGGCCAGAGGGACTCAGTGAGTTTAGAGCACAGGTGTATAACTCCACTTGTGATCACAGCCATGTAGCCATAACACGGAAGGCCATCACTTGGCTCTAAGCCACTATTGTCTGTAAAAGGTATAATTGCCCTGTTGACACTGTACAGGAGCTCATGCCCAGAGAAAGAGTTAAGCTGCTGACCCTGAAGGCAAGTGAGAGCTGGCCACACAGCTGTGCGCGGGAGCGACTGGCTCAAGCAGCTGAGACAGAAGAGACAGCGTAAGAGAGCTGCTGATGAAAGAGCTGCTAATGAGACAGCTGCTGATGAGAGCGCCCGCTGAACAAAATCATCTTTCACCTACCTACGGCCCCCTACGTGTTCTTTCAGGCATCCACCCACTCCCCTCAGACCTCAGCATGGGCTGGAACCTGACTCTGAACCTAACAGATGGATTGGAGGGCAGTGAGGTTGCAGGGGAGAGATGAGTCAGGAGCTCCTGGAGAGACAAGGTAAAAGGCCACATCAAGGTGGTGGCAGCGGGGAAGGCAGGGTGGGGAAGAGCCTGAGATATATGTAGATTTAGAGTTTGCAAATATGTTGGGCAGTGGTAAGGGTGAGCTGGTAAGGGAGAAGATGACGTCTAGATCCTGTGCTTGGGTGAGTGAGTGTATGGTGAGGCCACTACCCAAGACTGAGAACAGAGAGGACAATGAAGAAGCAGGCTTGGCGGCTCTGGGGTGCAGATGAAAGGTTCCATCTGTAATTGTCAAGAATGCAATGTAGCAGTCGTCCCAGCAGAGGAGACATGTGGGTCTGGAGCCTGGGATCGAACCTCTCTTTGAGTGTCCATTATATCCCCTGTGTTGGTTCACCACAGGTAACAGAGGTTTGCTTCCCACAGCAGGGAATCTGTTTCTCAGGGCAGGCACTAGATGGGCCATGCCCTTGTCCTTTAGGCAGCAGCGGCACTGAAGCTCATTGTGTGGTAGCATTCACACAGCATCCACGTGCTTTGGGGAAAGCCTGCATGAAACACTGTCTTGGGAATCTAAACTGTCATTTTTGCATTTTGATTCTAGATCACTTATTAATTTACCTATGGGGTTCCTGGTAGTTTGTTGTTGTTGTTTTTAAAATCGTTATTCCTTTTACTATAGTTTAGTGAAACTGGAAGGGGAGGCTTCCCGTTGCCTGGATAGGCCAGAAGACACTCCCACACCTGTTACTTGTTCTACCACAGGACTAAGACTATGAGAACAGCACTAAGGAAGAGCGGGGAGGTATAAAAGCATCTCCCAATCTTACCGCTGGGGAAAAGCAGAGCTGTAAGATGGACTGACAGCTGGCCACTGCTGCACAGAACTATAGCAACAATGTGATTATGCTCCAAGAGGCCCCTTCCAACCCTGGAATGTAATTCAGGCTGAACGTTCAGTAATGATGAGGACTTGCACCAACCCAGCCTTACCGTGACCAACACCACCAGGGGCCAGTGACACATGTACTGCTCACTCTGTTAGTCAATATATGAACAGGAAGTAGTGATAATCATGATAAAAATAGGATCAGCAACCTGTACATTATTGAGCACTGGGTACCATCAAAGGTGAACCTTTTATGTCAGGAAGTTAATTGGACATTATTACATTACTGTGAGCTCTTAGAGATTTAAGCTTGTCGTCAATATCCCATCAATTCTGTTTAAAAGTGGGTGGCAGGCCAGGTGCGGTGGCTCACGCCTGTAATCCCAACACTTTGGGAGGCTGAGGCAGGCAGATTGCCTGAGGTCAGGAGTTCGAGACCAGTCTGGCCGACATGGTGAAACCCCTTTACTAAAAATACAAAAATATTAGCCAGGCATGATGGCATGCACCTGTAATCCCAGCTACTCGGGAGGCTGAGGCAGGGGAATTGCTTGAACCAGGGAGGTGGAGGTTGCAGTGAGCTGAGATCACGCCATTGCACTCCAGCCTGGGCGACAGAGCGAGACTCTGTCTCAAAAAAAAAAAAAAAAAAAAAAAAAAAAAAAAAAAGTGGGTGACAGAGTTGCTTTGTTTTAGAGGAGTCTTTAGACCCCAATATCCATCTTCTTGTGACACGCCCACGGTTTTACTGTTACGGTTACTCACGTCATTGAAGTGTTGGCTGGTTTTCATAATGTAAGGAGTTCTTTCGTTTTTATCCAGCTTCATCCACCCCTGCCCAAGAAACTCCCTGGAAGTTCAAAACAAAACACAAAACCAATTAAGTTTTTAAAAATATGGTGGCTATGATCCTGGACAGTTGTCACGAATATTAGAAAAATTCCATTTGACATGGCCTAGAATGGTTCCTGACACCTGCTGCTGCCAGCCTCACAAGTGAATTTTACCTCGGCTGTTGCAGTTTACCTCTCAATGCCAAAAAGGAAGATTCTTCAGCTTCCAGCTTTCTCTTATAAATGTTTGGAACTGTGTCCCTATTAGGATCCTATAAAGCCTTCTCTGAAGTTGGAAAACAAGAACCAACACAAGGGAAATAAAGAGGTTAAGTACTACCTTAGAAATCAAGACTATTTTCCCAGGATTAGCTTTTAAAAACATTAAGCCTTAGCAGAGGGTCCAAAAATTTCATCACTACCAAAAATGTTAGTCAGAAGCAGAATTTTCTCCCTCCACTCTGCGCTGCCTGCCATTCTCCTGGAGGATGCAGATTTCAAAGGCAGGGATTGCGTTTTGTTCTCCCCAGCGCTCAGGAGGGCGCAGGTGGTCAGGGCTGAAAAGCGCTCCTTTTAGGCTTGTACCGCATGTTGCCCTGACCAGGCAGTTCAGCGGGGCAGAAGCTCCACCTGGTCAGATGGGCTGTCTTCAGGGCAGCATTCCTGATCATTCACTTCATTCCTGAGCAGGTCACCAGACACAGCAAGAAACAAGGGACAAGTGAGATGCAGCATACAGGAATTATTTTGTATAGTCATTAAAAACACTCGAAATTACTCTGATACTCAGGTTGACTAAGTCCCTGGGCAGGGTTCTTTGTCCCTTGCTGTTGTTGGTCCTGCTCCCATCCTGCAGAGTGCTGGACACAGAGGCGTGCCAGTTCCATGGATGGAAACAACTGGTAGATACTCACACAGGAACTGAGGGGACAGACATACACACAACCTGCCTTAGGAATAATGTCAACTTCTAAGACAGCTAGAGCAGCCGAGCCCTGCTGCTGTGGGGGGTGGCACTCACTCGTAGGGAATGCTTCTGAAAATGACATGGTCCAGGAGGGTGATCTGTTCTGCCAGCTCCATGGCCGACAAGGACTCAAAGCATTCGGCCTTCATGCAGTCAGTCTGCAAGAGATGAGGGAGGGAAATGAAACACCCAGGAGAGGGCGCCTGCCATCTCATTGCAGGTCAGTGAGGCAGACAGCTGCATGTGTGGAAGCATGAAGTTCACCACTAAATTCTAACTATGAAAAAAATGGCAGAAAGCTAAAAGTATCAAAGCCAACATGAATATCTTAGACCAACTGCTAGACCCCACACCAAATGTGGTTCATCTCACAGAGCTTCACAGATAGGACAGAGGGCCTAATACTACAACACTCCTTGATCGGTTACAAGCATATTGCTCGCCTTGGAGAGGTAGTTTGCACATAGTTGTGCTAGATAAAAATGTGGTCAGACTTACCATTTGAATTATATCCTCTAATTTTAGGTGGATGTCATCTTGGTCATCTTGTGAAAGGGCCCTGAAAAAGATATCAAATTATCCTCCATGAAAGAAAAAATAGACAACCTAGGAACAAAACTACAAATGCAGTTTGGTTTTCCCTGGATGGGAGGTCTGAGGATTTGGGTCTACAAGGCCATGCAGCACAACCAACTGCTGAGCTGGAGATGAGCAATCCCCAAACAGAAAACATGCTCAAGGCATGAGAGAATCATCAGGACAGCTGATTTAGAACAAAAAGGCAACCTGTTACATACAAGGTTGTAAATGAAACAACCACCGTCACAGTGAGTCTGAGGGTGAGCTGGGTGAGCTCTGAGTTACCATCCATAATGTAAAATGGAGCATCCTCTAATGCTATCAGCCAGTTGGACTCCTAGGCCTGAGTGCCCTCCTCCCCACACCTCTATCCCCTACCGTGGGCTTTCCCTGCCCTCACAGAGGCAGGAGACGCAGGGCCACCCCTTTCTCAAGCTTACGTAGACCAGAAGCACAGGGGGTTCCTATGTGGCAAGACTCTGAACAATGCCAGGCAGGAGCCAGCAGATAGCTTCTTCCCCCTTGCATTCCAGATGGACTTTCCTCAGACACTTTTGGCCCTGAATCTCATACATGTTATTCAGCTCTCAATAAATATCTTTTAAAAAAATAAATGATGAATGAATGAATGAGTGAATGAATAAACACAAGTTAATACCTTAAATACTGGTTTCAGAGTAGAGGGTATTTTTGTGCAACAGACGTTCAGAGTCCAGGAAAACTGGAGTCCAGTAGGCATCCAATTACATAATTTGCCATTGGAGCCAGGCATTTTATGTTTTCCAAAAGGAAGGCACAAGCACATACTCAAAGCATTAAAATAGTAGGAGGGCAGATCATGAGGTCAGGAGATCGAGACCATCCTGGCTAACACGGTGAAACCCTGCCTCTACTAAAAATACAAAAAATTAGCTGGGCAGGTGGCGGGCACTTGTAGTCCCAGCTACTCGGGAGGCTGAGGCAGGAGAATGGCGTGAACCAAGGAGGCAGAGCTTGCAGTGAGCCGAGATAGCGCCACTGCACTCCAGCCTGGGCGACAGAGCAAGACTCAAGTCTCAAAAATAAATAAATAAAATAAAACAAAATAAAATAGTTAAACGGTCCCAAACCATGTACTCTGCTGGAGGAAGCTACTTTTAGTAAAAGGCGAAAGATTTATGCGATATGAAGAGAAACTAGAGTAAGAGGAAGCTACTTTTAAAAGAAGTAATGATGATGTGATGTTCTGTTGTGTTCTGAGTTGATTAAAACAACAGCCACAACCCTCAAAAACATAATATCAACAGAGATGGCTTCCTGTATGCCCGCTCTATGCCAGGCATGTGCTAAACATTTGACATGCACTATCTCCTGTATCCTAACAGATCCCTTCCAAGGGATTGTTATACAGGACAGCAGATAATGCAGGCATTGTGATCTCCGTTTTACAGATAAGGAAACAAAAGCTCAAAGACACTGACTAAGTTGCTCAGGGTTGTGGGCCCTTCCTTTACTCTGCGCTTCTCTTAAGCAGGCTCAGGGAAGGCACCTCTTCAAGGGTCCCACACACAGCACACAGTCAATAAACACAACTCCCTTCCCTCGGCTGTCTGAAGGGGGAGCAGGAGCCTTCTAGATTATACTAGTAGCAGCCCTCTTATCGGCACTTAGCCATATTATTTGTGAGTAGAAAGAAATAGTCATTTTATCTTAAAGGGCAGATTAAGATGAGGAAAAAATAAGTTAAAGCTAACTCTTTCTCCAAAGCCTATTAAATTACATGTAAGGGTTACACATGGGAGATAAAAGTGACTTTTCCGAAAGTGCACATCATCTTTTCCACCATTCTAGGTTCCTGGAGAGAGATCTGTGGCTCCATAATTATGTGTACCAGTGGGAAAGATCTTTTTATGAAGCTGGGTAATATCTTTCCCTTGGAAAGAAAAAGTCAAAAAGTTAGTTAGCTCCCATCAAATGTTCCTCTTCTCAATGATCTTACCCTCATTTTCCAAGAGGCACTCTGGTGCCATTAAGTTACCTAACATTTTATGCCTTCCTGTTGATGCTATGTGGGGTTTGAGGATGACTTTTCTATGACCTGAGCCCATCACAGTTGAACATCCAAGAAGTTAATCACTATTTCTTTTTATTTTGTGGCATGTTGGGTATCTAGAAAAACTCTACACTGAATAGATTTTGAAGACAGCTAGTTAGACAACTTTGGAGGAGGAGAGATGGTATTTTAGAAATATAAGTTTTGAGTACAGGTTTTTATTTACAAACAGGGCAACAAACTATATATGGCAATTAAGTGTATTCATCATACACTTAATTGTGACCCCTGTGAGACTGTGAGTCAGGGAGGCTTCATTCAAAAGAGCATTTGCTTTATTGCATTAATGTAACCTATGCATGAAAACATGTTTTATGTTCATATCTCTTAGATGTCAGGAATGCATATAAATCTCTAAATGTCAGGGCTGCACTTAACCACCATATGATATGTTTTTTATCTCTCACAGTCATAGCCTGTGTTTTCTAGAGGGCATGGTTCAGAATTCTTTCCCTTCAGATGTGGAGGCCTCTGCACTTCTGGTTCAGTTCCAATAGAGAAAAGATTTGCTTCTAGTCTTCTGGCGATGCTTGGGCATTGATGAACATTCCAGGATCCTGGGTTCCCCACCACCATCACTACCACGTCTATCAGCAGTATCACCAGTTTAATAATTGTGCATTTATAATGACACACCAAATAAAAGGAAATGGGATTATCCAAGCTGTATGAATAGAAAATTCCTCTTTCAATTAGGGTAGTCCAAAAACAGAGCCACAAGCAACCAGTGTCTGTCCTGGGATTGGTCCACACTGTCTTTGTGTGGAAAAGGTGACGAAGCCTAAAGAAAGTTGAGTTGACTAAGATCCAGCCTGGTTTCACTTGGGCCATATGGCCTTAACGGCAGAAACTACTTTTTCCAGGAACTACTGTCAGTGCTTCTAACAGTAATAATACTCACTTTACTACGAGTGCTAATGACTTTTCAGGCATTGTGTTAACCTCCTTACACATTTCACATCATGTACTCTTCACAACAACCTAATGAAGTAGCTATTATGAGTCCCACTTTATAAATGAGGAAACAGGTTTGGACCGGTTGAGAACTTGACATCCATAAATGGCCGAGCCAAGATTTAGCCTTGTGACATCCTGCAAAAGGTAGAATCAGACTCTGCTCAGTGTTGTAGTTTCAAGCTCTACTGCCTACTAAAATTTCTGTTCCCTATCAATCTTACACTGCTAACTCTCAGGTCATTATTCAGCAGAAAGAATTGGCACATCTGAAGCCTGATGAATAATCAAGACCTGGGATGGCAAACAGGATTCATCTTAAGAACCAACTCCAACTGACTGACGTCTGAGGTCACCTCTTGGTGCAGAGAGAAAGCTCTCAGAATTGATGGGTAAAGTCTGGCATGGGCGTCTTGAGGGGATTGGCAACAAAAGGCCCTCATACTGGTTGATCCTGACAGTTTTTCCCAGCCTGAACACCCTCACTTCCCTGATAGCTATTTAGTCAAATATCCCTAGGGGCACAAACTTCCTGAATCTAGTTTTTAAATATTAGTGTTTTAAATGCAAAGAGCATAACAAACTAGTTATGAAGAGAAAAGAAACAGTAATCACTCAGAGTCCCTCATGCACTGAAATCAGGCTTCACCTCAATATGTACTTACAATTTTAAAATCTGAAAACAGACACAGTAGTGGAATCCCTGGGCTTACTTAGATGTTTTCATAGAATGGAAAAAGTGAAGAAGGCCCCTAACTGTTTCCTAGGGCTGCCTTAATAAAATCCCACAAACTGGGTGGCTTAAAACAACAGAAATGTATTGTCTCACCTTCCAGACAGAGGTCTGTAATCGAACAGTCAGCAGGGCTATGCTGCCTCTGAATCCTGGAGGGGAACCCTCCCTTGCCTTTTTAGCTGCTGGTGGTTTGCCAGCGATCTTTGGCTTTCTTTGGCTTGCAGCTGCATAACTCAGTCTCTGCCTCCATCTTCAGATGGCATTGTCTGTGTCTGTCTTCCATGGTTGACTTCTTATAAGGACACCAATCAAAGTGGATTGGGGTCCACCCTACTCCAATACCTCCACCCTACTCCAGTACCTCATCTTAACTGATTACACTGGCAATGGCCTTATTTCCAAATGAGGTCCATTTTGAGGTATGGGAGGCTAGGACTTCAATATATCTTTTAGGGGGTAGGGAGATACAATTCTACCTGTAAGAGACCCTACACCAAAGAACGGTCTGGCTATGGGATCTTCAGCTAATGGGGGCTAAGAAAGACTTACAGGCCAGTTGCTAACACATCACAAACCAACATCTGGTGTTGCTGCATCAGGGAAGGACTTGCAAAAACATGGACTGAGCTAAAATAGACTGCCTGTGGATGACACAAACATTCTGGATAACATGTAACAAGGAGACAATGCAGCCAAGCTTCGAGGAAAGGAAGGGTCATTTCTAGAGGTTGTAAATGAAGAGGGAACTAGAAATGAGAGTGGTAAAGAAGTACCAGACCCTGGCAGAGAGATGCTGGGCTTCCCATCCCCAAGCACGGACAGAGGACGTACTTATGAGTGAGCTGGGAAGCTGCAACTGAAATGTCTGCACAAAGCTAGCAATGGCTGCCCTTTCCACATAGAGTGGACAAAAAAAAAATCCACCCACCAGTTCAAGAAGCTATAAGAAAGCTTGTTACCCACTTGGATACTGGGTGCAACAACTATGGACACAATCTCTAGCAGTACACCCAAAGTTGAAGCCTTTATCACATAGAAGTGTGGAGTCATACCTTATACAATCCCCCATAGTCATACCACCTACGTGATGTGGAAATCCTAAACTGACAAGCTGTAGAAAAGCTGGTCGAGGACCAGTGAAATGAGCCAAAGAAAATTCCTAACTACTCTGTGATGTCACATCCACATTTTAGGTGCACGAGACTCCCACAGACACAACCACACTCACAAACATGAGCTTACAATAAACAATTACAACCCACAGGAGGAAACATCATCTCTCTTTGATGCCTGCCGGACTTGCAGGAGAGGCTCCTCAAGGGTTCCTTTCTTTAACTGTTGGTTCTATAGTAAACCGCTGTCTGCCTCCATAAATAACAGCAACTGCACTCCACACGAGTTATACCACCCCGTCCCGAGTCTTCCTGAGACAGCAGACCCCAAATTGCCCCCAGGAAAGAGAAGATAATACATAACACTTTACTGCTGAGAACATAGTCCCCACTGTCCCCAGGATTCTAAGATTTATTGGCTCTTATTTTCTATGAACATAGCAGGAATCAACCAATGTCATCCAGTCGGCATCTTCAGCTGCCTTCACCTGAGGATATTCGCGGCGGCTTTCCTTTCTTGGGGAAGAAGGTCTGGGTCTCGCAAAACTTCTTCTAGCAAATTTAGGACATTCATCTTTAGTTCATTGTTGAGTTCGAAATCCTGTAAAATAAAATGAATCTTTTTAAATTTTAGCTTTGAAAGGGTTAGCTCTATGACACATGACACCATTCTCCATGATAAATTCTCTAGAAGCTAGGTATGGAAATTAAAATGTATGGACCCTAGAGTTCCCTGCCACACCTAGGGTCCCGATTTAATTGGTTAGGAATGGTGGTCTGTTATTGGTAGTTCTGACAGGCTCCCCTGGGGGCTCCCCAGGGGGTGCAAATGTGCAGTCAGTGTTGAGAACAACTGCCTCTAGGAACAGCCATTGGGAAGGGTCCTTAACAGAGCTTACGAGGCCCTGGCCCACCCCTCCAGCCTCTTCTCTCACACTGCTTGCATCCCTGTGGCCTGCAACACGTACCACGCCCCCAACACACACCACGCCCCCAACACACTCACACTGTCCTAGACTTAACAAATGCCTTCAGTTCCTCAAGAGATATGTGCTTCTCATAGCCTGGAACACTATGCCGCCTCCATACATGTATTTCTATTCATATTTTGGGCCTAGGAGATGATATGCACTCTCCCTGGAGTCTTCTTAATTCACCCAGTGGGATTGGGAGCTTTTCTTTGTGCACCCACGGCACACGTAACTCACGGCTGTCAACTCCCTGTATTCCATTGAAAGGGCCAATTTAATTGCCTGGCTTTTTTCTGGACCATGAGTAAGATCAGTAACTGTGACATACCAGTATCTCAAAGAATATTTGCTGCAAGAATAAAATCTGTCATTTAAGCAGTAACTTGAATGAAAATATGCTAAGGCTATCAATATCTATATCTACATCAATATAGATATGCTAAGAGCTAAAGAATGACACAGACTAATGGGGCCACATCGAATGAACATAGAAGTGAGATTGAAGAGGCACCCACTGGGGAAAGTTGGGACAATATGAGCATCAAAATGAATAATGAGAGTAATAAGCAATAACCAGTTTAATAAGAAGAACCTGTAAGTCCCTATCGATATTGATGCTCACAAAGACAGACAGATTTTAAAAAGGTAGAAAATAAAACTATTCTTCTTCTTTTTTTTTTTTTTTTTAAATCACAGGGTCTCTCTCTGTCACCCAGGCTGGAGTGCAGTGGTGTGATCATAGCTCACTGCAGCCTCAAATTCCTGGGCTCAAGGGGGTCCCCCACCTCAGCCTCCCAAGTAGCTGGGACTACAGGTGTGTGCCACCATGCCCAGCCAATTTTTAAATTTTTTGTAGAGACAGGGTCTTGCCATGTTGCCCAGGCTGGTCTCAAGCTCCTGGGCTCAAGTGACCCTCCCATCTCAGCCTCCCGAAGTGCTGGGATTACGACCGTGAGCCACTGCACCCAGCCTAAAGCTATTCTTTATAGTAGAATTCCAAATAGTAGATGCAAAGAAATAAATGAGTTAGAAAATCACCATTTTCTTTTTTTTTTTTTTTTTGAGATGGAGTCTCACTCTGTCACCCGGGCTGGAGTGCAGTGACGTGATCTCGGCTCACTGCAACCTCCGCTTCCCGGGTTCAAGTGATTCTCCTGTCTCAGCCTCCTGAGCAGCTGGGATTACAGGTGTGTGCCACCACGCCTGGCTAATTTTTGGATTTTTAGTAGATACAGGGTTTCACCATGTTGGCCAGGCTGGTCTCAAACTCCTAACCTCAAGTAACCTGCCTGCCTTGGCCTCCCAAAGTGCTGGGAGCCACCGCACAGGCATGAGACACTGCACCCGGCAAAAAATCACCATTTTCAACCAAAGCAGTAATCACTGATTCAGGCAAGGATCATGACTGAATGCTAAAATGGTTGAATGAAGTGTATTAGAGAACAGAATTAACAGTGTCAGAGTACACCTCAGAGATTACTTATTAATTACAAAGGGAGAATCTGGCAGATAACACCTTACCCCAAGTGATCAAAGTTACCATCCCCCATGATGGAAGAAACCAACATCATATGTCTACTAATGTAATGCTCTGTAATGTAATACATCCTTAGTATTTCTGCCTAAAATGCATAAATTGATCTAATTTTGAAGAAGCATTGGCCTGTACTCTTCAGAAATGTCAGTGTCATAAACAACAGAGACAAACTGAGGAACTCTTCCAGCTCAAAGGACACCAAAGGGATAACAGCTAAATGCAACCTGTGAACCTGGAGTCAAGAGGCGAATGCTTTAAAAGGGCATTACTATGACAACTGGCAAAAATGGAATCAGGACTATGCACTAGTAGAGAGCATTCTGCCAATCTGAAATTTTCCTGAATTTGATCATTTTACTGTTGGCTGTCTAAGAGCAGGTTCTTCACTTATACACTATTGGTGGGAATGCAAATTAGTTCAGTCCCTGTGGAAAGCAGTTTGGAGATTTCTCAAAGAACTAAAAATAGAACTACCATTTGACTCAGCAATCCCTGGGTATATACCCAAAGGAAAATAAATTGCTCTACCAAAAAGAGACATATACTTGCATGTTCATTGCTGCATTATTCATAATAGCAAAGACACAGAATCAACCTAGGTGCCCATCAACGGTGCATTAGATAAAGAAAATGCGGTATACATACACCATGGAATACTATGCAGCCTTAAAAAACGAAATCATGGGCCAGGTGCGGTGGCTCACGCCTGTAATCCCAGCATTTTGGGAGGCTGAGGCGGGCGGATCATGAGGTCAGGAGATCGAGACCATCCTGGCTAACACGGTGAAACCCCGTCTCTACTAAAAATATAAAAAATTTGCTGGGTATGGTGGCAGTCACCTGTAATCCCAGCTACTCTGGAGGCTGAGGCAGGAGAATGGTGTGAACCCGGCAGGCGGAGCTTGCCGTGAGCCAAGATCGCGCCACTGCACTCCAGCCTGGGTGACAGAGCGAGACTCCGTCTCAAAAAAAAAAAAAATCATGTTCTATAAAGCAACATGGATGAAGATACAGGCCATTATCCTAAGCAAACTAATGCAGAAACAGAAAACCAAATATCACATGTTTTCACTTATAAGTGGGAGCTAAATCTTCGGTTCACGTGGACATAAAGATGGCGACAGTGGACACTGGGGACTCCAAAAGGAGGGAGGGAGGTGGGGGCAAGGGCTGGAAAACTTCCTGTTGTATACTATATTCACTATCTGGGTGATGAGATCAATAAAGCCCAAATCTCAGCGCCACACAAAACCTGCACATGTATCCCCTGAACTAAAATAAAAATGCAATTAAAAAAAAAATAACAGGTTTTTGTTCTTGGAGGGAGTCTGGGGAGAGAGAGAGAGAGAATACACGTTAAACATGTGAATGATTTCTGAGGGATTCTAGATGTGTATCAGTGTACTTTCTTTTATTCTGGCAATTTTTCTCTCAAAAAATTTTCAAGGTAAATGTTGGGAAAAAAAGAACAAAAAGGTAGAATTGTGTCTCTTTCATTACTTAATTAAATGTATCCTTATAAAACACGTGCAGGCAGCAGAGAGGAATTGTTAGGTATTCAGAGATGAACTGAACACTGCAAAGTCCTGCTTTTGAGGATCTTACTCTGATAGACTATATCTTTATATGTACAGACATGAGTGTTTATTTTCCCCCATATAAAGTTACTTATTATAATTACATTTTAACTTTCAGGAAAGTAATTTTGAAGCACTGACATTCTGAATCCTTTTAAATGATTGGAGAGAACATTGTTAATTGCAACGAATCAGGTAAAAAGAAAAGAGCAAGATTTTACTATATTTGGTAAAAACAATTAACAAGATCATAATTTCACAAATTGTAGACAATGCAAGTCTAATCTAATTTGAATTTAGTATTTTTGTACCTCAGTTGGGTGGCAGATGGTGTAATAAGTTATTCCCAATATTTTACTTTTTTTTTTTTTTTTTTTTTTTTTGAGACGGAGTCTCGCTCTGTCGCCCAGGCCGGATTGCGGACTGCAGTGGCGCAATCTCGGCTCACTGCAAGCTCCGCTTCCCGGGTTCACGCCATTCTCCTGCCTCAGCCTCCCGAGTAGCTGGGACTACAGGCGCCCGCCACCGCGCCCGGCTAATTTTTTGTATTTTTAGTAGAGACGGGGTTTCACCTTGTTAGCCAGGATGGTCTCGATCTCCTGACCTCATGATCCACCCGCCTCGGCCTCCCAAAGTGCTGGGATTACAGGCGTGAGCCACCGCGCCCGGCCAATATTTTACTTTTCACTGTTTGACCATAGTCCCAATTCTTCAGAAACAAGAGCCACTGGGGCCCAGGAGCAACATAGATGTCAATATCTCATCAATATTAAGGCTTCAGATGATGTTTTCCTAAAATTTCACCTATTTATTGCCAAACACCTTTTTGCTATTAGTTTTTTAAAATGTACATAAAGAGAAGAGAGTAATAGTTTGCCAGTGTTCTTTCCTTTGGTTCCACTCTCTCCCTCATTTCAAGGTAAAGGGATGTTTGTAAACGGTTAATGCTCTCACTTTCATCAATCTTTGTGCACTACATTCTCAGCCATCAGGACTTTATTTCCTTAATGAATATTTCACATATATTAGTGAGACAACTGAGTCCTCATGTAGCTATGTCAGGTCTCTAATGATACAAATAATCTGATTATCATAAATGCACGATTAGTGTGAAGGATATCAGGTTACTGTTTAGACCGTGCTGAGGGTCAATTAGTGGTTTGATCAACCGGCATTAGTGAGTACCTACTGTGCCCCATACTGGGCTCAACGGGGGAGGGGGGAGTGGGGTGGGGGACGCTTCTGGGGCCCCAGGATGGCAAATGTGGGAAAGGTCTTGTTAAGAAAAGCATAATGTAATTTTATTATTTTGAACTCTGGGAAGACTGGTCTGAGAGGGACCTTTGAAGGACTTAATGAAATCTGCCAAGACACTATTTGAAGCATGACAAATGGTCGCAGTTGAATAGTTGCTTTGCTGCTGATGATATAAATCAGACTCTGATATAATGCAAAGCAGAATCTCTGATAGTGGAGTATGAAATGGAAGAATTTTTGCCATCCATAATTTTCACTTACATTTGCACAGGTTTTTACAATGTACAAAGTGACCTTTAGTATATAATTTTTTGTTGTTATTTGTTTGTTTTTGAGACAGAGTTTCACTCTATTGCCCAGGCTGGAGTGTGGCACAATCTGGGCTCACTGTAGCCTCTGCCTCCCAGGTTCAATGGATTCTCACACCTCAGCCTCCCGAGCAGCTGTGACTACAGGTGCACACCACCACGCCCAGCTAATTTTTGTATTTTTTGTAGAGATGGGGTTTCGCCATGTTGGCCAGGCTGGTCTCGAACTCCTGACTTCAAATGATCTGCCCTTCTTGGCCTCCCAAAGTGCTGCAGTTACACGCGTGAGCCACGGTGCCCGGCCGTGTATAAAATTTTAATCCTTCCTTAGCTGACCCAGCATCAGACAAGTCAGGAACCATAATCTCATGGTCTCCCGTCACATATCGGCCACACAGGCTGAAGAGAGGTGATCACATGGGCTGAGATGAGAAGCATGGGGAAATGGAGGGGCTGGGACAAGAACACCAGTCCTTCTGACTCCTTCGTAGTCCTTTATACTTGCCCTTCTCAAACTGTCATGTGCACAGGGCTCACTAGGGGTTGTGGCTAAAATTAGATTCTGATTCAGGGGATCTGGAACAGAGATAAGGATTCTGCATTTCCAACAAGCTCCCGGGTGATGCTGATGCTGCTGGCCCGGGGTCCACCTTTTGAGTAGCAAGACCTTACATTACCTTTGTTTATCTATCAAAAAAAAAAAAAAGGTCACAAAAAAAAAATCTCAAGAAGTAAAAGAAATCTAGATCTTCTGATGTACTACCTAGAATGATTTTATTTTTTACAAATGCATGTAAAATACAGAATTGGTCATTCAAAAGTCCCTGTTGAAAATACAGTAGCTGCTCCTCAATAGAAAGAAATCTAAAGCAGCAAAAAGACATTTGCCCTATTTAAATCCAGAGATAAGTGATTCCTAATGTCTGGCTGACAGCTATGTTGTAATTGTCCGGCATGTAATTATTGGCTACATTTCCCCAAGTCCTGAAACGGTGGAATAAGACGTACCCGAGCGCCTTCTCGGAGGCAGCAATCGAGGCGCCCACAAGATGGCGCTCCCGGGTCAGCATTGGCTCTGGCGCGGGCCCCTGGGTGGAGCCCGCAGGCCTGGAGGAGGGATGTCGCCTGCCCATGTTTATGACACGAAGCCGCACGAAGCCTCATGCGCCAGGAGAGCGAATCCATGGCACCCAAGAGACCCCGAGGTACTTATTGAAGTTATCAAAGCAACAGCGTCTAATTTAGTTTTTGTTTTCCAATTCCTGAAGCAGGGATGTGGAGAGAGAGGATTCGAACGAAGAAACCGCCCTGCTCTCAAAGGTGGCGCACTCAGAAAATGCAAGACGTTTATATTTCATTCTCTGAAAAGGAGCCCATAGCTCTTGTTCCTTCAAAAAGAATTACTGAGTAACTCAACAAACAACGCTCTGCAGTGGAGGCGGAGCAGCAGACTTCTGGGTGGGTTTGCACATGAAAGAAACATTAACAAAAGAAACCAAGAGAGGCTTGAGGAGGGCGTCCATCTGCAAGGGGCCCCCCTTGGGGACGCCCTACTGACCCTTAGGAGAGGCTGGGCCTGGAAACTGAGGTCCAGAAACCACCTGCAAAAAGCGGGTAGTTCTGGCCAGGAACAAGACAAAAACTGTCAAGGGATGGAGTGTGGCACCCAGCACACGCTTAGGAGCAAAACACTGTCCACCGATGATGCCAGAGTCTTCCAAGGGAGAGATGCTATTGTGAGATGAGTCTATTTTACCAAAATTGTATTGACTCTACTCAACATGTTCATAAATAATTAGGAAAATTAGCATTTTACCTGGATCAGTTAAAAAAAAAAAGAACAAAAAACAAAAAACAAACAAAATCCTAAAGTAATTGTAAGTAAGACAGTGAGAGGTTGCCCCATGCTAGGTAATTTTTTTTTGAGACAGAGTCTCACTCTGTCACCCAGGCTGGAGTGCAATGGTGTGATCATGGCTCACTGCAGTCTTGACCTCCTGGGCTCAAGGGATTCCCGCCACCTCGGCCTCCCAAGTAGCTGGGACTACAGGCACATGCTACCATGCCCAGCTAATTTTTAAGATTTTTTTTTTTTTTTTTTAGAGATGGGGCTCTCTCTATGCTGCCCAGGCTGGTCTCCAACTCCTGGGTTCAAGCAATCCACCTGCCTTGGCCTCCCGAAATGCTGGGATTACAGATGTGATCCACCACACCTGGCCACATTTTAGCTACTTTATTATCTCATTTAATCGTCAATAGCAATACTGCAACATATTTACTATCATGATTTCCATTTTGCATATGGGGAAGTCCAGGTACAGAAAATCTAGGTATCTTATCCAAGGTCAGACAGTTAGCAAGTGGCAGGCCCATGACTTAGATCCAGGCTAAACTCTTGGCTAAAGCCTGAGTTTTTAAACTGCTTTTCTAACCACTCAACCTCTTGAGATAAAGCAACTATCGAGCTGGGCACGGTAGCTCATGCCAGTAATCCCAGCACTACGGGAGGCTGAGGCGGGTGAATCTACCTGAGGTCAGGAGTTCAAGACCAGCCTGACCAACATGGTGAAACCCCATCTCTATTAAAAAATACGAAAATTAGCTGGGCATGGTGGTGGGCGCCTGTAATCCCAGCTACGCAGGAGGCTGAGGCAGGAAAAGCACTTGAACTCAGGAGGCAGAGGTTGCAGTGAGCCGAGATCGTGCCATTGCACTCCAGCCTGGGTGACAGAGTGAGACTCCATCTCAAAAAAAAAGAAAAAGAAAAAAAGAAAAAAGCAGCTATCAGTGACTTAGTGGCTGCTGGCTTGGGGAAGGGAAGGCTGAAATGTCAAACAGTTGCAGAGCCTGGAACTATCTCCCTTCACTGATGACCATTTGAGACGGGGATCTGGAAACTGTGGTTTCCAGTCTGAATAAACTAGTTTGCATTAATGAGGCTAGATCATACACCAGAAAAATCATCTGCAAAGCAATAAATCAGATTTTCTAGCACTTTAAAACGAATCCCTGTTGATAGCTTAGGCATTTTAGAAATGATATTCATTCTTTCAGGAGAGCAGGGTAGTAATTAGTAATTTACTATACATGGCCAAGGGAACTCTAGGACATTGGGAAAATCTGATTCTATAAACACAGTTTGAGGCTAAAGAGAATTATGAGAGTAATTTTCTCAGTGTAATAAGTACAGTATATTCCTAACAGTGGCCAGAGGTTTTAAAAGGAAAGTGAAAATACTGCAGAGTGGATTAAAATCACACAAATAATTTTAAAATCTGGAACAAAGAGCTTATAAAGAAGGACTCAGGATGTGTTGAGCTCAGAAATAAGAGGTGGGGGGTTAATTTAATGATTTTCAAGAAAATGAAAAACATACTACTGTTTTCTGTCTTGACTACACAAGATGAAGAATTTAAATTGTGGTGTAGAGTTAGTTTAGACTCGGGCCAGTTTGTAAACTGGGAAGCTGAGGCAAAGGCACTGAATGATCATGATATATGCAAATCAGCCTTGACAGGTCTGGGGTACACAGGTTTGCATTCCTCATGTTCATGAACTAGAGACAACCTCCTAAACCAAGGTGGTTTTCAACTCTTCTGAGGAGAAGAGACCTTATTCAAAACTTTAACATTGAAACCCTCTTCCAGGGGAGATTGTGCTGGCTAAAACCTGGGATGAGAGCCTCTGCAGGGGACCCGCTCGCCTTGCTCACCGGCCACCACCGCTGGCCTGCCTGCGTCGGCGCCACCTTGGGGCAACAGGGACTCTGAATCAGGGCTTCTTGCTGGAAAAGTGAAAGGGTAGGGTTTTCTGGCATTTTCCATTGCCTAACTACAAAAATATTTTAAAAGCCTCATTGTTCACACGATGAAAAAGAACATTCTAATAGAAAAACATAAGGAAGGGCAATAAGTTTGGAATTAAACCCTACATAGCAATACGACAGTACTTCTAAACTTTCCAATACACGTTCAATACTTACTAGTCATTAACTACTCAGTAGGTTCTTGAATCTTCAAAGAGGAACAGAATGTAGAGAAAATATATGCCTGACAATCATCTGGGGACTTATGTTTCAGGTAGTAAAACCCACAGACAATTAAACCCCAAATCTGGTAAGCTCTGTGCCTTGCTCCTGGTCAGCCCTCAAACGTTTGTAGAATGAATGCATAAAAGTCCATGGGGGAGAATACTTGACTTTGAGACAAGTGGTAATAAGCTACCTAAGTTTTAAACTGGTGGTTTGGGAAATTAGTTTAGCAGATGTGAAGTGGGAGGCTACGGGGAGAAGGCACAGCGAAAATGTGGAAGATATGTTAGAACAAAAATAACTGGGAAGCGGCAAATGGCAATGAATGACACTAATTCAGTGAGAAGGAAAAAACCCATCCAGAAAACTATTTATTTGATCATTTGCTGACAAATGACTCTGCATTTGAATGACTGCTAAAATTCAGCCCCTAGTTCTGAACAGCTGTGCATACAGGAATCTTTAAATACTGCCCCACAACCCCGGAATCAGATCGCTTCCAAGCTTACATCTTTACGCCCCAAAAGGGAATCAGTCAGTTTAAAAAGCATTTACCAGAAAAAAAGAGAATTTTTTTTTCAGATGCTGTGTTTTCCATTAGGTAGGTGGTAAATTTATATGGATTGTCATTTTCAAGAAAATGACAAAGACCAGAGGGAAAATGAAAAGTCTGGAAGGGCATCCTTTTATTGCCAATATTTAAAACTGTATTTAACTTTCTTAAGTAATGCCCCCTGCCAACAAAATTATCTTTGAGTTTAACTCTAATATAACTAGAAAGTAGTCATTAGTTATACTTTTCTTTTTACCCTGATCCATAGGAGGGAAAAAGACTGACAAAGAAAGCTGGTGGGTGCATCCTTCCTTCCCCAAGGAGAAGATGCACTTAGAGTTACAGGAAGTAGCATCTTTGACATTCACCCAAGGAGAGACTTTATGCAAAGAGATTGGGAGCTATAAGTTAATGACATCTGAGAGCAGAGTGGAGAGGAGAGGAACACAAAGAGAAAGGCAACAAGCAAGGCAGAGCCGTGGGGCCTTGAGAACCAGTTGATAACACAAATGTTAAGTCAGCTCTTGGCATTCTGAGGCAGCTCTGAAGTGATGGAGAGCACTGGTCCAGGCCTGGTCGGATCAAACAAGGACCAGGTGATGTCAGGATCATTGTTCCCCATGCTGAGGGTTGCATGCCGCAGTCTCCAGAAATGCTTCCAAGGTCCAAGAGTGATTACAAGAGTGGGGAGACAAATTAGGAAAAATAAGGGCTCTCCATGGCACTTGCATCAGAAAACTCTTACAACAGAGATAAGAAGCTATCGAAGTACATAAAATTCCATCAACGAAATCCATCCACAAAAGGTTAAGGAATCCCACTAGTTCAATGGGGAAAATGTTTCTGTTTCGGCAGCTAATGAAAACGGAAAATCAGTGCCATTGAAGGCACACTTCCTAAAAGCTTAAATCTAGCTTATGCTAGCTTAATAAATCCTGCTGTAAATGTCTCACTGTAAGGAGAGTTTAAAGGATAACAATAGGGATGTATAAAAATAAGAAAAAACTTTGGTAAATAGTTCAAGGAACTAGGATTTTCTTACTTGGTTGGTTGTTTGCCTGGACCAGAGAAAAAGAATAAAAATCTATCTTTGGAATTAAAAAAAAGAAAAGAAAATCCATACTTATCAGATAATAGTTTCTTACATTTCATATTTTCCAGAGAGATATGACAAATAATTCATTTGTGCATTATAACTTCACACAGATAATTTTGCCAATTTTACAAATGTGGAAACTAGCAAGCTAACAATGGAATCCAAACTAGTGTGCAAGTTTCCAGGTTTCTCTCCTCATCTGAGACCTTTTTGACCCAGGAACCTCTGAAGAACTGAAGTGAAATGTGACGCCTAAGGCATCTGTTCTGAGGGGAGAAGGAGAGGGCAGCGGTCAGTAAAAGATTACAGCAGGACCCAGCACTGCCGTAAAGATAAGGGTCAGCCTATGTGTCCAGGAAATCAGAAGGGGCCAAAAGGAACTGAAGTTGCTGGCCTATTTAAATTAAACGGAGCATTCTCTATTTCATTTGGGCGGCTGTCATGGGGAATCTGTTTGTGAACAAACACTGGTGTGTGCCTGGTGGATGTTTGGGATCTCTTAGCTGAGATACGCAGAGGCTGACAGTGTCGACAGCTAGAAGTGAATGGGTGCTGATAAATAATAAAAGGGTGAGACTGACATAAAAGTGTGTCGGGCGTAGTGGCTCACGCCTGTAATCCCAGCACTTTGGAAAGTTGAGGCGGGTGGATCACAAGGTCAGGAGTTCGAGACCAGCCTCGTCAATATGGTGAAACCCCGTTTCCACTAAAAATACAAAAAAATTAGCTTGGTGTGGTGGCGCATGCCTGTAATCCCAGCTACTTGGGAGGCTGAGGCAGGAGAATTGCTTGAACCTGGGAGGTGTAGGTTGCAGTGAGCCAAGATTGCACCACTGAACTCCAGCATGGAGACAGAGCGAGACTCTGTCTCTGAAAAAAAAAAAAAAAAAGTATATAGGCCATCGATTATCCTCTGACATGGTGATTGTATAAAATTATCTGTGGCTAGGCACAGTGGCTCATGCCCGTAATCCCAGCACTTTGGGAGGCGGAGGTGGAAGGATCACTTGAGGCAAGGGGTAGGTCAAGGCTATAGTGAGCTACGATCGCACCACTGCCCCCCAGCCTGGGTGACAGAACAAGACCCCATCTCTTAAAAAAAAAAAAAAGAAACACACACAGAAACAACAAAAAAAACATAAAACACCATTTGCAAGGCTGAAGCAGCAGACAACTCATTAGTCATTTAAAAACATCTCATAGCTGCTAGCATTTCACATTGAGACCAAATTTTATCTTCTTATTCCTGGTATCCCCATCAGTCCTACCAGCTGGGGACATGCCCAGGAGCCTCGTGGCACTCTGTGGTGCCTGAGCAGTGGGCAGCATCTCACCCACTTGTCAAGGTGGGATATCTGGGGTCTTGAGGCTTCAAGAACAGCGGGGGTTTCCTGGCCCTTCACCGCGGGCAGCTCTGACTGTACTTCCTGCAGGCAGGTGGCCTGGGGAGGCTGGCCGGGGCGTCTGCTGTCACCATCTCAGCCTGGGAGGTGCAGTGGTTGTCAGCAGGGGCACAGCACTCCTCCCTGCACCAGCCTTTAGCAAGTACAAATCCTTTGAGCAACACAAAATAGACTCAGGGTCAAAAGTAACTTTCCTAAGGAAAGATTGAGAAACAGGGAAAGCATTGGCAGTGTTGACATGTGCTATTCTCACTGTCCTGAGTCAGAAGCGGGTTTTTATGTTTCACATTTTGAGCGGTCTGCATCTCAACAGTTGGCCTGCAAGATGGAGAGGCTGCAAGATTGGGGGTTCCCGGCAAAAACTGTGCAGCCAGACGGCGGGGACTGAAACCTGCTGCTGCCATTTGCTATCGGTGGAACCTCAGGGAAATGGTTCAGTCTGAGCTTCCATTTCCCCATCTGTAAAGCAGTGGTAATAACAACATCGACCTCCTCTCCCTCAAACGAGTGGAGTCACAGTAAGTGACTTAATATTTGAAAACAACTTGAAACAGTGTCTGATATAAAGTAAGTGATACAGTATTTTTTTTTAAATTGGGTTTCTGTCATTCAGAATCCATCTTCACAGAGGAAGCTACCTACCTTCATTCTAAGAATCAGGTTCTCAAGTCACCCATAAAAGACCATGTGCCCCATATCATAACTAAACCGATACCAAACTTCAGGCTGCTCCTAGATGACTTCTATGCAATTCAATGGTTCGTCCTCCTTGCTCAGAGTCCTAGTGACACACTTCTGCACTGGAAGTCTCATCCAGCCATGGTGAAGGCTTAGGGAAAGGGGCTTTTAAAGTCTTGAACTTCTTCAGGAAGTGGGGACAAAAGCCCTATTCACAGCAGAGAGGCATCTTTCTCCTATAAAGATCTCAAAGGTCAGGCCCCCATATGCTGAGATTGCCTTGCAAATGGAAGAGAAGATCCGCTCTTTAAGGGGCAGAGACCAGGCCAGGAGTGTGACAGAAAAGTACCCTGTGGCCAACTGACACGAGCCCGGATGGATGAGGAGGGCAGGGCTGGAAGCAGGCCAGGAGCCGTCAGGAGAGGTGACAGCAGCAGGCCAGGAACGTCAGGAGAGGTGACAGCAGCTGCCTGCTCAATAGCTGGTTGTTTCTTTCACTTTTCATTCTCCTGCCCACACCGAAAATTCTGTGCTGTGTTTGTCCTAGCCCAACCTCCATTTCAGATTTGGAACAATGAACAAGAACAATGAACAAACCTGAACTCAGTGCTCTAATTCAACACTGAATTTTGTGTTTCACTAGGCAATGCCAAATAGTCAACAAAAAAATTTAGAAGCCGCCCCTGTCATCTGTCAAAATAAGAAACGGAAGAGATGAACTATGTCCACTCACATTCTGGGAAAATCTGATCCCTGAGACCTTGAGCACACTAAGTAGAGGCCATCACACCGTCACACACTTTTCCACCTTAATAAGTCAGAGGGCATGTCCCCACTTTACCTCAGATCTGGGACTGCAGCCCCAAAACCTAAATTCTGTGGAGCAGACGGATGCTCATTGGTTGGTTCCTTTACTGGGAAAGAGCCATGGTCTTCTCTGAGATAACAGTGACTCTGAGGTTACATAAAGGTTTTGTTTTCCTCTCCACAAACCTAATATAGGTGTGCCCCCTTCAGCAGGCTTATTGCTGGAGCCATCGTGGAGACCACCCGGTCGGGTTCTTGTTTCAGAGGAATGAGGCACTGTGGGAGACTGGAAGGAATTTTGACAGCTGGGTCTGTTTCCCTATGGTACCTTTGAGTGGTCTAGAACTGTGCTGTTTATACTGTAACCATTAGTCACGTGGGACTATTAACATTTAATTCCATTCAATAACATTAAAACTCCAGCTTTTTAGCCATGCTAGCTACATTCCAAGTGATCAATTAGCTGCATGTGGCTAGAGGCTACTGTACTGGGCACCATGACATAGAACATTTCCACCATCACAGCAAGTTTACCTGGGCGATGCTGACTAAACCCCTTTGAGACTTAGGTGGTTCACTGGTCAAACGGGGGTAACAGCATTTGGCCTGCTTGAAGGTCTGGGTTTGGACCAGATGCCGCTTTCACAAGGTTATCTCTATCAAGAGCAGCATCTGCAGTGCTTTGAGCCTCCATCTGTAATGGCTACTCTGTATGTTTTAACTCACATAATCCTCACCCTCCCACAGAGGAAAAAGTGGCATTAATCCCCATTTTTACAGATGAAGAAATGGAGGCCTGGAGGAGCTAAATAGTTTGCTCAGACACAGCCAGTAAATGCCAGAGCAGGGATTTCCATCAAGATCACCCTAACTTCACACCTCCAACAGGATTCGAAGTACCCCCAGCTCTGAGATCTCTGCTACAAAGACACATGAGGACTGAATTTAACTCCTACTGTGATTTTTGGAGACGTAAAAATTCTCACCTCAGCTGCTATGAGTGACTAGAGTGTGGTTGTGAGATCCGCTAATTCCTGTCTTCTACCTCAGACTATATTTATTTGTTAATTGTGTTATGACAGTGTTAGGGAACATATATTTTAATGAAAGAGTGAAAAGGACTCTGTTTTGTGTGTGTGCGCGTGTGTGTGTCTGTGTTTATAGGATAGAGTATATATAAAACCCTCTTATAATGGGAAAAGGGTGCATATATGTAAAACATACCATAAGCAATGCTAAATGTAAAAGAACAAATTGAGAGAAACGAATATCATTTGACAGATAAAGGATTTTGTCCTGAATATATAAAAAGCTCATAATGTCAATGGGAACAATACTAAAACTAATAGAGCATGGGGTAACAGGAAGAGGGGCAGAGACTTGGAGGCCCCTCTCAGGTGCTGGAAATGTCCCAGATCTTGACCTGGGTGGCAGTTACATGGGCGTATACAGAGGCAGAAAGTCACTGACCTACACACTGAAGTTTATTGCCCTTTATATGCGGTATGTGATATTTCAATAAAAATGCCAAAAAGCATGTTAACTGAAATGTAAACTCAAGTTATTCATTATTAGCTAAAAATGTGTCTCTTTGTTCACCATAAAATGAATGTAAGAGAACTGGAGTGAGTTAGAAATATAACAGCTGAGCTATTTTGATAGATTTTGTGAAATTGCTCTCCCAAGGGACCCTAGACTCCCTGTATCATAAGTAATAACGGAATCATCAAATGGCATTACTGCTTCTTGCCAGTCCCAGTAAACCAGTTGATAGCCTATCCTTCCCCACCTGACATGGAGTTCTGGGCAGGCACCAATGTCTTTCAGTACTTTTTGCTTATAAGAATGGTGTCATTTCAACAGTCAAAATGTCCAGTTCAGTATATTCTTCAAAACTTCAGTCCAGCCTCCCTCTAGCCCTGGCGTGGGCTGCTTCCATCCTAGTGGCCTGCACAGGAGGCCCTTTCTGCTGTCTCCACCACCTCTCTACTAGCTGGCTATTGCTTCTGATCCTGTACCTCAGGTCCAGGGGAAAGCAATAATTTAGTATGATAGTGTAAGGGGAGCCCAGCCCTGGCTCTCTCTAGATGTGGCAGGTGGGCAGTGGCCAGCTTTTCCTGTGTGGGGCACTTTGGTGAGATTTTGGAGACCTCTCTGTGGGAGACTTATGGCCAGCTCCCCTGACCCTGGCAATGTCTGTCCTCCTGTGAGTCATTTTCAACTCCCCCAGGCCCTGGGCTGCCAGTGGTCTTTTTCACCCAGCGTCTGTCTACGCGTCACCCCTCCAGGCCGTCCTCTTGGGCAGGATGCAGGGCCATCCAGATTGGACTCCCCATGGACCCATCTGGTTCACTCAAACACATATGAATACAGCTCACTCCTAGCATCCACCACTCTTCACTTTGCCCAGCCAGCACCTTTCACCTTAACACGGAGGCTAGCTGGATGGTTTCCTTGAAGCATTTCCCATGTGGCTAGAAGTGAAAAGGAGGCATCTCCCCACCTTCCCCATAGTGGTAGGGAACTTACACAGATGCCTCTCTCTGGAAATCTCCCTCTCCTTGACCTCTCCTACCTCAACTTCCCACAGGTGGGTGATCACAATTGCTAGCAGGATTGATTTCACGAGCTCTTAGCTGGTCTTGCTTAGGTGGCCGAGCCACTCCATTAAGGCCATGCAGGCTGTTGCTGCTACCTATTTTACCTGCCCCTGTGCCTTTGGTCCTCTGCCTGAACGTCAGAAACAATCTGAAGAATTCGATTTAACAGCCGGCCACACACATAATTACGTTAAGTCCAGTGGCTGTTAGTGGGCATTTTCCCAATGGCTGGAAGCCCCTTGAGGTCAGAGACTGCCTGGATCTTGGTCACTCCCACACCTACCCCAATGTCTGGAACATTCTGGTGCCCAATTCTTATTAGTGAATGAATCAAGGAGGTGAGAAAACAGAAAAAGGAGTAGCAGTGTTCCTCTGTAAACTCCTTTGGGGAGGAGATTTTTATGTAGGTAGGTCATTTTTGTCTGATCTCATGTTTTAAAAACATGCCCCTAAGCCTCCAATTAAGAAAATATGTGACTGTTTCATTCTCGGCCACTTGTCATTCAGACAGTACCCAGAGCCTGATGGCGCCAGTGGTAATCTGCAGACACAGCTGCAGCCCTTTTACCAGCGTCATTCATGGTCTGTGAAATTCCTCGAATAAATGGACAGAGCATCTCTTCAGAATTGGTTGGTCAATACGGTAATTGAGGAAAACAAAAATTGCTATAGATCATACGTGAAAGGCCTTCGACAGAGTCTTGTGCACAGATCTGAAATGTCTATAGCCAGCCCCCATCCATCTGTCTGCGCGCAGAGGACAAAAGCAATCACGGGAACATGTGGTTAATAGCACTACAGGTCTGAAACCTGCAGGGACCTGGGAATTGTGTAAACGATATGTAAGGCCTCCCAGCAGGAGATGCTCAAGAAGCATGTAGACCTCTAATGAAAACACTTCCTTTACTTAGACTGTCTAAACACATGGCCCTGATTTCTGATCCATTAGTGATCATAGTCTCTGTCTGGGCTGACTTTGGAAACTTTAAAGGCTAGAAAATGACCTCCAGGAGAGAATGAACAGTGGAAACATTAAACTATAAACTCAATTTGACAAGTATTTACTGGGCATCTGCCATGTGTTCAGCATTGCAGAACTATGTGAAAGGAGATGCAAAGATGAATGAGACAAGCAAGGAGCTTACAGGCTGGTTGTAGGGTGATGAAATGTGCATCTCTCCTGTCCATAGCCAAAAGGGATTTCATCACACACATCAATATCATGCTTTATGCTTAATTCAGCATCATCTTTAACTTCATCACATCCTTGGGAGAGGTAAAGCAGGGATGGTTGTTCTCATTTTCAGAAGAGGAAACTAACACCCGAAGAGGTGGAGAGACCAGCTTGGGGCCCCACAGGAGCTACAGTTGGCAGAGCTGGAGTAAGAACACTGGTCCCCTGACTCTGGGCTGCTGTTCCCTCTGCTGATTGATAGACAAGGCACATGAGAGAAACCCAGTTTGGGCCTGTGGCTTCACTTTCAACTTAAAAGGCAACAAATAGTGAGAAGGTATAACAAAATCAGGAGCAATAGGCCAGAATGTATTCACATAGGAAGATTTTTAGAACCCCCTAAAAATGGAACATCCTAGCCTCCCCAAATATTAACTAAAGAAAAAACTAGAAGGCTCCAGAAGATGAAATGCTATCCTAGCACCACATGGGGTAGAGTTAGGAGGTGACATCCTGGGGCATTCTTATTTCTCTGGAGAACCAACCCCTAACCCCACACTTCTGCAACTTTTTAATTCTCCTGAATAAAGCTCAAGGTAGTATCTGCCAATGTTAGTTACCTTTGATGAGAAGTGAGAAATAATTAGATGATGTCGAACACTCTGTGGCAGCCTTGATTCTCTAGATCTGTGGGTAAATCTACATCTTGATTGATGTGGATCTACAGCTTTTCTGTTTCTAGAAATCGAAGTGGCCTCCCTGGGTAGTTCACCATGTGAGAAAAAATGTAACTGTTACCATGCTTGGCTGTAGTTTTGAGATGAGTACAACTTCCTACTCATTTTTTAAAAGCTACTGATTCAAAATAATCAGGTTGCCACAATAATGCTATATTCTTCCTTAAATGGACTCAACTAGTACAAAGTGAATCAGATAATTAAAAATCATCGTATCCAAGCCCTTCGCTTTATGATGTGAAAACCAAAAACAATAAGGGTGAGGGTTGGTTGACAGCTGGATTATAGCACACGTTTTCAGACCAGCAGTCCCATCTATAGCTATATGCTGCCTTGGGAGAGTAAAGACCTGCAGATAAACTTGGATAAAGATACCAAGATGGGCTGTTACTCTGAAAGCACCATAACAGTCAGCTTGCTTAGGCTCTGTGAAGCCAGGGCCACCTTCACATCTTCTGAATGAAATGGCCCAGGCTAGGCCCACAGTTGGTGAGAGGAGGCAGTATGCACACAATGAGGCCCGAAGACTGTGTGAGCTGAGAGCAGCTCTGTCTATTCGAACCATTTACCAATCCATCACCAAGAGCCTGCCTTGACTTGCTCAAACCACCCATTGTGGAGGCCAAATGATTACTGGGCAGCCATAAGTGAGTCAGTAAAAGGAAGAAAGGGAATCTGGACACTAAAGCCAGCAAAAAAGAAAAAAAATGCCCTAAAGCAATTCCCATTAAGTGGAAATTTCACAGAAATGTCCTGCACACGGTCGTGTACTCATACAGAGAGGATGAGGAAGGTGACAGGAGATTCACATGACAAGGTTGCACCAGGGCATTGATAACCAGCCATAGAGCCCTGAGGCCCACTCATGCATGCAGGGGAGGTAAGGAAAGACCTTATGGGAAGAACTTCCTTGGGCACATCAGTGAACGAAATAGCCAGGGTCTGTATTTTACCCAATGGTGAGGTCAGAAGAGAAGACTGGATCCCTGAGCTATTTACATCACTCACCTATGCCCCTGCTGGAGGGAGAGTCTGAGGAGCTGGGATCCCTCTAACTGGAATTGGAGATGGACAAGCTTGCTCATGTATAAGCACAGCTGCAGTCACTCAGGTCGCAACGCAGCTGAACCGTCTAAACAATTCAGCTGCCAAATCAGGTGGCAAACCTTACTGTAAAACTCTTTATTGTAAAGGGCTTCCATACACTAATCTCTCCCCATCTATGAATTTTTTCACCAAAAATAAAAAACTCCCAGCATTCTGTCATTTGCTTTGTGGTACTTTTGTAGCTACTGTAAAAATTATATGTGAATTGGGAGGGATTCCTGTTTGAGATAATTAGAAAAAGAGGGCACTGGGGATTGAGAAAAGGGAAGTAAGGTGAATAGGGGAACCAAGGCTGGAGGGCTCTGGGGAGAAGATTTGGAAGGGAGGAGGGGAGCTGAGGCCAGGGGAGAGAACCAGCTCAGCCTTATCTAAGATGCAAAGCTACTTTGCATCTTAGAAGCCACTGTGGGCCCCAGGAATTAACTGTCAAGATTCTTGAGAAAAAATCAGAGAGGAATAAGATGGACCATCAGACAGTGGAAAAACTGTAAATGCTAAAACTCATTATAGTGTTTTATCTGCAGTGAGGCAAAATGGATTTACCAGCAGCTCACTGAGACTACAGGGAAAAGAGACTAGACATTTCTCATGCACTAAGGATGGTTCTTGGAATTTGAATCATAGAGGATTAAATTTTTTCTATTTATTTAAGATGTGTAAGATGGAATGTTTACATTATTTAGTATGCTATCTTTATTACTTTAATTAATATTTAAGAACTTCTATGGGCTTACTTGTGGTGAGGCTTAAATGCCACTTTTCCTAATTAGTAAATTCCCTTACCACAGGGGTTTCAGGAGCCTGCCCTCATGGTGACCCTATTGAACAGACTGTCACTACCGAGGACCACGCAGCAGACATGTGATGGGCTCTGTGAATATAGTGGCAGAAACTGCAATTACTTTGGCACCAACCTAATAATAAAGACCTGGGAATACCTACCCATGGGAGTGCCATTTATAACACACGATTCTCATTAGCAGACTGACAATTTGATTATATTTCTTTTAATATATGCTGCACATGTTCTGCTCTGAGCCAGGCAGGGCCCATTCTCTCTCTCAAATGCTCCTTGCAGGGTGCCAGGCAGGTGGGTGTCCAGGAGGGCCTGCCTGGTATGTGGCAGTGGGTAAGAAAAGCATTATGCATGCATCACATCAGGGGGGCAAAGTGGCACCTGACTTGTTTTGTGAAAGGGGAATAAATTCTACAAACGTGCACTGAAAACACATAAACAGATAACAAGTGGGTGTCCTGTCAGTGTAACACAATTTAAAAACAGCATTGGGACCCAAAACATCAACGGGCATGAGACAAAATATCTCCAGAATCAGGCCCAGAAAGCACTCCCTGACCAGATCCCAGAGTGTTATTTACCTCCAGGGGGGACCGTGAGGTTTGTGTCTAGCTGGGTGGGGGGCGGGGATACCACTGCAGTTGGCAGCCTCTCAAGCATAGCTCCACTTACAGAGAAGACCCTGTGAAAAGTGCTCCCAGGGTAGGTGGCACAGCACAGAGGCCTTGTTGTGGCTCAGGTGCCCATGGGTGAGTGCTGTTTCCTCAGAAGCTGCAGGGACAGAGGAGCCCCGTTTCACTGTGTCACGTCATTTGCAGATCTGAAACAGTGGATGTTGGCAAGACACTTGTGTCTGCTTTGATCTGTATGCCTAGCCTATTTCTTCCCTTCCTAAGTTCCAGTGTCAAGGTTTCACATTGAACTCCAAAGAGTAGGGAGGTGTTTTACATGTGTCACAACTTAAAAAGATGATTTTTTAAAAAATCCTTGCAAGTAATTAATGAGGGCACTGACTTACCTGTGCGTGCTTTGAGACCCAGTGACGGAGGACGTTCAGAACTCGATTGGTAGCCGTTCTCCGTATAATAAACTCTTTATCACATGTTCTCTCGGTGTTGTTAAAGCCTTAGGAGAAAAAGAAACACACACGTGTTGCAGTTAAAGCCACTCCCTAGGGACCTGGAAAAGGTCATATATTTTAGGACATTGGTTAACGAAACTCACAGATGACACTTCTTGGCAGAGAGGTGCGCGTGGCTTCAGACTATTGTGAATTCCGCTCACCTATTACTCTCTCAGCAGCAAGGCCCTCGTGCGGTTACAGGTGCAATTAAATAAATAATGCACACATATTTATTGAAGACCACTGATTAAAGCTAAAGCTGCTCTCCTGACACCTCCATTTATGCCTGTCTTACTCTATAATACAAAGCCAAGAAGGAATCTTAACCAAGTATTTGAGTCAGCATTAATTTATACTTTTGCCTCGCAGTAACTGCACAACCGATAACATTTTCAATATCTGTAGATGAATTAGGCCATATCTTGGCTTATGGATGATTCAAACACTTTACTGTGCATCCCTGTACTGAGAAGCAGTACAGCATCACGGCTAAGAATGTGTATTTAAAAAATACTACAAGAGTAGATTTTAAATGTTTTCACCACACACACACAAATAGTAAATATGCCAGGTGATAGATCTGTTAGTTCGGTTTGATCATTCCACGACATAAACCTATATCAAAGCATCACATTGTACCCCATAAGAATATAATATCTACAATCATTATTTGTCAATTAAAAAGGAAATTTACAAAAACCCCATGGATTCCACAACCAGAGTGCCTGCTCTTAAATCACTGTTCTCCCACCCTGGCAAGTTAGGTTGCCTCTCTGGTGACCGGTTTCCCACATTCCTCATGAGATAATAAGCGTACCTACCTCATAAAGTTGTTGTGGGATTAAGACTTTTAATACATGCTAAACATTTAAAATGGCACTTGCACAGCAGTGAGACTGTAATAAATGTTAGCTACGATTACAAATCAATCTTGATTCACTGTCTTTGAGTCTTCTCTGTGCTGGCTAATGTCTCTATCTTGGCTACCTTTTCATTATCAAGAAACCATTTTAATATTTTTCCACTGACACACTGTTTTAAAAGATTCTGCCTTCCAATCACAATGAAATCACATTTCCTTTAAACATCAATTAAAGCCTTACATAACTTCAGTGGCAAACCTCTTGAAAGAGTTGTCTAGGCTGGGCACGGTGGCTCATGCCTGTAATCCCAGCACTTTGAGAGGCCAAGGCGGTGGATCATGAGGTCAGGAGATCCAGACCATCCCGGCTAACATGGTGAAACCCCGTCTCTATTAAAAATACAAAAAATTAGCCAGGCGTGGTGGCGGGCGCCTGTAGTCCCAGCCTCTCGGGAGGCTGAGGCAGGAGAATGGCGTGAACCCGGGGGGCGGAGCTTGCAGTGAGCCAAGACGGCGCCACTGCACTCCAGCATGGGCGACAGAGCGAGACTCCGTCTCAAAAAAAAAAAAGTTGTCTATACTCACTGATTCAACTTCCTCACTTCCTGTTCTCTCTACATCCTACTCGAAGCTTCTTATCCCATCTCAGCGACAAAACAGCTCCCATTTAAGGTCCTACCAATAACCTTCATGTCCCTATATCCAGGGGACAGGCTATAATCGCTCCCTAGGAAATCTCGTCTAGGCCTACCACTTAAATGATTACCTACAAGCAAATTAGTCATATATTTATATCTCCAGATCTCTTCTCTGAGTTCCAGATCCATATACGCAATATCCAATTGTCTCTTTCTATTTTCCTGTTATATGTTTCAAACACACTTCAAACTTGATGTGTCCAAAAAATAAATAAATAAATAACCAATGGCCTTTACACCAAACTTTGTCTTCTTCTAGTGTTCCCTAGCTCAGTAAAGAAATACCACCCTCCCTCCAGTTATGTAAACCTGAAACTTTGGAATTATTCCTGTCCTATCTTTATGCTGTTTCCTAATAATTTTATCTGCTATATAAATCTCAAATCTGTCCCATGTCTTCCCATCTACAAAACCAAAACTGGGGCTGAGCTACCAGCAACTCTGTCTACTGTAATAGCCTCTGGTCTCCTGTAACAGCCTCCCAGCTGGTCTCTACTGTCACTCTTGCCTCCTCAAATTTGTTTTCCTCTCTGAAGTCAGAAAGATCTTTAGGATTTTAGAAAGAAAATTAGGATGTGTTGTTCCAGTGCTTAAAGCTCTTTAGATGGCTCTTAGGATAAATACAAAACTCCTGAACACAAACTACAAGGTCTTTGGTGGTTTAGCCCTAGCTCCTCTCAGTCTTTTCTGAAACCATATTTTTCTCTCCTTCTTCCATTTCACCACACTTCTTTTTAGTCATTCATCCTTACCCCAGGGCCTTTGCACATACTGCTACATATCTGAAACAATTATCACTCCTCTTTTCACTTAGTGAAAGCCACTTTTGTTTCCAATTTCACTTCTCCAAATGAGCGCTTTCCAGCCTGAATTGGACAAAGCCCCCATTACATATCTCACGGCACCACACACATCTACTTTATGGTACTTAGCACATTTGAAATTGTACACTTATTGATGTGATTATCAGATTAATATTTGTGTCATCCATGAAGACAGGGATCTAGTATGATCTTACTGGGCACAAGCACCTGTCTGGCACATAGCAGAAGCTGTATACAATATACATTTGCAGAAAAATGAAAGCCTACATAGTATGAACTTACTAAGTTGTATTGCATGATATATGACTGTAAGGATAACTGAGTGAATGACTGAAAGAATAATTCTCGGAGCTAACGAGTGAGTTAAGAGAAAAAAAAAAATCTCTAAGTTTCTAAAGGCCAGAGGCCCCTTCTCCTTACTCCTCTTCGAATGTAGACAGGCATCTTCCACCCACCAGTGGACATTTTAATTCTGTCAGAGGATGGTGATGATGTGTTCTTGGCAGAGTAAGTATCTTGGAAAAAAAATCTTTTGTTATTAAAAACAGAAATTCTGAGTAAAATATAACAAATATCCTTCTAAATGCATAGCTGAGTTCTCAAGAAAGTAAGGAATTTTCCATGGTCAAACACACAGAGGGATCTGAAAAGCAGAACCAAGTCTCTGAACTGATGCTGGCTGTGCTGAGGGGAGGGAAGGCTATCAGTAGCATGGTGTTGGGATTGTAACATCCACATGGTTCAGGAGAAGAAGCCCCAGGACCTTCATGAAGTGGGAATGGGGAGATGGGAACTGAGACGCCCACATAAACCTGGAACTCTCAAAGGACCACCCCTCCATAAAAGAACGTAACAGGGAAAAAATTTATCCTACCTGCAAAAGGAGACTACTAAGAAACTTGTCTGCCTCTGCCTCAGTGGGGTTGTGGGAGAGGGTGGAAACATTCTCCTCAAGAAGAGATAATCACAGCCCACTTCCTGCAGGCCAGAGGCTCAGGTTGAATCACTATTGTATGGTATACCCATCTAATGAGAAGTTAAAATAAAAAGTGGCCTAGGCCAATGATGACCCTGAGGACCCCAACAAAAGCACATGCAAAACCTCTGCCGAGGAACACATACCTCAGCCTGCACTGGGATCACCATGGAGAAAGCCCTTGAAGAAGAGCTCACAATCCAAAATTATAAAACGCACAAACCGTCCACATGTGCAATGATCAGTAGGCACAGGGATCAGGAACCTGATGCTCCCCACCCCACCCCTCCATCATCACCGCCAAGAATTTCAGATATGAGAACTATTAGATAGCTCTAATTTAAACATACAGTATGTATTCCACATGTGAGATATTAATACAATAGATTCTCCCGGATTATGGAGAATTGGGTTATGCTGCGCATGTCAAAGATGTCTAAAGCCCCCCAAATATTTGCTATTTTCTTTTCCAGAAAATGGTACAAGGACTTCTTGGGGGTGGATCTATGATTTTAGGAGAGAATGGCTTCCACATGATTACTGCCACCAATTAGCAGTGTAGTCCATATTTAAATTAAAATATATTGTCCAAGGAGCTCCCCATTTAGGTGGTGGTTTGCAGCAGACACTCTGGCAAGTTGTAGAAAATTGTTCACATAGCTTTAAAGACTGTGAAAAGTGGTGAGATGGGCATGTCTGATTGGAAGCATGTTGGCATGGACCTCGATGTCTATGTCATAGCAAGAATGCACGATCAGCTTCACACATGACAGCACAGTTAAAACAATCACAGCTAATGAGTATACAGCACCCCCTTTTACAAAAAATGATCAAACTGCTACAGGCATGTCTCTTGGAGAGATGACATCTGGTTTGGGGCATTTCTAAATTGTCCCAAGGGCATTTGGGACAAATTAGGAATTAAGAATGCCATTTCAGTGATGCATCATTTTTCATTTCATACAAATGGGACGTAATCTGTCCAACAGCATCAATGTTATCAATGTGCTTTGCTTTGCCCAGTAGATATTTTTCTTTTTCCTTTTTTTTTTTTTTTTTTTGAGACGGAGTTTCGCTCTAGTTGCCCAAGCTGGAGTGCAATGGCACAATCTCGGCTCACTGCAACCTCCACCTCCCAGTTCAAGTGATTCTCCTGCCTCAGCCTCCTGAGTAGCTGGGATTACAGGCAGGCGCCACCATGCCCAGCTAATTTTTTTGCATTTTTAGTAGAGACGGGGTTTCTCCATGTTGGTCAGGCTGGTCTCGAACTCCCAACCTCAGGTGATCTGCCCACCTCAGCCTCCCAAAGTGCTGAGATTACAGGCATGAGCCACTGCGCCCAGCCCCAGTAGATATTTTTCTAAAGAACTGTAGGCAAGATAAAAGCATGTAACTGGTTTGTATACTACCGTGCACTTGGATTACAACTGGATTTCTACTCTTTGGTTGCTGTTATGGAAAGATCATTAAGATTTATTGCTGCTTTGTGCCAGGTGCTTTGCTATGAGCTTTACAAGTGGTCTATAACTTAACCCTCACAACCAAGGCAATAATAACAATTGCCATTCATCACATGCCCACCAAGTGCTAAATATAGTACCATAAGTAATGCGGCTTCTTCAACATAAGAGCAACTGCATAGGTTAAACATTGTTATCCCAATTTGCAAGCAAAGAAACAGGAAACCAAAGAGGCTAAGAAACTTGGCAAAGGTCACAGAACTAAGAAGTGTGAGAACCAGGATTTGAGCCCAGGTCTGTCCATTTCTAAAACTAGAGTGCTCTTAATTACACCCCTGTGCCAGGATCCAAAGTGTAAGCCTTAAGTTTCTCTTGCAAGTTAGTAAACCAACACTTAAAGGTATGAGAGAAGACGCTATTTGGCTATTTGGAGAAAGAAAATGCTTTCCTTTTAATTCTATCTCTCTTCTAAATTTTGAAGTGTGAGAGCATGACACCACTATTAAATAGACAGATATGTTTCATATTGTCATGGATTTTAAGGCAAAACCTTTACTTGTCTAATGGGAACTTAGATTTCCTCAAAATGTGCTCTTTTCCCAAACTCATCACATTTCTTATGTGACAATTATGTGGACCAGAGCTTTTCTTAGTGTGGATTGCAATAAAAAAGTTTAAAAGTGACTGATATAGACAATCTGATTACTAGCACTATGTTTAAAGAATCTGCATTAATTTCCCTGAAATCCTGGGTAATCAAGTTTGTGCTTTGCTATGAAACATGCTGAGGAAAAAGCAGAAGATGCTTCTCCTCTTGTCACTGTGCCTGCTTTGCTCTGTCGCCAAACACTCTCTTCATTCTCTCCCTGACCCTCCAGCCTCTCCACCTCTGCCTGATTCCTTGGTTCCTCTTTTCTAGGGTTGTCCCCATTCAGTTCTCACCCTCTTGGGGACATGCCCTATCTTGTGGTTTTTCTATGCCTTCCAACCTGACACCTCCAGTTCCAACAGTACCCCAAACTCCTCATTTCAAACTTCCTATTAGACATGTCCATATTAATGACACATTCTCCTCTCCTAAGAAACATATCTAAAAACCAAGTGTATGTGTCTTTTCTTCCAACTGCTCCCCAATCTAACTTTCCCATTGACTTCATGGGATAGCCATGGTTTCAACCTCTCAGGTGGGACACCTTACTCTTCTTTGTCTCTCCTTGGTTTTTCTCATTCAGTCAATAAATTCTGTGAACTTTTGGTAGCACCTGTTAGATTTATCCCTTCTTTTCCATTCTTCTGCTGCCATGCTGTGTGCTACACATATGGGTTTCAGTTATTGTCTCCGAGATATTCTTCCTTTCTTCATTCTCTCTGTTCTTACACTTTCCTTCTATCCACAATTCAATTATTCAATCAGTATCTATAAAGCACCTACTATGTTCCAGATACTGTGTAGGTGCTGAGTGAACAAAGGGAGATGCTCCCTGCTCTCGTGAAGTTTTCTCTATAAAGCAGGAGGAGATGGGCTTCAAACAAGTAAGACGCCAAATTTACAAAACTCAAAACCTTGGAAATGAGTAAGGTGCCTATCTCTTCCAGAATAATCTTCCCAAATACCCCTTTAATTTGTTACTCCTCCAACTCAAGTACTTCTCATGTCTCCCTATTGCCCATTGAACCAATCTAGAACATTTTCCTAGACATGATGAGGTTAAGTAACTTGTTTAAGGTTACACATCTAGTAAACTGAAAATAGCTGGTCAGTGCAGACAAGCAGATTTTCCATACATACATCATGGTAACAGTGTTCACTGAGTCTATGAATTGACATACTGTTTCTGGAGAGATGAGTTAGGATAACAGTTAGGATTATGGAAGCTCAACTTTAGTCTGGATAGGGCAGGACATTTGGTGTAGTAATCTGCTGGTATATTCAACTGCTTCTAAACTACTTCCATCTTTATTTGTTTATTTATTTTTTTGAGACAGAATCTTGCTCTGTCACCTAGGCTGGAGTGCAATGGCACGATCTTGGCTCACTGCAACCTCTGCCTCCCGGGTTCAAGCAATTCTCCTGTCTCAGCCTCTCAAGTAGCTGGGATTACGGGCACCCACCATCACACCTGCCTAATTTTTTGTATTTTTAGTAGAGATGGGGTTTCACCATGTTGGCCAGGGTGGTTGCGAACTCCTAACCTCAGGTGATCCACCTGCCTTGGCCTCCCAAAGTGCTAGGATTACAGGCATGAGCCACTGCGCCCGGCCTAACTGCTTCTATCTTAATGGAGTACAGTTGGCAATCTTTTGTTTTCAAGGTACAGAAAATCCAACTCAAACTGGCTTGGAGTAGAAAGGAAATTGCCATTTCACATATCTGGAGACAGTGATAGTTCTAGATTCAGATCTCATTTGATTCAGAAGCATATGATGTCATTTCTGTCTCACTGCCAAGCAGAAAAGATGGGTAAGGCTTTGCTAGTTTTATAATCTCACCACACATCATCCAGAGGATGAGAGGGCATTCTTTCTGGAAACTTCCACTGAAGATAGAGGAAGTTTCTATCCGAGGGCCCCCAAACAAATCCTTGCATTTTGCTGACATAAACTGCATCATAGGCCTTCTATAAACTCATCATTTGACAATGGTAGGGATAAGGGGTGGTAAGTTCCCACACAAAGCACATGGCCAGAATGTGAAGGGGCAGTTTCTTAAGGGTGTCATTGGCAAGATGCTAATGAGGCAATGAACAAATATGCCTCAGAGTGGATTTGCTTGTCTGTTTTTACCTTTCTATAAGTGTGTTCTTATCCTTCAGTTTTTAAGTTCATCTCCTTACTCAGGTTAACCTGAGATTTTCTCTAAGTGCAGTTAACTGTAACAATAAACACACACACACACACACACACACACACACACACACACACGCACATCCTTGTAGACGAGGGAAAGCAGCTCAGCAGATCTATCATTATTTGTGATGAAAAATACATGAAGAATGGTAAAATCAATATCTTTGCTTTCATCTTTCAAGGAAATCAGTAATTAAAACTGTCAATTAAATTGTTCTCATAGTTTTTTTAAACAACATGTGTTGTTTAGATTCTTAAAGGAATGATTATATATTGAATTTAAAATGAAACTTATTGAGAACCTTTGTGTATTATTTATTTTAATTCCCATAATTCCATAAAAACATATTCCTTGTTTTTATAGATGAGGAAACTGAGCCTCAGAGAAGTCCAACATCCACCTAAGGTCACAGATGGTAAAAAAAACCCAGGATTTATGACCAGATAAATGCCTCTAAAATGCAGGCTCCTCCCACTGACACATACCACCTGCGTGCCAACTCATGAGGAGCAGCAAGTTGTTCCTGTTGGTTCTATGTAATTATCAGCCCTCCCATCGCTGCTGTCATCAGCTTTTATGCTCGTATAGAAATGCAACAAGAATATACTGCCAGGAAAAAGGCGGAAGGTGACTTCTGCCAAAGGAGAATGGAGACAGGGGTTAGTGTGAGGTGAAGCCACAGGGTGAGCCAGTTTAAAGACTTCCAGAAATTGTCTGGGGCAAGAAGGAAAGGGATGGGTTAGAAGCAGAAAGGTGACAACATGTTTGTGGGAGACAATAACATGAACCAGTTGGAAAATTAAAATAGAGTGCTCTAAAAATTCAAGAAATATAATACTCCAGGTCAGAGTTTCTTGACAGCAAAATCCATATTACTCAGAAAGGCCTTTGAAAATACAGCAAATGCTCTAGAAATGGTTAATATGCAGAACACATACACACACACACACACACACACAAACACAAAAGGAACACACTTTGAATTTTCTGATAATTTTCTTGTCTGCTCAACTTTGTGACCAACTATCTAAAAAGTGAAGGGAGGGAGATTTTGTGTGCTTTAGTTTGAATTCCTTGATGGGGCATTAGTTACCTCCTGTGGATAAGATGTCGCACTCCAGCCTGATGTGAAACAATATTCACCCCCTTGGCATTAAGCAAACTTTCCCCACAAACCAAAATAATAACGATTTTTAAAACCCTCTGTATTTCTTTCTACAAAATCCTACATACACACCTAGAAATGCTTTTCCATGGGCATGGGATCAGGAGTGAGTGGTAGCTTCTTATCAGGGAGGGTGCATTTAAAGTGTGTTCAGTTGTGAATGAGCATGCGCCTGCGTATGCAAGGAGAGGGGGATGGCCACCGAATTAGTGGAGATGTTCCAAAGAAGCCAAATTAGATAATTTTAGAGATGGTTAATAAGGGAGGATGAAAATGGGCCATTTTCTTCTCCTCAATTTTTAATATATAATAATTTATACAAAAAGGTTTTAATGTCTAAACACAGTAGGCTTTACCATTACAACATGAATGGTAGGAAGGGTGGGAGGAAGGGCGGAAACCAGGAAGCACAAAGCTAGCCCAGCTTGGTCAGACAAAATGTTTACTGAGCATTTTTGTGCCAATCAATGGGTAGGAGTTTTCTTTTGTGGACAAGGAAAATAGTTGGCTGCTCATAGGAACCTATGTTCTACTGGGAGGAGGCAGACATAATAAATAATAAATCATACAAGTGCTATTATTATCTATAAGCAAATAAATAAGGTAAATTCCAATATTGAACAGAAAAAGGGTGACTAGGCCCATGTGAGAGAAAGGGCACATTAGCTAGCTCGGGCTGGGGAAGGCCTTTCTAAGGAGAAACACAGGAGTTGGGACATGAATGAAGAGAAAGACAGAGTCATGTGGAGATTTGGAGGAAGAGTGTTTCAAGCAGAAGGAGCAGTGATTGAAAAGGCTGGGACAGCTCTGCTTGATGGAGGGATGGGAAGCAGCCCAGTATGGCTGCAGCCCAGGAATCATGGGAACAGGAAAAGGGAGGTAAAGTCAGAGAGTAGACAAAATCACCAAGCTTCTTTTAAGCCAGTTTAAATAGCTGAATTTTATTCTCTGGTATTGGGAAGCCATCAGCGGGTTTTGCCCAAGGGAATCATATTGTCTGATTTACATTTTAGAAAGGTTACTCTGGCTGCCATGTGCAGTGTGCACTGGAGGGGGGCAAAGTGGAACGAGGAGAGGCCAAGAGTGAGGTAGTGATGCAGGTGATGCAGATACTGTAGGTGGTGCAGGTGATACAGGTGGTGCAGGTGATAACAGTGGTGCAGGGAGTGCAGGTGCTGCAAGTGATGCAGGTGGTGCAGGTGATGCAGGTGGTGCAGGTGATGCTGGTGGTATGGGTGATACATGTGGTGCGGGTGATGCAGGTGGTGTGGATGATAACAGTGGTGCAGGGAGTGCAGGTGATGCAAGTGATGCAGGTGGTGCAGGTGGTGCAGGTGATGCAGGTGATGCAGGTGGTATGGGTGATACAGGTGGTACAGGTGATGCAGGTGGTATGGGTGATACAGGTGGTACAGGTGATGCAGGTGACGCAGGTGGTATGGGTGATACAGGTGGTGCAGGTGATGCAGGTGGTATGGGTGATACAGGTGGTGCAGGTGATGCAAGTGATGCAGGTGATGCAGGTGGTGCAGGTGATGCAGGTGGTGCAGGTTTGGGCAAAGGCTGTGGCTGTAGATGGTAAGAATCATTGGTGATGGAGGGGCTAAGATGTGCTGATCAATCAGATCTGAAGGTCTGTACTGAATTGAATAGTATTCTCCCCAAATCCACATCCATGCAGAACCTGTGAAGGTTACTTTATTTGGAAACAGGGTCTTTGCAGATGTGACCAAGTTAAGATGTCAAAGTGGATTATGGTGCGTCCTAATCATTATAAGAGGGAAATTTGGACACAGACACACCTAGAGGGAAGAAGACCATGTGATGAAAGAGGCAGATATTGGGAGTCATGATGCCACCAGCTGGGGAACCCCAAGGATTGCCAGCAAACACCAGAAGCTAGGAGGAGGCAAGGCAGGATTCTCCCCCAGAGCCTCCAGAAAGTATGGCCCTGATGACACCTTGGTTTTGGACTTCTGGCCTCCAGAACAGTGAGAAAATAAATCGTTGTTTTTTTAGCCACCCAGATTGAGGTACTTTGTTATGGAAGCCCTACAAAAACGAATTTAAGGTCTGAGGGAAAGAGGAATCAGGAATGGCTCCACTGTTCAGGACCTGTTCAGCTGGGTAGATGATGATACCACTTCCTGAGATGGGGCAAGGGCAGGTTTGAGGGAGGAAATCAAGAGTTTGATTTTAGACATAGTTAAGTGTGAGATGCCTCTAGACATCTAATGATCACACTGGAAATGCAAATTGAGAGTATCAGCATTTAAACAGTACTTAAAAATCAGAAGTCTGGATGGGCTCACATAGGTACAGAGTGTACCAGACAAAGCCCGTGGCCCCACAACCAGGAGATATTGGTCAAAGAGCCAGCAAAGCAGACCAAAAGAAGGAGGAGAGCAAGTCCTGGAAACCCAGGCACATTAGTCTCATGGAACCCAAGAGGACAGGAAATATTTCAACAAGGAAGAAGTGATCGCTGTGTCAAATGCCACTGAGAGGTTGAGTAAGACAAGGGGATTGGATTTGACTCTGGCAAGCTATCGGTTGTCAGTGACCTGGGTCAGTCATTCCAAGAGTGACGGAGTAAAAGTCCAAATTGAGGGGAAAAAGAAGGTGATGAAGTGGAGACATTAAGTATGGCCAATATTTTCAACACATTGTGCTTTGAAAAGAAGCAGAGGAAGGGAGCCATAGCTGGTAAAATGGGTGATATTAAGACACCGGTGCTGGGGGCAGTGGCTCACACTTGTAATCTGAGCACTTTGGGAGGCTGAGGTGGGTGGATCACCTGAGGTCAGGAGTTCGAGACCAGCCTGACCAATATGGTGAAACCCCAACTCTACTAAAAGTACAAAAATTAGCTGAGCGTGGCGGTGTGCGCCTGTAGCCCCAGCTACTTGGGAGGTTGAGACAGAAGAATTGCTTGAATTCAGGAGGCGGAGGTTGTGGTGAGCCAAGGTTACGCCACTGCACTCTAACTTGGGCGACAGAGCCAGACTCTGTCTTAAAAAAAAAAAAAAAAAAAGAGAAGAAAAAAAAAGACGCTGGCATGCTATAGGAATGATTGATAAAGGGGGAAATTGATGTCAATAGAGAAAAGGGTAACTGCAGGAGAACAGTTCTTAAGGAGGTGAAAAGGGATGGGATGGGGCAAAGCGGAGGGGCTGACCCAAGGGCAGTGTGGGGATGATTACTCCACAGCCTCGGGGAGAGGGCAGAGGCTGAGACCAAGTGTAGTGTGCTGGCGAAATCAGTGGAGGGAAGAGGTCATCCTTGACCATTTGTATCTGCTTTTGCTGTGAAATATGAGACAAGATCATCAGCCAAGCCTGCAAGGGGATGTGGAGATCTGAGAAGAGGGGAAGGCGGTAAAGGGTAAAAGGCAGTGTAGGAACATGACTTTACTAGGATTGTCTGGCAGTGCAGAATATCCATTTAAGATCTGAAGTCTTCCTGTGAGTCCCAGCAGCACCACCCTAAGAGTCTCTCCAGAGAATGGCTCTGCTGTGTCTGAGTGCCGAGTCGGCCTGACCCCGTCATTGTTCAGTCATGCTCTTCGTTGCTCCTACTCCCCACCTTTGATCTTTCCATCAGAACTTGCCAGGGGAGGCATCTGCTTTTCCTCATGTGCCCTGGAGGCAGCCACAGAGAGGAGAGGCCGAGGGGTCAGAGTGACGGCATCCCTGCCTGCAGCTGCTCATGGGGGCTTCCATTTTCAATTCTGTGCCCTGCGTTGGAACTTACAGAAAGCCCAGCGAGGAGAACACCACTATCACTGAGTGCACACTGATGTGTGCAGTGAAACCCCTGCAGTTAAGAATTTCAGACGGATTCTAACCAACTTGCTGTAGAATTCTATTCAAGTGGATTAGTTTAACAACTGACTGATTGATGATTGCAAATTTTAACAATCTCTCGGTTTTGCAGTTTCTCTTGTTTGTGTCCCTACTGGTGATGCTTTTCTGCCCTGCCCCCTCATCCGAGGCTGCTATGGGGCAGAAACAATAGCTACGTCTTGGTTGGCCTCCAGTCCTCAGGACTGATACAAAACAGGCCTTGGATAAATTGGTTGCTGTGTGTATGTATTACAGTGAGTTCTTCTAACTGTGTTAAGTAGGAATTTCTGCTGGGAAGACCAGACTTGGACAGGCCAGGTCCTTTATGCTGACAGCCTTGTATCCGTCACTCTACCCATGGAGGGCAATGTAACATAACTCACAATGGTGCTAACAGCTCAGTGTGGTGATGCTTTAACTCCATACTGCCAGGATCATCCCGTCTCTTCACTCGGGGAAGACCCTGCCACCTATGACTTAAAGACTGAAGTCATTTCATGAGGGGGATCAGGAGACACCCTAATTTCCCTTCTTTCAAAAGCTCTCTGCAGTTTCGTCCTCATTCTTTTCCTTTACCCCTGGGGAAAGCTAAAGATGAGCTGGGAAGAACATCTCAGAAGGGACTGGGAATTTTTAAATCGGCTTAGCTCAATGAACGGCCTTAGAAAAATCCCCTCATCTCGGGTTCTCAGTGTCCTTTTTGGTCACAAAAGGAGCTTATCTGGATGCCTCTAAGGTCCCTTCCTTAGTGTCTCCTTGGATGAAGCTCAGGTTGCCCACCATGCATCTGATACCATCCTTTCGCTGACCTCAATTACCAGCCCTTCGTCCCTCCCCCATCCTTCCCCTTCAGTATCCATAAATCCCTCCCGTCTGTGCACAGAGGCCTTTCCTCAACACCGCCACTCCCTCACATGTGACAATAGAGGCTGTGTCTTTCTTGCTTATCTTAGGTATCCTTGGAGTATCTGTAAGCAGACAAGGGCTTTTGTCAGGAGAAGTAAAGTTCACGGCCAGGTGCTGTGGCTCACACCTGTAATCCCAGCAGTTTGGGAGGCTGATGTGGGTGGATCTCCTGAGGTCTGGAGTTCGAGACCAGCCTGACCAACATGGTGAAACCCTGTCTCTACTAAAAATACAAAAATTAGCCAGGTGTCGTGGCACGCGCCTGTAAATTCCAGCTACTTGGGAGTCTGAGGCAGGAGAATTGCTTGAACCTGGGAGGCAGAGGTTGCAGTGAGCTGAGATGGCGCCACTGCATTCCAGCCTGGGTGACAGAGCAAGACTCCATCTCAAAAAATACAAAAAAAGAAGAAAAGAAAAAAAGAAGTAAAGTATCACTTTACTTTTTGCCCCAGTAATCCGCTGGTGCTTTGGTCCTGGGTGTTTCTTAGTAAAGTCAGGCAACACCAATTCTATACACCTGACTGCATCTATGAGTTTACATAAGGCCCCTGAATGGAAATAGACTACAATCCCATCTTGTCTCTTTGAGGTTCAATGATGCTGAGATATATCAGGTGGACCTATATGGCACAGAACCAGGTCAGACAGTAGGAAAGGATGATGGGGCCTCCAGAGAGTCAAGCACCAGGAGTCTGGCCTGGTGTGTTGGAATAAGTCCCAGGGCTTATAGAAGGTGTAAGTAATATGGTCTGGACGAGTTAGCTCCAGGCTAGTTGGCAGAGATCTACACTGGCCCCAGAAGTGGCCATGAAGAGAGTGGGCATCACAGAAACACCTCTGGAGATGAGTCAAAGCTTTGGCACGAGCAGCAGAGGCACACAGGACCAGCAGGTGGGGCTGTTGATATAGTTAGGACAGGACACATGGCCTAGAGCAGCATCACCAGGCAAGGTCAGGCGGATAATGTCAGGTGAAAACAGTGCTGGAAATTCTTGGAAATATTCCCAAAGAATTCTTTGAAAGATGGATTTTCCTGTGATGATCCATACTGATTACAAGGTGAGAGAAGCAGCTATTAAGTTATTAGAATTCAAGAATTGAAAAGAATCGGGCCTCGCTTTGGGGTCCAGTACTGGAGGCCTGGAACATTGGGTTACATTTATACCTCCCTGCATGGAAAAGGGCCTTACACATGGTAGGGACTCGGTCCAACTGTTCGATTCTTCCTACTTTTTAAATCAGAGATTTTTTATTCACTTTATCATTTGTGGATAAATAGACCAACACAGACTGCTTCCATTTATGGGAAGACCTTGGTATTTCCTGAGTCAGGAGGTTCCTAAACCTCCCTGCTTTGGAATTTACCACACTTCTCTTCCCATCTCCTCCTCCCCAGGGTCCGTAACCACAAGACTTGAGGTATTGTAAAGTACTTTCAGTTCAGCAACTGAGGACTCAGAAGAGAGGCCTGTACACAGTTGTGAAACCTTAAGCCCCTGGAAAACGCCCACCGTTCAAGGGCAAGGTCACGCTGGGTCCCACCCTTGGGGAACCCTCCACACTGGCAGGCTGCGGATTGGCTCCGCCTGTCTTTCATGTCTCTGCAAAGTGTTAACAAGTCGATTTCTATCGTTTTAGTGGAAAATGGCCGCTCAATGCTCAATGTTGAAAACTTTCAACACAGATTACTGAAAACTCTTAAAACATATTTGAGAGCCTCCAAGTTCCTCTTCTGCCCCGCCTAGATGTCTTCCCCTCATCTACATAGGACTCTAACTCCTATAGAGGAATTTCATCATTCCTCCCTCTACAATCCATACTTTGCTGATCAGGCCAATACTTACTAATTGGTATGCAACTGCCAGAAGGCAATAGAAGCTCCCCAAGAATTCCACCCCTAAATCTGTGTTGCCATCGCTATTCATTAGACAAAGTCCTTTTTGAAAACCACAAATTCTGAAAGTATTTTCTATGCAACTTCCCAAGAAATGATTTAACAGTCTAGAAATGATTCAAGTCTACCAGATACTTGTAAAAAAATATTTTCTGCCAAATCAAGTCAAAATATTTGGTTAATATAAATATGAATTAATGAACCATATTCATTCTTAAACTTCATGAGGGTTTTTTTTTTTTCATCAAACGTGGCCCAATTTTGAGTCCAGAGACCTTAATAACCACAATGAATGTGTCATTTTGGTTAGAAAAACAACTTTCCAAAAGTAAACTAACCTCTTGGACTTGAGGTCCTATGGAAAGGCTGTAAAGTATACTAAACCCATGGAGTGAATGTGCAGGTTGCTGAGAAAATGCCCAGTCTTGAAGAAATGAAGATGGCCTTTGTGCTGTTCTCTCAAATTTATGTCAGCTCTGTCTTACTCTTCAGAGGTAGAAGACCTCTGGGTTAAATGGCCTAGGAAATATACTACATTGAAAGCATCATTTTTAGAGTTCAAACATTATTGTTACTATAATTATTTTATAGCTAACATCACTCAGTGTTTACTTATGCCAGGGACTAAGCTCATTTAAGCTTCACAAGTCTGCAAGTCAGAGTTATCCCCATTTTATGGAAAATAGTAACAATACAATGCTAATATTTATGTAGTGTTTATTATATGCCGGGAACTGTTCTAAGCAATTTACACATATTAACACATTTAACACCCACACTAACCTCATGAAGTAAGAGAATTTTTGCACTGCACAATACCACCAGGTTCCATTCACATCAATGATGATGTGACCACATCAGTCGTGGTTTCTAATTTCTCCACCTTCTAAGGGTTCTTGAATGAGTAAATGCCTCCCAGCGTAGTGGCCAGTCTAGCTCTCTGATTATACAGCATCTCATGCTGGGACATATATCACATCTGTACTTCTCCCAGGTCAGAAAAATAAAGGACCACTTATTTTAAGCACAGAACTTGATGTACACCCATATGCACATAAACTTGGATCTCACGAGAACCCTCTAATTGCATGTTTCTTTTGTAGCGAGACCACATGTTGCACAAAAACTGCTTTGCCTGAAGATATTGTAAAGTAGTGAGTTTGGGGGGTCTGCAGAGTTGCATTTAAATTTGTGAGAGCACCTTATGTACCTATTTGGCTATTTCACTTATGCACATTTCCCCAATATATTTATACCTTAATTCAAATATATATATTTGAATTAAGATGGTTAAAAATGGACGTTCTTTCATAAGCATAACTGAAGACAGGTAAAGCACTAAGACAGAGAAGCGTTCCTCTCTGTACTTTGGGGCGTGAGGGCTCAAAAGCTAGAAATCGCACTTCCTAGGCTCTCCTGCAACTCAGGTTCCAAGTGCAAATGGAGTATCAAGGCCCAGAAGACGGAAGTGAGGTGGAGGCTATTTTCCTGCTGCTGCAGCTGTCTCAGCTGGCAGGTGGTTGTAGAGGCTAGGACTCTCCTGCCATAGGGTGGCAGCCTCCAGGTGTGGAGTCACAGAGGCAGCCTCCGCAGAGGCAGCCTCCCATAGGGGCAGCGGCAGCTTCCTGATCACTGACTGCAGCTAATTTGATGTCTTCTTGAGGCCAGCAATTCTAGCAGAGATGTCCTGCTTTCCCAGTGCCCCCCACCACAGAGACAGCAGCCCCCTTGATGGGCCAATTGCACACGGTGTTCCAGAAGTGATTCCTAGATGCCCAGCCTGGAGCCTACTCCTCCAGCCCTTCTTTCTTATATACCCAATTTCCTGTAACAAATCTCTTCCCACGGAAATTAGCTCATTTGTTCCCCCAAACCAAACTTTAATGGATAATAGATAGCACGTGACAAACACCCAGTGCTCAGGAATCAGCCTGCAATGCTCAATGTTTGCACTTAGAAACCAGGAGCTGCTTTTTTCCTGTCGGATGTCAGAGGCAAACAAGGGAGTCAGTGCCCTGGCAAGTCTTGGCACTCAATTAAAACAGCACATTCCATCCAGGTGTGCTGGCTCACGCCTGTAATCCCAGTACTTTGGGAGGCCGAGGCAGGTGGATCACGAGGTGAGGAGTTCCAGACCAGCCTGACCAAAATGGTGAAACCCGTCTCTACTAAAATATACAAAAATTAACCGGGCGTGGTGGCATGTGCCTGTAGTCCCAGCTACTCATGATGCTAAGGCAGGAGAATCATTTGAACCTGGGAGGCGGAGGTTGCAATGAGCCAAGATCGTACCATTGCACTCTAGCCTGGACAAAAGAGTGAGGCTCCATCTCAAAAACAAAAACAAAAACAAAACAAAAAAACCCCCCAGCACATTCCACATTTAGAGGTACCAGCCCCAGAGGGCTGAAGTCTGCCTTCTAACTGATCTGCATAATTTCTACTTAAATACTCATACTTCTCACAATCAACTTCTCACCACTGCCCCCCATGTCCCCCACCACCCCCAACAAAGAAAAGAAAAAGAAATTCCAGCAGAGCAAAGGAGAATTTGTGCAGAGGCTTCTTTCTCAACTCTGAGTACCTTCCTCAGTAAATCAGGCACTTTTGAGCCCATCTTTTGTGTGTGCTGAACCCCTATTAACTGAGCCCATATTTAAAAAACAGTTAGGCTACGCGTTTTAAGCCTGCCTCAGTCTATGCTTGCCTGGCAGAATCTAACCTCCCCTTTAAATGAGAACCAATTACTACAAGGGATCATTCTTTTGTAGCTTCAGAAAAAAAAAAAACGGTCTGACTGGCAAAATAAAAGAATTTAAATAGAAGATGATAATGCATACAGGACAAAGGCTGGCAATGAGTTCCTTGGGGCCAACAATGTTTATATTAATAACATCTTCATTATGAGGATTTTAACAAGGCATCAAATCATTTGCACACTAAAGTTCATATATGGGAATCTCTGTATACAAGCTGGAAAGAGGCTACACTAGGGACAAACAATATTTATATATTGTCTAAGAGATCCTCTGCAGCTGTAGAATGTCTAGTAATATTAGCAAACTATACAAACTCTATGACTGGTAGATAGCATGTTCTCCTGAGGGATACATCATTGCCTCTTGCTCCTGAAGATTCTAAGAACTGGAGAGCAAGGATTTAACGCATCTCAATCATACAGTGAGGTCGTTCATTACAGCTTATTCTCCATCATCAGCCCAGATGATGAAAAAGGCTATTTTCTTTCAAGGTCATACCTCAGAAATGCTCTCCAATGAGTGAAATGAAACCAAATCAGCAGACCATTGCACCAGCCGTCAGGAGGCCTTCTCTCTCAGTATGACCAACTCTGTCACCAGCAAGATAATTTGCAGCTCTAGGAGAGCTTGCCTATGTATCAAAAATGCCTAGAGTTTTATGCTTTACTAACTTACTGTCTTGCTAAGGTGCAGTGGCCAACTAGTTATGCAATGACCCTAGGCAGGAATTCAAATTGAGTCCTTGACCCATCTGAGGCTCAGACCCGGTGGTGTGAATCCGGTGATCACAGTGACAACCTCACACATAAGTGTTCTTCTTAGGACAACATAATCCTCAGAAAGTATGGACAATTCCTTCAGCATCAGATAAGTTAATCTACCTACTCTAGTATAGGTTGGATATTATTAGAACTTTTATGGAAGCCAGGAAGAAAATGCTCACAGTTAAAAGCTCTTTCTTACCTACCTCCAAAACCACAGTCCCTGATATTTGATTCCAGATACTGCAGCATTGAGGATGTTACAAAGCTTGCTTCAGAGTTTGTTGTTGCTGTTGTTTGTTTTTTTAGGGACAGGGTCTTGTTCTGTCACCCAGGCTGGAGTGCAGGGATGTGATCATAGTTCACAGGAGCCTCAACCACCTGGCCTCAAGCCATCCTCCCATCTCAGCCTCCCAAGTAGTTGGGACTACAGGCACATGCCACCATACCTGGTTGACTTATTATTATTATTATTATTATTATTATTATTATTATTTTTGAGACAGAGTCTTGCTCTGTCACCCAGGCTGGAGTGCAGTGGTGCAGTGGCGCGATCTTGGCTCACTGCAACCTCCGCCTCCCAGGTTCAAGCGATTCCCCTGCCTCAGCCTCCTGAGTAGCTGGGATTACAGGCGCCTGCCACCACGCCTGGCTAATTTTTTTGTATCTTTAGTAGAGATGGGGTTTCACTGTATTAGCCAGGATGGTCTTGATCTCCTGACCTCGTGATCTGTCTGCCTCAGCTATTATTATTTTTTTTGAGACAGTCTCGCCCTGTCTCCCAGGCCGGAGTGCAGTGGTGCTATCCTGGCTCACTGCAACCTCCATCTCCAGGGTTCAAGCAATTCTCCTGTCTCACTCTCTGAAGTAGGTGGGATTACAGGCGTGCGCCACCATGCCCAGCTAATTTTTTCTATTTTTAGTAGAGACGGGGTTTCACCATGTTGGCCAGGCTGGTCTTGAACTCCTGACCTCAGGTGATCCACCCGCCTTGGCCTTCCAGAGTGCTGGGATTACAGGTGTGAGCCACCGCACCCGGCCTATTTTTTATTTTGTAGAGACGAAGTCCTGCTATGTTGACCAGGCTGGTGTTGAACTCCTGGCCTCAGGCAATCTTCCCACCTTGGCCTCGCAAAGTGCTGGGATTACAGATGTGAACCACTGCACCCGGCCTGCTTCGTAGTTCTAACTAGGATTTTCCTTATAATAAGATCCCTGGGAGAGGGTTCAAAAAGAGTTCACCTAACACATATCAACTTTTGCTCTGAAGAGAATTCAAAGTTCCAAGATTCTTATAAAACTCCCTAGGCACTGCCGTTAGCATGGACACTAGTCACTAATAAAACAGGTCTTTCACTGAAGATAAAATGAGAATAATATGAGTAGAAAATGGCTAAGCCAGTAAAACAACAGAAACAAAAATAAATGAAATTATATGTTCTTTTTAACAGGTTTATTGAGGTGTAATTTACATGCCATGTAATTCACCCACACAGAGTTCACTGATATTTAGTAAATTTATAGTTTTGCAATCATAACCACAATCCAATTATAGAACGTTTCAATCACCCACAAAATACCCCTAGTTCCAATTTGCAGTCAATCCCTGTTCCCACCCCCAAGCCAGGCAATCACTAATCGGTTTTCTGTCTTTATAGATTTACTGTTTCTGGATATTTAATGTAACATCCCGTAAAGGAATCGTAGAGTACGTGGTCTTTTGCATCCAGATTCTTTCATTGAGCACAGGAGTCAGCAAACTACCTGCTGCCTGTTTTTGTAAATAAGGTTTTACCGGAACACAGCTACAGCTATGCATTCATATACTGTCTGTTGCTGCTTTGGCACTGCAAAGGCAGAGTTGGGAAGTTGCAACAGAGACCATCTTGTCCACAAATCTGAAATATTTACTACCTGACCCTTTAAAAAAACATTTGCCAACCTCTAACTTAGCATATTTTTGCGTTTCATCCATGCTGTAGCATGTCCCAGTCATTCATTCCTTTTTATTGCAGAACATTTTGCAATATATCACATTTAATATATAGCATGATTGCTTATACATTAATATATCACATTTATATTCATGTGTATTAATATATCACATTTGACTATCCATTCATTTGCTGATGGACATTTGGATTGTTTCTAATTTGGGGCCATTATGAATAATGGAGCTATAAACATTCATGTATAGGTTTTTGTAGGAACATATGGGTTCATTTCTCATGGCAGACACCTAGTACCCAGGAATGAAATTGCTAGATTCTACGGTAAGCTTATGTTGAACCTCATAAGAAACTGGCAAACTGTTTTCCAAGTGGCTGTACCATTTTACGTTCCCACCAGTAATGTATGAGGGTTCCTGTTTCTCCACATTCTTACTGCCTCTTGTCACCATCTGTCAATTTTATTTTGCTATTCTAATGGGAATATCATGGTGGTTTTAATTTGTATTTCTTCTAATGACTAACGACATTGACACCTTTTCATGTTTCATTTGTCTTCTTTGATGAGCTGTCTATTCAAATCTTCCACCCATTTTTTCTTTTTTCTCAGGTTATCTTATTATTGAGGTGTAAAACTTCTTTATATATTTCGTATAGAATTCCTTATCAGATGTATGATTTGCAAATATTTTCTCCTATTTCTCTATGGGTTGTCTGTTCACTTTCTCGAGGGTGTCTTTTGATACTCAAAAGTTTCCAATTTTGATGAAGCCTAATGTATCAAATTTTAAAATTTATAGATCTTGCTTTTGGTGTTGTATGTAAAAAATTTTTGCCCAACCCAATCCACTAACAATTTCTCCTATGTTTCTTATCAAAGTTTCATAATTTTGGCTCTTAACATTTAGGATTAATCTTTATGCATGTAGCCATCCAATTTCCCTACCACCACTGTCCCTGCTGAATTACACTGATACCTTTACAGAAAATCAACAACTTTAAATGTAAGAATTTATTCCTAGAATCCTGGAATTCAGTTCCATTGATCTATATGACTATCTTTTTGCTAATACTGTACTATCTTGCTAACTGTAGTCTTATAGTAAGTTTTAAGGCAGGAAGTATAAGTCCTCCAACATAGTTCTTATTTTTTCAAGATGGTTTGGCTATTTTGAGTCCTTTGCATTTCCACAGAAGTGTTAGCACCCTACCAAAAACAAAGCTAGCTGAGGTTTCCAATATTTGTATTTAAAGCTGTACTTTTTCTTTAAGGATCAGCTTGTCCATTTCTGTAAATGAGCCTGATATGGTTTGGCTGTGTCCCCACCCAAATCTCATCTTGAATTGTAATCCCCATAAACCCTATTGGGAGGGACCTGGTGGGAGATAAGTGAATCACAGGGGCGGTTTTCCCCATGTTCTTCTCGTGATAGTGAGTGAGTTCTCATGAGATCTGATGGTTTTATAAGCATCTGGCATTTCCCCTGCTGGCACTCATTCTCTCTTCTGCTGCCCTGTGAAAAGGTGTCTTCTGCCATGATTGTAAGTTTCCTGAGACCTCCCCAGTCATGTGGAACTGTGAGTCAATTAAACCTCTTGTCTTTATAAATTAGCCAGTCTCAGGTAGGAATATTTCTTCATAGCAGTGTGAGAACAGACTAATACAAAGGCTATTGGTATTTTCATAGGAATTGTGCTGAATCTATGAATCAGTTTTGGGAAAATTTCCATCTTAACAAATATTAAGTCTTCCAGTCAACGAACTTGGTATATCTCTCCACTAATGTCTCTCAGCAATGTTTGGTACTTTATAGGACTTTAGCTTTTTTTGTTAAATGTATTTTTAAGTAGTTGATTCTTTTTTTTTTTTTTTTTAGACAGACTCTTACTCTGTCACCCAGGCTGGAGTGCAGTGGCGCGATCTCGGCTCACTGCAACCTCCCGCCTCCTGGGTTCATGCCATTCTCCTGCCTCAGCCTCTCCGAGTAGCTGGGACTACAGGCGCCCACCACCGCACCTGGCTAATGTTTTTGTATTTTTAATAGAGACAGGGTTTCACCGTGGTCTCGATCTCCTGACCTCGTGATCCGCCCGCCTCAGCCTCCCAAAGTGCTGGGATTACAAGTGTGAGCCACCGCGCCCAGCCGTAGTTGATTCTTTTTAATGATGTTGTGAATAGAATTGTTTTATTAATTTTTGGGTTGTTCATTGTTAATATACAAAATACAATTGATTTTTATATATTGATCTTGTATCCTTCGTTTGTTGCACTTATTAGTTTGAGTAGGGGCTTTTTGTGGGTTTCTCAAGGTTTTCTACAAACTGCTTCATGTCATCTATGAATAATGACAGTTTTACTTCCTCTTTTCTAATCAGGCTACCTTAAATTATCTTTTTCTTATTGCATTTTAAAGATACTCCAGCGCAATGTTGAATAGAAGTGGCAAGAGCAGGCATCGTTGATATTGTTCTTTACATCAGGAGGAAAGCATTCAGTCTTTCACCACTATGTATGTTAACTGCAGGTTTTTCATAGATGCATTTTTATCAAACTAAGGAATTTTCATTCTATTCCTACTTTATTGAATGGGTATTAAATATTTTGCAATGTTTTATCTATTTTAAGATAATCATACGGTTTTTATCATTTATTATTTATATGATGTATTATATTAATTGACTGATATTAAACCAACCTTGCATTTCTAGGAAAAATCCTATTTGGTTATGGTGTTAAACTTTTTCATAAGTTGCTGGATTTGGTTTGCTAATATTTTATTGAGAATTTCTGCATTTTACTCATGAGGGATATTAGTTTGTAATTTTCTTCTTGTATCTTTGTCTGACTTTGGTATCAAGGTAATGCTGTCCTCATAAAATGAATCAAAAAATGTTTTCTCCTCCATTTTCTGGAAGATTTTGTGAAGGATCAGCATTATTTATTCTTTAAACATTGGGTAGAACATTTAAAGAATAAATAATGGTAGAAAAGACCTGTGAGCCCATCTAGGTCTGAGGTTTTCTTTTGGGAAAAATTTTAATTACTAATCCAATTTCTTTATTATAGCTCTGTTCAGATTTTTTTTTTCTTCTTTTGAATCAGTTTTGATCATTTGTATCTTATTAGAAATTTATCTATTTCATCTCATTTGTTGTAGGGACCCTCAGTTCCCCCTCAACTTTCTTTCTTTGTCCTGACAGGGGAACATAAAGTACCTGGACATAGCTGCATGCTCTCTGCTGCAGGCTTGAACCCACACTTAGGCCTTGAACATTCCCAGGCAAGATAAAGTTGTTTAGATTGTTGCCCAAAACACTGAAAGGTCAAACATGTTGCTAAAATGTAGAAACTAGCCCGAGCCCTAAGTCAAATTCCCTAATCCCCCATATAATTTCCATAACCCGACTCCCTCATTATAGACATACCTGGCCAGAACATCTCCTGTCTCTCTATCTGTTGAGAGGACTCTGAAGCCCTCTGTTTGTAAGATCTCCTAATAAATGCTTTAGACCAGTCACCCTAGCGTTCAGTGCTTCTTTCTTTCTTGGAATCCTAACCAGCTTCTATATCAGGATGGTCTGGGGTAGCTCCTTATGGGACTCCACTGCTGCCAGTTTTGGGCATGGGTTTGGTTGGACAGAACATTTGTTTGCGTAAAGTTGTTCATAATATTTCCTTATAATTATTTTAATTTCTGTAGGGTTGGTTGTGATGTTTCTGCTTTCATCCCTGATTTTGGTAATTTGTGTCTTATCTTGTCTTTTACTGATCAATCTAGTTTAAGATTTGTCAGTTTTGTTGATCTTCTTAAGCAGCACTTTTGGCTTTTTAAAAATTTTCTCTAATGTTTTTTCCTGTTTTCTATTTCACTGATTTATGCTCTAATATTTCCTTACTTCTGTTTGCTTTGGGTTTGGTCTGCTTTCCTTTTACCAATTTCTGAGGGTGTCTTTTGTGAAAGATGTTAGTAAAAAAATAATTTCTGAGGGTGGAAACTTAAATGACTGATTCGAGATCATTTTTCTTCTCTAATGTAGATATTGAAATATATACATTTCTCTCTAAACACTACTTAACTGAATCCCATATATTTTGGTATATTGTGCTTTCATTTTCATTTGTTTCAAAACATTTTCTAATTTTTCTTAAGAAGACACACAAATGGCCAACAGGTGAAAAAAATGCTCAATATCACTAATCATCAGCAAAATGCAAATCAAAACCACAGTGAGATATCACCTCACCCCAGTTAGAATGGCTATTATCAAAAAGACAAAAAATAATAAATGCTGGCAAGTATGTGGAGAAAGGGGAACTCTGTGCACTATTGATGAAAAGGTAAATTAGTACAGCCATTATGGAAACCAGTGTGGAGGTTTCTCAAAATATCAAAAATAGAACTACCATATGGTCCAGCAACCCCATTACTGTGTGTATATATACACAAAGGAAATGAAACCAGTATGTCAAAGAAATATCTATTTTTTCTTTGACCCATGAGTTATTTAACAATTTGTTGTTTAATTTCTAAATATTTGAGACTTTTCAAGTTTATTTCTATTATTAATTTCTAACTGTGTTCTCGAAACATACCTTTCATAATTTCAGACTTTTAAAATCTAGTAAGACTTATTTTATGGCTTAATGTATGGTGTATCTTGGAGATATTTTCATGTCTTCCTTAAATAATGTATATTCTGGCCAGGTGCTGTAACTTACACTTATAATCTCAGCACTTTGGAAGGCCAAAGCGGGAGGATCGCTTGAGACCAGGAGTTTGAGACCAGCCTGGGCAACATAGTGAGACCCTGTCTCTACAAAAATTAAAAAAAGAATTAGTCAGTCCAGTAGTCCTAGCTACTTGGGAGGCTGATCACTTGAGCCCAGGAGTTCAAGATTACAGTGAGCTATGATCACACCACTGCACTCTAGCCTGGATCACAGACAGACTCTGTCTAAAAAAACCCCAAATGTATACACTTTCATCAGATGGAGTATTCTATATATGTCTATTAGGTCAAGTTGGTTGATAGTGTTGTTCAAGCTCTTTTATATCCTTTTCATTTTTTGTATAGTTATTTCATCAATTATTTAGAGTGGGGTATTAAAGTTAACAATTATTATTGCTGAAATGTCTATTTGTCCTTTCAATTCTGTCAGTTTTTGCTTCGTGTATTTAGGGCTCTGTTGTTAGATGCATATATTTATAATTATTATATATTCCTGAAGAATTGCCTGTGTTTTCATTATAAAACACCGCTCTTTGCTGTTAATAAGTTTTTTTTTTTTTTTGGTCTTACAGTCTATTTTATCAGTAGAGCCACTCCAGTCTCTCATGAATTTTTTTTACGTGGAATATCTTTTTCCATTCCTTTACTTTCAATTTATTTGTGTCTTTTAATTGAAAATGTGTTTCATATATGGCATATGGTTAGATATTTCTTTTTTATATGGTTTGACAATATTTACCTTTTGATTTGCATTTTCCATGAATTAATGCTTAATGGAATTTGATATGGTTCTATTTATATCCGCCATTTTTCTATTTGCTTTCTATTCATTCCATATTAGTTTTCTGTTGCTGCTATAACAAATTACCATGAATTTAGTGGTTTAAAACAACATATATTTATTATCCTTCAGTTCCAGGGGTCAAAAGTTTGATGCAGATCTCACTGGGCTAAAAGCAAGGTGCTAGCAAGGTTGCATTCCTTTCAGGACACTCTAAGACAGAATCCATTTTCTTGCTTTTTCCAGCTTCTAGAGGGTGCCCTCCATCCTTGGCTCATGGCATCCTCCAAAGCCAGCTATGGCCACTCCAGTCTTTCTCACATTGCATTATCTGACACTGACTCTTCTGCCTCCCTCTTCCACTTTTAGAGATCCTTGTGAGTATATTGGACCTGCCTGAATAATTCAGAGTAATCTTCCTATCTGACGATCAGCTGATTTGCAACCTTAGTTTCAACTGCAACCTTAATTTCCTTTGCCATGTAAGGTAACATACACACGGATCACACCGTTTAGGATATAGACATACTGGGGGTGCATTACAATGCTGGTATCTTTACTTATCATGATGTCTAGCATCTTTTTGTTTCTTTGCTTGTCCTTTATGCCTTCTTTAGTGTTAAATAAATATTTCATAATGTACCATTTTAATTCTAATTCCTTTGTTGAGTTTTTTATTTCCATGCCCCACCCAGAATCACAACTTCAGGCTAGTTGCAATGTTGATGTTCCCTGCTGTTTGCCACTGAGATTGCTAATGTTTCCAACAACACTCAACAGCATGAGGTTTTCCCACATTCTACTGTGCTCCAAATCAAAGTCAGTGCCCCCTGACAACAAAGCTGATGGTTTTCATACTTTGCCCATACTAAAGGAGATGGGGTAAGGAGACAAGAGCAGTCTCAGGCTAAAATGCCATAGACACCCACTGTTCTTATCTAGCTAGGTTCAGTACTTTCTCCTGAATAAAAGCTTTTCTATTTTGGTATGCCTGTGCTAGATTTCAGGAGTTCATAAATGGTTGGTTTTGATAATTTTGTACAATTTTGTCATTGTTTTGGGGAAGGAAATTTGCTGAGCTCCTCACTCTACCATTCTCATATTATTTTAAGCACATAAAATGTTGGCAAATAATACATCATAGCATCTACATCTAGGATAAAGTCACCCTGTTTCTGAATCAGATAGCTTTGTGGTAGGAAGGGAGTAATATGTTGCCTAAAAACCTACAGATATTGAAGGAAGAAGGGATAGCTTAAATTTGTATATCCTTCTTTCTTCTTAGATGGATTAAACCATACTTTGGTAAGAACAATATATAAATCATTGGTGACAACTTCAAATTATTAGCAGTAATTGTCCAAAGGCTGAGTTGAGTACCCATAATCTTTATTTGAATTTGAACAAAAATATCTCGGCCAGGTGCAGTGGTTCATGCCTGTAATCTCAGCACTTTGGGAGGCCGAGGCAGGCGGATCACTTGAGGTCAGGAGTTCAAGACCAGCCTGGCCAACATGATGAATCCCCGTCTCTACCAAAAATACAAAAATTAGCTAGGCATGTTGGCACGCACCTGTAATCCCAGCTACTCTGGAGGCTGAGATGGGAGAATAGCTTGAACCTGGGAGGCGGAGGTTGCAGTGAGCCGAGATCGTGCCACTGCACTCCAGCCTGGGTGACAGAGTGAGACTCCATCTCAAACAAACAAACAAACAAAAAATCTCTCTTCCATAGATTTAACATTAGTTCCCAAGATCCTTCTGACTATGGAAAAACCCAGTACTGCAACATAAATGAATAAAGCATTATAATCATTGTGTCTAAAAAGTAATCAAGACTAAAAAAAAGTTAGCTGAATTGAACCACATTGGAAACTATTCTGAAACATATACATGATCATAGCACCAATATAGCTGAGTGTAGTCCTGGATATGGTCCAAGTTGCTTCCTATGAAAATCACCCCAGGAATGTCAGTTCCAGCAGCTGGACCCATGTTATACTAGCAAGGCTGGAGCAGTGTCAGAGGAAGTCTCAAAGAACTCTTAAGTAAGAAAATAGCAGAAGTGACCACAGTCAGTGAAATAAAGCAACAGGGAAGTATTCGAGCATCTTGGAGGTGCTTTCCTTGATCCTAACCTTCCTGCCTTTCCATTCTTGGAATTTTCTATATCCAATAAAACTGTCTCTTTCTGGCACAAGTCAGCCAGGCAGTAGAAGAGTGTCAATGGGCAAGAAGCAGCCATAAATAAGTCCTAGACACCAAGAAATGATACCACTGCACTCCAGCCTGGGTGACAGAGCGAGACTCCATCTCAAAAAAAAAAAAAAAAAGGTACCAGTTTTCCTGTGGACCAAAAACCCAATCTCCTTTCAACTCTATCCTGAATGGAGCCCAGACATGTACTGTACTTGCAGTACAGCCAGAGATCTGCCTCAAGACCTTTTTAAAATGATGTGAGGCATAAAGGAACATGCTCAGGGGATGCCTCTCCAGAGGCCAGAGGGCTGGACAAGCCCATCTTTGAAGTACATCTAGTCCCCTCTCTTTGGTTCTTCGCAGTCAGATATCTTGTGACACCTAATACTTAGCTAATTGTAAACAGAGATCATTATCATATTATTAACCTAGCCTTTCACATATAGCTGTGATAACTCAGTTTATAAGATATATTAAACTTTAATAAAATATATATAGCCCATCAAAACTGTCTACACTAACATTTCTCAGACTTCTTCCCCTTCCTGAACAGTCCCAGTGCAGGTCATAAGCATCTCCTCACATTACTACTGCAAAACCTATTGGCAAGCCTCTTGGCTCTTCTCTTTCCAGTGATCTGTCATTATACACAGCATCATCTGTGGTGAACACCATTATATAGCACAGATTCATTCTGGGTCTCTTGATTGTGCCCAGAAATTACACTCCTTTTATTGAATTATCATGGGATGCCACACCATTAGTATATGTTTTTTTAAATTTAAACTTTTTAGTTTAAACTTTTGCAGTTATTTTACTAATTCCTGCCTGCAAATCAGTCTGGGGAGTCGTGTGCTTGTGTGTGTGTATGTGTGTGTGTGTGTTCACGTGCACATACATGCATGCACATAAGTGAGTCAGGAAGAAATCCAAAGAATAAATGGATGATGGGGGGATGCATCTATTTCACTTCAACACTCTGGTCTGCCTTGACGATAGGGGCTGGAGATCTAATGGTGAACACACCGTCCCTGATCTCAAGAAGCTTATAAATCAAGTGGAGGAAACAGCCAATAATAACAGCAGAAAATATTCATTGAACACTTAGATGGTTCCAAGTGCTGAGCTAAGAACTGCACATGGTTCACCTCATTTAATCCTCAGGAGAGCCCTGTGAGTTGGGTACAGTCATTCTTCTCATTTTAAAGATGAGAAGATGAGACTTAAAGAGGCTGCCCCAGGTCACACAGCTAAATAAACGGCAGAACTCAGGTGCAGGTTTATTTGATATTGGAATTCACTCTCTTGACCACTCTTTACTTCTGACCCCTTGGAGAGCCATTCTTACGTGCCCTCATGGCCATTCTCCCTAAGGCCCTTATGGCCCACGTACCCTAAGAACTTCTTTTTCCCACTGCCAAATCACCAGACACCAGCAATCAGAGTCCATCCATTGTCCTTTGGAACAGGCACACAGCCCCTTATTTCCCTCCTTAAAGTAATAAGAACAGAAGCTCAAATCCTCAGGCCTAGATTGTGAACCTGCAAGGGCATGGAGCTTCCTAACTGTATCCTCCGCCCACCCCACAGTACTCAGAGTGAAGAGTTTCTCATAGATCCCAAGCGAACTCTTTCTACAGTAGGCAGCCTGGGTGTTTTCAAAAATCAAGACTGGAAGCCCACTAAAGATGGCAGGGCAATGCTAGGATCCACTGAATTAGATACTTTAAATGGGTGAACTGGGTGGTATGTGAAATATATATGCATAAAGCTGTTTAGAAAGAACAATGTGACAGGGCAGCCAGTCTTTGAGAATGAGAGGCTTCTCTCCCTAAGTCTCCATCAGAAGATGGTGAAACTCATGGAGGGTGGATTTTTTTTTTTTAATTGTAAAAAATTTTATTTCAACAGTTTCAGGTGGTTTCTGGTTACATGGATAAGTGATTTAGTGGTGATTTCTGAGACTTTGGTGCCCCCATCACCAAGTAGTGTACAATGTACCCAATATATAGCCTTTTACCCCTCCTCCCCTCCCACCCTTCCTCCCAAGTCCCCAAAGTCCATTGTGTCATTCTTATGCCTTTGCATCCTCATGGCTTGGCTCCCACTTATAAGTGAGAACATACGATGTTTGGTTCTCCATTCCTGAGTTACCTCACTTAGAATAATGGCCTCCAACTCCATCCAAGTTACTGCAAAGGCCACTTTTGTCTTCTGTTTTATGCATAAGTAGTTTTCCATGGTGCATATATACTACATTTTCTTCATCCACTCATTGGTTGATAGGCATACAGTTTGGTTCCATATTTCTGCAATTGTGAGTTGTGCTGCTATAAACATGCATGATCGTGTGTCTTTGTCATATAATGACTTATTTTCCCAATAGTGGGATTGCTGGATGGAATGGTAGTTCTACTTTTAGTTCTTTAAGGAATCTCTATACTGTTTTCCATAGTAGTTGTACTAGTTTACATTTCCACCAACAGTGTAAGAGTCCCCTTTTCACTGCATTTATTATTTTTTAATTTTTAAATTATGGCCATTCTTGCAGGAGTAATGTGGTCTCTCTTTGTGGTTTTAATTGCATTATCACTAATTATCAGGTTGCATTTCCCCAATAATTAGTGAGGTTAAGCATTTTTTGGTATGTTTGTTGATTGTATATCTTCTTCTTATTTTATTTTATTTTATTATTATTATACTTTTAAGTTTTAGGGTACATGTGCACAATGTGCAGGTTAGTTACATATGTATACATGTGCCATGCTAGTGTGCTGCACCCATTAACTCGTCATTTCGCATTAGGTATATCTCCTAATGCTATCCCTCCCCCTCCCCCCACCCCACAACAGTCCCCAGAGTGTGATGTTCGAGGGTGGATTTTTAAATGACAAAGGAAATAAATCAAATCTAGTTGGTGCGTTCAGGTGTTTCTTCTACTTGCTGTGATGGTTTTGTTACATGTTTAGCTGAAGCAATGTTTATGAGAACAAAGAAATAGGTTCAGATCCCTAAATATGTCTTCTATGTATATCAATCAGTATCCAAATATGCCCTGAGCCCTGTTGGAAAATTAAACCGAAACTATGAACTGCACAAAGGGATAAAAGGCAGTTCTCAGAGCTTTCTTATATGCAGGAAGTGGCTGAATCTGAGAAGCTGGTTGGTAGTTAAAATCACTGGGTGAGAGCCGCATACCAATTAATTCTTCAGCTGTCCCTTGAAATATCAGAGAGATGTGGCTGTGAAATACCACTAAACAAAAGTAACCTAAAGCACTAGACTAGGAGTCCAGTTTGTGATTTATAACTGCCCTTGAGTAAGTAAGTCTCTGTCCCTCACTGAGCCTGTTCCTTCAACTGTCAGAAGAGGAAGATGATATCTGCCTTCCTACTTCACAGGCTCGTTGTAATGAATACGTAGGTCTTCGTAAATCCATAATGCTAGTACAGAAAAAAGACAAAAAGAACATCACTTGCAGGTCATTAACACCCAGTGAGGAAGGTAAGGAAGGCAAGGCAGGAGACTCTAACCTCTGCTGAGACCGTATGCACTTAGTGCCTGCCTCTAAAGGGGACTATGGCTTGTTTCATACACATCTACGGGAATTAAGAGAACTGACTTTGGCAGAGGAAATCTCTGGCAGTGTAACATTATTTGCCAGATGAAGGCTTATCCAGACTAAGTTGCTCTACTGTTTTTAATTAATTTCAACTTGTGTGCAGGATCTCAAAAACAAGAAGCAAGAACAAAGCAAAATCTGTAGAGAGGAGGAGGATTATAGGCAGGTAACATCTGCGCTGTTACCATTCAAATGCTAGACATAATTAAACATAGAGCCTTTACAGCTGATGATCCAGTAATATCTGAAAAAGGAGACAGTTGGTCCCCCATGGCTGTTTGTTACATTTATTTTAAAAAACACACACATAAGAGCACATCACAGCACTATTATTTTACTCGATTTCAGTTAGGCTAGTTGGGGTTTCCTGCAGGTTTATGACTCTTGATTTTCAAAACCAGTGAAGTATAATTTGCTCCAATATGTCTCTCATCACTTCTCATTATGATGCATGTGCAGAAATCTTGGAAATATTAATTTAGTCCAGTATGACAGATGCTGCCTCCACCTAATCTAATATACCAGCTAAATTCCTCAGACTGTTACATAAACCACGAAATGCATACCCATAAAGTATAACTTGTAGATCCAGAGGAAGAAAGTGTTTCGAAGTTAAAAAAAAAATCTGCTGCCAGAGAAAGCTGACTAATTGGAAGAGCCTATGAAATAATTTGAAACTATATTAACCTATTATTTCAGGGTCATGCACTGAAGCCTTGTTATTTTGGTAATGCGACACTTTGTTTTCAAATCCAGAGTTTAACAACATTGGCTGATAATTATACTGATTATTATATAGCGTGCAGGAGTTCACATCTTGATCATTTAACATGTACTCTATGCCTGTTCATCTAACCTTTTCAACTAGATGACCAGTTCTTAAAGAGTAGAAGCAATGCCTTCTACTCTTGTACTTTTACTCAATGTATTTCATTTTTATCCTTCCACAGTACCTGATATGGTACTGTGTGTACACAGAAAGACCTATATAACCAATTGAAGATTTTTAAAAATCAAGTAAGCTTGTACATAATTTAGTCTACAGAGTGGGAAAGAATAACACTTTGAATTTGGGTGGAGGCTTCTGAAATGATACCAACCTTTCTGATGAACAATCAGATTTACACCTTGTGTTTAAAAATTCTAAGCAGCTGACATTTCTGGGAGCCTTTCCAACAGAGCAGGGTAGCGAGGTCAGTGGTGGCTAGACATCCCACCCTCTGCCGCACCCCGACAAATTTTAGAATTCCCACTTCTCTATGGATTCTTTTCTAAAATCATTGGCCCCGGTTCTAGTCACAACAATTTAAGAGCCAAGTTTTTCGTCCCAGAATCACAAAATAAGTATATAGTGAATACAGACCACCTGTTTTCCTACCAATGAGGAATTTACTAGTTTCTTTCCAGCTTTGTCTTATACTTCTAAATACCTTATAATTCCAAGAGACCAGCATGTCTGTAAGGGACCTCAAACTGGGCCAGTCTAACTCCCTGGGCAACTGAGCTGCTAGGGTACATAGAATGTGTCACATAGGCCAGCTTCAATTTCATCTTCAAATGATAATTGCAATTTAAAATTCAGCCTTACACACAGACAATAGCTACACAGGGGAGGCTCCTCTCAGTTTGCAGAATAGACTGGAACCATTAAGTTCCTTCTTATTGCTAAGCAACAGTTGTGTTAAAATCAAACTGCTCTAGGCTCTCAAACAGCAGAGAAAAATGAGTCTATTCAATTCAGAGCACTTCAGGTGATGAGAGAAGAGAAAGACTGTTCGGGAACCTTGAAATACAAGGCAGATTTAAGCTACATGTTAATTTCAAATATACTCCCTCAATTTCAAAACATTTGGTTGAGTATAAGCCCAGGGTGCTGTGTTCCACAGGGGATGCCCAGAAATGCTTCTCTTTCAAAAAATGAAAATATGCCCCTTACGTTTAACGTGATTATGAATAATTTGGTCAAAGTTTACTGGCTACTGTGATACCACCTGTATGAGTTATCTGTATCTACCTAACAAATCACCCTAAAATTTGAGACTTCAAACAACAAACACTTATTATCTCACAGTTTGTTTAAGACAAGAATTCGGAGGCTTAGCTGGGTGGATCGGGCTCAGGGCCATGCGGCTGGAGTCCAGGTGTCCACTAGGGCTGCAGTCATCTGAAGGCTGTGCTGGGGCTACGGGGTCTGCTTCCCAGCTCACTCACATGGCTGTTGGCAGAAGACCTAGTTCCTAGTTTTTTCCCCTGTGCGACTCTCCTCATGACTTGGTAGCTGGTTCTCCCCACAGCAAGTGATCCAAGAGAGAGATTGACCAAGATGAAAGGTGCTAAGCTTTTGATGACCTAGGTGCCAAAGTCATACACGATCACTTCCGCTTTATTTGTTAGAAGCAAGTTACTAAGTCCAGCCCACACTAAAGAGAAGGGAAATTTAGCACCATTTCTTGAACGGAGAAGTAGAAAAGAATTTGTGGTATATTTTTAAAACCACCAGACCATGCAAGAGAAAGGTTCATGTCCTTCCTAAACAAAATGGCAGCACTACAGAAACCCAAATAACAAGGTTCCAGCTATGCCTTATATGTATAAGGCAGAGGTTAGGGTGGTGACAGGTTAGACTGTGGGCCCCTTCTTCACTTATTTTTTTTATTTTTCATTTTTTGAGACAGAGTTTCACTCTTGTTGCCCAGGCTGGAGTGCAATGGCATGATCTAGGCTTACTGCAACCTCCACCTCCCAGGTTCAAGCAATTCTCCTAAGTAGCTGGGATTACAGATGTATGCCACCACACCCAGCTAATTTTCTATTTTTAGTAGAGACTGGGTTTCTCCATGTTGGTCAAGCTGGTCTGGAATTCCTGACCTCAGGTGATCCTCCCGCTGCCTCAGCCTCCCAAAGTGCTGGGATTACAGGCGTGAGCCACTGAGTCTGGCATTCTTCCCTTATTTTTTAAACATCAAGTGTGCATTGGGCCAAGGCAATAAAGTACTGATGAAATTCAAGCAGAGTAGGGTGGTGGTTAGAAGAGCCAGATGACAGGATTCAAATCTGCTACTTACTCCCTGTGTGACCTAAGTGACCTTAGGTGATTTACTTAACTCTCTGTATCCTCTGCTGGAACCTGAGTATAGTAATATTAACTACTTCACAATAAGTTAACATATGTAAAACTTGGACCATTGCTCAGTATATTGTATGCCTATTGAAGTGTATAACTCTAAATCACTGTTGTCATTGCTATGTTGATAATAAGTGCAACCACTCAATTTATATACAGAAATGCCCATCTGGGCAGCATAGGAGAATGGTTTGCAAGATGTAGGTGAAGCTTTGGGAGCTTCACCTCTATAAAAATGACCCATAACTGCTATGTATTTACAATCAATTAAAAAGGCTAACTACATGTTATCAAGTTATCGCCTTATGTCTTCCCAGCACTTGTGAAGCCATAGGCTGTAAGTGCCGGCAAGGGCACAACCTGTACTAATCACAGCTGGTGCATAAATAAGGAACACACACAGGACCTACAGTCTAAGGGGATATTCTCCTGGCAGATTGAAAGCCCCTTCCTCCCTTACCATAGACCTTAGAAGTTTTAATGTTTGGTTTACTTGTGCTGACTTCCACCACCAAGCATATAAAAGCAGTATGTTTCCATAGATTACTTTGACTACCACATTTAATCTTTGACATAACAGTTTGAAAATTTTTTTAACTAAAAGCTTGTCACATCCTTTTAATGTATGAGGCTGATGAAATTTTACATAATCACAACATTATCATTGGTTATTTCTCCCAAAAAAGTTCATTGAGAAATTCCACTTTTCATTGTATATTTTTGAGGCTGTCTACTATTTCTAACTTTCCTGCATAATAATTTTCAGCTTTGCATAATACTGACATGACCACCACTGTTTATTTGCCCTATTGCCTTTATTATAAAGATTCAAATAACCAAAAAGTCCAGGAAACAGAATTTTTTTAGTCTTTTTTTTTTTTTTTCTGAGACATTTTCACTCTGTCGCCCAGGCTGGAATACAGTGGCACTATCTCAGCTCATTGCAACCTCTGCCTCCCAGGTTCAAGCAATTCTCCTGCCTCAGCCTCCTGAGTAGCTAGGATTACAGGTGTGCACCACCACGTCCGGCTAATTTTTGTATTTTTAGTAGAGATGGGATTTCACCATGTTGGCCAGGCTGGTCTCAAACTCCTGACTTCATGATCCGCCCGCCTCGGCCTCCCAAAGTGCTGGGATTATAGGCGTGCACCACCGTGCCTGCCCTTTTTAATCTTATATGATGATAATTTTTGTTTTTATGCTTACTCTGAATCATCATTAGATAGTGAGAGTCTTTCTGACTCATCAGAGATTATTTTCAGCATTCCTGCATTGTTAAAAGTATTTCATTGTATGTTATTATTAAAAAATTTGTATTTTTTTTCAGGCCAGGTGTGTTGGCTCATACCTGTAATCCCAGCACTTTGGGAGGCCAAGGTGGGTGGATCACCTGAGGTCAGGAGCTCAAGACCAGCCTGGCCAACATGGTGTAACCCCATCTCTACTAAAAATATAAAAATTAGCCAGGCGTGGTAGCATGCGCCTGTAATCCCAGCTACTTGGGAGGCTGAGTCAGGAGAATCGCCTGACTCAGGAGGCAGAGGCTGCAGTGAGTGGAGATTGCGCCACTGCACTCTAGCCTGTGCGACAGAGTGAGACTCCATCTCAAAAAAATAAAAATAAAAAATAAAAAATGTGTATTTTCTTCAAAGAATCAGAAGTCCTATGTTCAGATAGCTTTTGTCTTTCTAATTGGTCTTTCCCAGCCTAAGATTTTTTCGTCTTTAAAATAAAGGGATACTACGAATATATTTTTCACCACAGAAAACTTCTACAGAACCAAGATATAATCCTAGAAATGCACTGGAGGCCACATCCTGAGAGCAATTTACTACAGGACCCAGTTGGATGCATTAAGAGACTGCTGGACTCCTGACAAGACTGCAAGAGGCAGGGCCAGTTTCTTGGTGTACAGCCTGTGTCACACACCGCCCATGCTTAGAAGGTCTCATGCTTGGTTAGATGCCCTGCATCTTAATTGAAATTCTTAATAATTCTTAATAAGAATTCTTGAAATTCTTAATAATTTTTTCAACAGGGACACTTGCATTTTCATTTCACACTGGGTGCTGCAAAGCACATAGCCTGTCCTAGCAAGAGGATGTATCTCCATGAAATAGGAGCAGAATTCCAAAAGGTGAGAACCTAGCAAGGTAAAAAGACAGCATGATACAGAAAAAGAGGAGATGAATAAGAAATAAGGCAAGGGTGGGCTACACCAAAATGAAAAGATGGTGAGGGCCCCATATAAGAAACATTGCATGCAGCCAACATTTTGACCTTAGACTTCTGAATGTCATTGCTAAAACAGGTTACACAGGCAGCCTGCTTCCCATCATCCTCTGACTAACCAGAAGATAGAGAATTGCATTCAGAAAGTGAGCATAGTTCTTTTTAGGGCTGGCAGATAGCAGAGCAGTGATGTTTAGCCTTCTGTTTTCACACCATTCACACGTGCAGCACATTGCCATCAATAACATCTCTCTTCTGGACTGCTTGCCTCTGGGAGGCCACTCAGAATCCCCACCGGGACAGGAATATTTTGAGGAAGTCCCCGGCTGTTCTTATTCTACCCCATCTACACTCCATTGGAAATCAATGCAGTACAACACCTACATGATATTAAGCTTCTGATTTTGAAACAGAAAATTGATATGTAATTCCTGCCCAAATTTTACATTTTAGCTTGTAATCTAGACCCTGGAAAAAGCCCAGATTCTGTGCCTTTCTTATAAGTTTATGCATGCTGTTAAGCTATTTAAACAGTGCTGAGTGTTCTCACAAATCCTGAGACTGTAGACAGCAGAGTATATATGTGACATCAACTTAATTCACAGTAATCAATATCTCACTGCAAATTTAATCCAATTCTCAATACAGAAATACATGCTTCCTCTAACCAGATCATACCATTGTACTAAGGCCCTGATTTCCACAATGCTGTGAATGAAATCACAGATCCTTCAATGCTAACTGCTGGTCAACTAAGAACCCATCCACAGACTACTAATTTCCCCCAGGCTCATCTCTCTGGAGTCCCCAAACTGCTGTGTCTATCACTTAGGGGAATGCTAGGTGGATACAGAGGTGGGAAAAAGACGGAAAGAAATGGACGTGCTGCAGAGAAAGGCAGAAGCAAGAGTTAATAACAAAATTAAGCAATTCAAGCTTCCCAAGCTCTTGCTGTTTTTGAAGTTAATATGGATTAGAGGCTATATCAGGGCAAAGAAAGCAGCAGTTTAGCAGTGGAGAGATCTGAGGCTCATTCTCAATAACTATGAGAACCTGGGCAAGACCCTTCACCACTCCAGATGCCACACTTGCTTCAGAATCTATAACGTGAGATGAAGAGAGACGGTCCCCACTGTGCCCCTTCCATAGTGAGGGGATGACATAGTGAGGGAGGCTCAGACCTTTGAGATAAGATTACCCTCTGAAAGCAAATGTGGTCAAGCACAGTGCCCGAGAAGAGATCAACTCTCTGTAAAATCACCCAGTAAAAGGAATAGAAGATACATGGGAGTGGCACTGAAGAGATTCAGGAGTTTACTGCTAATATTTAGGAGTGTCTCTGGAAATCTTAGCTGTATCAACCTACAACTCCAGCTGGAAGTGATTACAGTAAATCTGAGGTCACACACTGGTGGCTCACAGCCAAATGTGGCCCATGAAAGTATTGTGTTTGGCCTGGACAGTATTTTTAAAGAGTGTGAATTCACTTCCAACATTTCAAAACAGAAAATTTCACATAAATATCAAGATTTCTGGCTAGAAAAAAAAAAACCAGAGAAAACACATCTGACAGCCCTAGTCCTGCAGCCCCTCATGGCAACAATCTGCAGGGGCTGGGCAGTGGCTGTGTCCTTCAAACATGGCAGCACCTCTCCATCCCTACTTAGGTTACTTGCCTGGCCCTGACATGGATGAAACAGTAATGTAATCAAGCAGCAATTAAGCCATGTGAGGCATAATCAACTACATTGTACCTTTGCTGAGAAGAGACAGTAATAGAAGAGAGCAGCCTGCAGGGAGCCTGGGAAGGGAAAGTGCAAAGAAAAGGAACTCGGCAGTGCAGCACCATCAGGGAAGAAGGTGGACAGGCCAGCTGGAACAGGATTTGGGTCTGCTTGGAAAGCACAGCAAAGATATCTCTGTGATCTAGCTTGCTGCGTGGCATGTTTCCAGGAAGAGAATGCAAAGCCCACCTGCCATGAGCATTCTAGCTGCTTCGCAGGCTCAGGAGTGTACTCACACCAGTGAAAGCTGCAGCTTTGCAGTTCCACAATTCTAATTCCAAGCAAAATGTGAGTGAGTGTGCGTGTGTGCATGTGTGTGTCTGTGTGTGTGTGTGTGTGTGTGTGTTTAAAAATAGGACTTGGGACCATTGTTAAAGTACTGGTCTTTAGTGAAATAATGTTTAAATATTTTTAATATATTTTGGAAAAAAACAATAGAAAATATGTCCCAAACTAGGATACCCTCCAGTAGGAAAAAACAAAAAGGTGTCCTGAATCTGTTGAAGAATGGTGTGAAAGAACAAGTAGATGAAAAGAAGTATCCTTGGATACTTTTATTCGGGAATTACCCAGTGATTCTGAACAAGGCCTATTAAGGTACAGCTAATCTAGTTTCAAAGTCAGGTTCCAGCCAGGCACAGTGGCTAACACTTGTAATCCCAGCACTTTGGGAGGCCGAGGCAGGAGGATCACTTAAGGACGGGGGTTGGAGACCAGCCTGGGCAACGTGGAGAGACCTCATCTCTACGAAACCTAAAAAAAATTAGCCAGATTTAGTGGTGCATAACTATAGTACCAGCTACTCAGGAGGCTTAGGAGGAAGGATCACCTGAGCCCAGGAGTTCAAGGCTGCAGTGAGCCATGATTGTGTCACTGTACTCCATGACAGCCTGGGTGACAGAGCAAGACTCTATCTCTCAAAAAATAAAAAAAGTCTGAATTCCAATGGGATGTGTACGGAAAGAGCTTTGTGGGATTATTTTGATAGGCGCCTTTTGTGAGCTGATTGTATGTTTATATCATTATATTTATTACTGTAAAATATGAGCACCAACTATATCATCACCAGTGTATAGTTCCCCTGCTTGACAAGGACTTCAAAGAAGCGCTTGCAATTCAAAACATAGGCTTATAAAAATTAATTTTTGTCTAGTCGGTGCAATAAAGCAAGAAAGAACAGCCTGGCCAATATGGTGAAACCCTGTCTTTACTAAAAATACGAAAAGTTATTTTAGTGTGTGTGGTGGCAGCTGCCTGTAATCCTAGCTATCTGGAAGACTGAGGTGGGCAAATCGCTTGAATCCGGGAGGTGGAGGTGACACACCGAGACTCTGTCTCAAAAAAAAAAAAAAGAAAGAAAGAAAGAAAGAAAATGAAAGGCGTATAGATTGGAAAGGAAGAAATAAAACTATCTTTATTCACAGAAGAAATGATTCTATATGTAGAGAATCCTAAAGAATCTTTGAAAACAAACCTAGTAGAACTAATAAATGAATTTAGCAAAGTTGTAGAAAACAAGACAACCTAGAAAAATCAATTATATTTCTAAATATTAGCAACAAACTATCTAAAAATAAAAGGAAACAATTCTATTCACAATAACACCAAAAAGAGTCAAATACTTAGGAATAAGTGCAACAAAACAAATGTAAGATTTGTATGCTAAAAAATATAAAATATCGCTGAGAGAAGTGAGAGAAGATCTCAGTAAATGAAGGGACATTCCCAGTTAATGGATTGAAAGGCTGAGTATTGTTAAGATGTGCATTTCTCCCCAATTTGACCTACAAAATTAATAGATCACAATAAAGATCCCACCAAGTTGAGAATCTGAGTTTCAGCTCTGACACATAAAGAACTTAGAAGTTACCATATCCATCCATAATACAAGAGGAATGAAATAGCCTGAAAATCAACAACTTTTCTTGGACACACCAGAAAACTGAGGTTTCAAGGGAAATGGTCATCACAAACTCTGGAAAAAAAAAAAACAAGCACATCCAGAGAGACACAGATCTGCCTACCTGGAGCTGAAGTCGCTGGAACCGGGACCTGGTAGCAGCACTTGAATGGTTGTATTGATGAACTTCTGGAGGTTGAGTGTGGACCAGCATGACAGTGAGACGCTCTTGAGAACCACATTCTTAGGAGGGCGGCCACATATTTGGGGACTTTACCTCCAGGAATCACACCAAGTCCTCCCAGTAAACACCGGAGAAAGATCTCTTCATGGCTCTTGCAGGGAGAGGGGAAGAGTAACACTGGAAATATGCCCAGGGCCTTCTCTACAATGAAAGCCAGCTCTTCAGGGAAAAAGGCTTTGCCTAAGCCTTATCCCACTTGGAAAAAGACATTTTTCCCATTCCAGTCCCCTCTCGCCTTCTTCTTAGCTACGGGGAAAATAATATAGTCTACAGGGGTCAGGGATTCAAGGAAATAAATTGGGAATGCAGCAGCCAGGGAAGCAGGGGGCAGTGGGAAAAGAAGCTATATCACTGGAGAAACGTTTGTAAGGGTCACAGCTTCAAGATGCCAGTCCATTAAAACACTAAGGTTTCATTGGAAGATATAGAAGACTCCTCCTCCCCACCATCACCCCACCCTAACAGAGACCCAGTAAGATAACAGTAGATTACAGCAGAAAGAGCTCGAAAACAGATTCTCTCTGAGAAGGAGTACTTAGGGAGCCCCAAGTTGTGAAGGGAAACAAAAAGGGCATTGAAGGAATTTGAAGCCCTTGGTTCCTATAGCTACAGCAAACATCAAGCACGGCCCAAATTCTAGCCAGATAACATAAATCTTCACACTTCAAGGCCTATCATTCTCAGTCTCTATTATCTGATATAACCTGTCTGGGTCTCAACAAAAAACTACAAGGCATGCCAAAAGGCAAGAAGAAACACAGTCTAAAGAGACTTTAGTAATTTGTTCAGGCTGCCATAATAAAATACCACAGAATTGGTGCTAAATAAATGTATTTTCTCATAGCTGTGGCGACTAGAAGTCCAGATCTCAGAGTCAGCGCGTTGTTTCTTCTGAGACTCTCTCTTTGGCTTGTAGGTGGCCGTCTTCTTCCTGTGTCTTCACGTGGTCACGCCTTAGTCTATGTGTATGTCCTAATAGCCTCCTTATAGGGTTCATCCATATGACCTGATTTAACCTTAATGACCTCTTTAAAGACCCTATCTTCAACTACAGTCATATTCTAGGGTAATGGTGGGACCTCCACATATGCATTTAGTGGGGACACAGTGCAGCCCATAACAGATATAAAGCAAGCATCAGAATCAGACTCAGATATGACAAAGACCTGGGAATTATTAGACAGTGAATTTAAAATAACTATGATTTCAGATGCTGTTCAACTTATGACTGAGTTACATCCCAATAAACCCATCTTAAATGAAAAAAAGTGTAAGTCAACAATGCATTTAATATATCTAACCTACCAAACATGACAGCTTAGCCTAGCCCACCTTAAATGTGCTCAGGACAGTAGCCTACAGTTGGGCAAAATCATCTAACACAAAGCCCATTTTACAATAAAGTGTGCAATATCTCATATAATTTATTGAATACCATACTGAAGGTGAAAAACAGAATGGTTGTATGCATACTTAAAGCACAGTTTCTACTGAAAGTGCTTCACTTTCACACCATCATAAGGTCAAAAAGTTGTAAGTTGAGCCATTGTAAGTAGGTAAATATCTATAATATGTTAAGGGTTCTAATGGAAAAAGTAGACAATATGCAAGTTCAGATGGGTAATGTAAACAGGTAAATAGAAACTAAGAATCAAAGGAAAATGCTAGACATAAAAAAACACAGACACGGAAATGAAGAATGTCTTTATCTGATTCATCGGTAGACTCAACATAGCTGAGGGAAGAATAGTGACCTTGAAGAGAGGCCAATCAAAATTTCCAAACTCAAGCACAAAGAGAAAAAGGAAAGGGGGAAAAAACCCAAACAGAAGAGCACATACAAGAACTGTGGGACAATTTCAAAGGGTATAACAAACAAGTAATTGGAGTACTGAAGAACTGAGTCAAAGAAATATTTGCATTAATAATGGCAAGAGCTTTCCAAAATTAATAACAGACACGAAACCCAGATCCAGGAAGCTCAGAGAACACCAAGCAGAATAAATACCAAGACAATCACATCTAGGCATATCATATTCAAACTGCAGCAAACTAAAGATAAAGAGAAGTTCTTGAAATAAACACCAACAGAGGAACAAGGACAAGAATGACAACACCACATCAGAAACCAGGCAAGCAAGAAGAGAGTGGAGTGAAATATTTAAAGTGTTAAAAGAAAAAAACCACCAAGCTAGAGTTCTATGTTCAGTGAAGTTATGCTTCAAAAGTGAAGGAGAAATAAAGACTTTCTCAGGCAAATAAAAACTGGAGGAATTCATTGCTGGCAGACCTGCCCTGCCAGAAATGTTAAAAGAAGTTCTTTACGCAGAGAAAAATGATATAGGTCAGAAACTTGGATCTATATAAACAAAAGAAGAGCACTGAAGAAGGAAAAAATGAAGATAAAGGAAAATCTTTTGTTTTTCTTATTTTTAAATGATCTAAAAGATAACTTTGCTTAAAGTAATAATAGTCGGGAGGCTGAGGCAGGCAGAATTGCCTGAACCCAGGAGGTGGAGGTTGCAGTGAGCCGAGATTGCGCCACTGCACTCCAGCCTGGGCGACAGAGTGAGACTCCATCTCAAAATATTAATAATAATAACAATGTATTGGATGATTATAGGATATGGATAAGTAAAATAACTCACAGTAATATTACAAGGGAAGAATTGGGACTACTCTGTTGTATGGAGCAAATGGAACTCAATTACACTGCTGATGGAAATGCAAAATGGTACAGCCACTTTCAAAAACAGTTTGACAGTTTATTAAGCAGTTAAACATAATCTTATCACACAACCTAGCAAATCTACTCCTGGGTATGTACTCACATAAATGCAAACAAACAAACACACAAAAATTTGTATATGAACATTGATAGCAGCATCATTCACAGCAGCCAAAAAGCAGAAATAACCTCAATGTCCATTAGCTCATGAATGGATAAATAAAATGTGGTATATCCATACAATAGAATACTATTCCACAGTAAAAAGGATCAAGTGACTGATGCATTCTACAAAAATGGTTGAACCTCAAAAACATTACGCTAGTAAAAGAAGCCAGTCACAAAAGGGCACATATTGTATGAGTAATTCCATTTATATTAAATATCGAGAACAAATAAGTTTATAGAGACAGAAAAGAGATTAGCAGTTGCAAAGGGCTAGAGGAAGAGACAAATAGGGAGTGACTGCTAACAGCTAAAGGGCTTGGGGAAATGTTCTAAAATGTATTGTGACTGTTGCCCAACTCTGGGAATATATTAAAATCCATGGAACTGTAGACTTTTTTATTTATTTATTTTTTTAGACAGGGTTTTTGCTCTGTCGCCCAGGCTGGGATGGAGCACGATCATTACTCACTGCAGCCTCCACCTCCCAGGCCCAAAAGATCCTCCCACCTTGGCCTCCCAAGTAGCTGGGACTACAGGCGTGTGCCACCATATGCAGCTATTTTTTTTTTTTTTGGTAGAAATGGGGTTTTACTATGTTGCCCAGGTTGGTCTTGAACTCCTGGGCTCAAGCAATCCTCCCACCTTGGCCTCCCAAAATGTTGGGATTAGAGGGATAAGCCATCACACCCAGCTTGAACTGTAGGCTTTAAACAGGTTAATTGTATGGTACGTGAATTATAGCTCAATAAAGCCATTATAAAAATGTAACTAGAGAATAATTACTACAACAGTTTTTATTACTTTGAGATAAAAAGATTTTCTAACATGATGCAGAACTCTAGGCAACCTTCCATATTTTAAATGATGAAGAAAAGTGAGAATTTAAATGTACAACTTGGAACAACATCAATTATGCATACTGTGCAAAAACTACCAAAAGATAAAGGTTGAGTTGTACTTAGTGCTTAGGAAGAGATTCAAATTTAGGTTTTTCATCTACTGTATAGTCTACTACAAGTAATATGGAGTCAGATTTTTAAACAGGGAAGGCAGCTCAGACATTATACTAGTTCACTGCTTCTCAAACTTTAGTATGTATCAGAATCAACTAAAGAGCCTGTAAAAGACAGATGCTGTGCCCCATCCTCAGAAATGCTGATTCAGTAGGAATGATGTGTGGCCCGAGAATTTATTTTTCCAGTAAGTTCCCAGGTTATGCTGATGCTACAGGCCCAGAGATCACACCTGGAGAGCCAGTGCACCAGCTGAGCTCTCAGGCTTCCACCATGAAACAACAGGCCCAGAGAGAAACCGTCCAAGGTGATGCACACAGGACTCAGTCTAGCACTCCTCACATCCAGCCCACCTACCATATCTACACCTAAAACACTGAATATGTAAATTAATACTAGACTGTAGAATGAAATCCAGACATACTTCCTAAATTGCCTGAGGGTGTGGGTTAAGATTACACAACTGTTTTAACCACATTCTTCTACTGAATTAATCAAATAATCATGAAATCCATCTACATCCAAATCTAACATGAAATTTGGAAAATCCAAATTTTTACCCTTAACTGACATTACCTCAGTAAAATATTCACTCACACACACACACACACACACACACACACACGCACACAAGCATTTCCTACTTGGCTTCACATTAGTATCACCTGGGGAACTTAAAAAATTCCTGAATCCCACGATGTACCCCCAGATCAATCAACTCAGAATCTTTAGGTATAGGACCAGATATCATCAGTATTTTAAAAAACCGATCCAAGCCCAACTCACATTAACCTCAGATCTACTATTTACCACACATGCCATGACTGGTTTTACAGAAGATAAAACAGATTATGAATTATCTACTTTACAAGTACCAGGTAACTACCAGTAAAAGATTCACTATTTATCTAAGCAATTGTAACAGTGTCATTAATTTTCCTATAAGTGCATTCAACTATTCCTCTACTTTGTTAATTTACTTTGAGTTGCATAGAACAGTAAAACATATAATCTGCTCACAGATAACCAGGAGTTGCTTATAGTACCTCCACTGCCATGATTTCTACTCTCATAAAAATAACCCACCTCACACTTTCATACTGCATTTTATATCATTTCACAAACTCTATAATTAATCCTACAACTTCAGGTGTATAGTAAGTGCAATGATGTGCTCTGATATATTTATTCATTGAATTTGCATTTCTATTCATATCATAACTATATCCAAACTGCACCTGCAGATTCCCTGTATCAGCAGCCATTTGAAATGCACACATTTATATTTCTACTTTATGCAGAGCTCTTCAATTTGAGCAGGTGCCTGCAAATACATTTCAATCAGTGTGGTGGCACACAAGAACACCATCAACCATCCTTTGTTTCAGTCCTATCCTGTATAGAGTTAAAGCCCTATGAAAAGGAGGACTGTTTGACATTGGAAAAGGAAATCGGGGTGGCAATACATACATCATGCTGCTCTACTCACCACTACCAACTTATCCAACTAGTCACCAGAAGAGTGTGCATATTAACACCTGGTCAACTGTTCATATTTAATTGATGCCATCTTCTGCTTTTTTTCATTATACCACCTGACTCTGGGCTAACTTAGAAGAAAGATGGCTAATGACTCATTGACAATCACTGATGCCCCCACCCTCACTCCCCAGCATACAAAATTTCCTGTAGCTGTTGCGATTCCAAGAATTTTCTGGATTGGACTCAAAAGCAGATTTATCAGGAAGTCAAGAAAGCTTAAGCTTTAGGCCTTCTCAATTTGTATGGGCCTCTTCCAAAGCCCCGGGAGGTGCCCTAAAAGTTTATATTTATAATTTTATATTATTTTCCTTGAGGTGTGTTTCCCCAAATTGTATAAACATCAGGCCTACAAATTCAGGATCCATCTGTAACTGGGCCTAATTTGTAGATCAATGATGGTACCAAAAGCCTGGTTCTGTGGGTATGGGTGCAACACAAAACCCATTCTTGTTAATATCACACAGTATGAAGCTTTAACAGTTTAGTTAGTGCTTGCATTCTGATTGGCAGCAAACATTTACAGTGACCCTAGGCCTCAGGTCTAGGCATATCTCAAGGACTTTCCAATCATGAGTGTGAGGAAAAGTCTTACATCAAATGAATAACAAGACAATGAGGCTTATTTACAAGTCTACCAGGTGCTCAGCTCAGGGTTGTGGGTATCCAAAAAAGTGATACTAAACACAAAAGACACTCAAAACCTGCTTGCTGACTTGAAGAGACTGGTATCACCTCCCCAGATCAGTCGGAGAAATAAGACAAAACTCTTTTACCTTGAAATAACAACAACAACAAACAATTTAAAAACACCACAGCACTATAAAAATATATGGACAGTACAGTTTTTTCTTTTCTGCACTGAATATTCCCTATTGCAAGTATGAAGATTCAATCATTGATTCATTAATTCGGTAAGCATTTATGGATCATTTACTACATATACAATACTATTCTAGATATTGGGGATACTGCAGTATATAAAATAGATAAAAATCTCTGCCCTCGTCGATCTTACATTTATTGGAGAAATGGATAATAAAGCAAGATAAATTAGTAAAAAAAATAGTGTGTCAAATAGTGATAAGTGTTGAGGAAAAAAACAAAGCAAGGATAGAAAGTGTTGGTAGGGAGTTGAAATTAACAGGGAACGTGAGACAATAATGCTTCTGCTAAAAGCTGCATTCCTGCGATGTGTTTCTTTGTCAGAGAAACACTATAAACAGACAGAGAAGTAATAGTGAAAGCACAACACTACAATCCTGGGTATCACCTATGGGTCTACATAAAAATCCATTAAAAATTCCCTGAAAGGTTACCACATTCACAGAAAGCATAAAATCCGAATCTCGAGTTTTGAGGGGCAGGATATGGATTCTCTGGATAGCAGTGACTCAGGTAAACAAAGGGAGCATGACATGGAAGGAAAAGACTCATCCAATTTTGGGAAGGGAAGGCTCTAGATCTTTTTTTTTTTTTTCTTTTCTTTTAAAGGAAGAAAAAGAGATTGAGGCCAGGCGCAGTGGCTCACACCTGTAATCCTAGCATTTTGGAAGGCCAAGGCAGACAGATCACCCAAAACCAGGAGTTCAAAACTAACCTGGCCAACATGGTGAAACCCCATCTCTACTAAAAATACAAAAATTAGCTGGGCATGGTGGCACACACCTGTAGTCCCAGCTACTTGGGAGGCTGAGACAGGAGAATCGCTTGAACCTGGGAGGCAGAGGTTTCAGTGAGCCAAGATCACGCCCCTGCACTCCAGCCTGGGTGATAAAGCGAGACTTTGTTCCCCCGACCCCCCAAAAAGATTGAAAACCAGGCTTTTCCAGTCTATGTGGAAATTAGGCAGGCTGAGACCCCAGCAGCAGGGCAGGCAATCCCAAACAGATCACAGGGCACCACCCACAAATAAAATCAGTTTTCCTTGCCCCCGGGGTCAGGCAGGAACATCTTGTCTTGACCTCCTTGCAAAAAAAATTGCTGTCCTCCCTTGTATTGCATTTGAAATTCCTTTTAATGCATTAAGGAAGTTTTCTAAGCAATACTTAAAGAGACATGGTTTAATATACAAATGCCTAGAGTTAATGTTTGAGAGCATAATAATTAATTGACAGTTATAACCCAGAGGTGCCAGATTCCTATATATTTTGATGGAGATGGGGTCAAGGGAAGGGCTGGGAGAGTATTAAAGCAAGAGGGAATCTGCAGAGGCACCTGAAACATGGAAACCCACTCCGCAGACCTCTGGCTTGGCTGGGCTATACCTTGTTTCCTGTTAGGAGCAAGGACACAGCAGAGCTGCATCCCCAAGTCTATCTGTATCACAGCTGAATAAGCAGACAGGAAGCCTGCAGACACTGATGAAAGCATGGGGTGTTTATTTGTCTATGCAATCTTTCTTCTGCTTGCCTTTGCAACTCACCTGGATGCATCCGGGCTGGCAATTCCTGATTCCCAGAGGAGATACAAAGTCTGTTTGGGAGTTGACTCTTATCCAGCACTCTCTTCCTTTGAACACCTGTCCAGGTATCTAGGTCTAGCCCTCCTCGGGCAACACCATGCTCTCCCTGGCTAGCCAATAAATCCAGATTATCTTCTTAGCCCTTCCCTGTTTCTGCTCTGAGTACACCTTCTGCTCTCTGCCTAGTTCTCCCAGGCAGGTGAAATCTGCTAAGGGACCAGTTCCTCTGAGTGGCTGAGCCCCAGGAATGCACTGGTCTCCACTCCAAAAGAGACCCCCTTTCTTACCGCCACTAGCCATTGAAACTGACCCCTGTGCAACTTGCTGCCTTCACAGCAGAGCCATGGGCACTGTTGAATCAAATCCCTTATTGCCTCTACTTCTGAAATCAAATCATGTGGCTTCAGACTGCATGATAGGCAACATCAACAGCACTGTCATAAAAGAGCAGTCTGCTCACACAGGGTTCAGGCTCCCCAACACCTAGCAACATTGACTGAGTCTGTTAGCAAGTCCGTTCTGCCCTCCTCAGAAAGCACCACCAGGAGCCAGCTCGCTGAAGAAGGGTTTTCTTCCTAAGACTATTTCAGCTGCAGGGGAGAAGTAGGAAAAAAGGCAACAGAAAAGCAGCAGGCTTTCAAAAAGGGAGAAAGAGCTGGCCGTTTTGGTTACTTTTTCCTTCTGGCCCAATATGCCTGGGAAAGCTAGTCAGAAAGCCATTCTCTAAAGCACATTCAAACGATTCAATCTTCATTGCAATCTCAGGTGAAAAAAGGACCTCTCCCTACCCTCCAGCAAATGGGGAATGGGCTCATCTCAAATAAACCCCAAATTTATTTTCCCTCACAAACCATATTTAAATTAGGAAATCTGTGAGATGTTCTTGTCCTTCACTTTTTCCAAAGGCAGACTAGCGAGTGAGAACGGAAGACAGGAGAAGGTCTTAGCAAATCACAATCGACAATAACTCTGCTGAAAGCCTAGAAAAGCCTCCCTTATTTCCCCCCAAAATGTTGACTGTTACAGAAGGTAATCAATCATAGAAGCCAACTGTATCGACAAGATTGATATTTTGACCATTATAGACTGCTTTTTGTTATTCTGATGGGACTTTTGGGGAAAGGTTTTAAGAATATTTGGGGCAAAGCACATCCCAATTTGCCTGACCACATCTCCAGTGAAGCACATATGGCAAAATGCTAAAGAAACAGAATGTGGTCAATTTGCAAAATGTTTATTTAGAGAAATATATATAATGATAAATAATATATAAAGTACTATGGTAGTTAATGTCCATTAGAGAACATCTCTTTTTGGTCCTCAATTTGGAAAAAAAAAATCACACAGATAATACCTACTAGTTACTATTGTGAATATTGGTTCAGAAGCTTTGGAAAGGATTCCTTTGTTACCACAAAGGTGAAAAATGGCTAATTAGCAAAATATGCCATCTCTCATGTTTCTACAAATCATGACGATTGGAGCCCATAGGTTTAGTTTAGGTGAAGACACAGCAACAAGGCTATTTAAACCACTTACAGATTTATTATTTATTTATTTACTTATTTACTTTTGAGACAGAGTCTCACCCTGTCATCCAGGCTGGATGATCTCGGCTCACTGCAGACTCTACCTCCCAGGTTCAAGTGATTCTCCTGCCTCAGCCTCCCAAGTAGTTGGGATTACAGGTGTGCGCCACCACGCCCAGCTGATTTTTGTATTTTTAGTAGAGATGGGGATTCATCATGTTGGCCAGGCTGGTCTTGAACCCCTGACCTTGGGTGATCTGCCCACCTTGGCCTCCCAAAGTGCTAGGATTACAGGTGTAAGCCACCACGCCCAGCCCTAAACCACTTACAGATTTATTTTAACATAATATCCTCCTTGCACGTGAGAGAAGAGGAAAGAGATAATGAATATAATTTTTATCTATTAAAATACTGTGCTTTTATTTTAAGTACTTTTTCTTTACCCTGAAAATTAACTGACAGCAACTCAGAAAGAATCGTGGAGCTACTGGAAATGAATTATGAGTCAGCTAAAGCAATAGCTGCACCGCTCGGCTCCCCGCACTCCACAAGCCCTCCCTCCCACCTTGCATATGCTTTTAGCATTGTACTCAATTAAAATGGAAACGTGTTCTCAGTAATTGAGTTATAAAGGGTGAAGAACTCTGTCAAACAACACAGGAGGAATAACAACCTTCTCTGATAAAGAGTTTCTCAGAGCTGTAACCCACAGATCGCCTGAGTGAGACTCACCTGAAGGAGCTTTTGCTTATTTATTTATTTGATTATTTTTTATTGTATATGCCTACAGGGTACAATGTGATGTTTTGATGTACGTATATACTGAAGAATGATTAAGTCAAGCTAACTAACATCTGTTACCTCACTTACCATTTTTTTGTGGGGAGAGCATCTAAAATCTACTCTCTTAACCATTTTCAAGTATGCGGTACATTTTTAACTAGTCACCATGGTGTACAATTGATCTCCAGAACTTATTCTTCCTGTGCAACTGAACCTTTTATCCTTTTACCAAACAGCTCCCCGCTTCCCTTCCTCCCCACCAGCCCCTGGTAACCACCAGTCTACTTTCTACTTCTATGCATTTGACTTTTTAGATTCCATATATAAGTGAGATCATGCAGTATCTGCCGTTCTGTGCCTGGCTTATTTCAGGTAACATAATGTCCTTCAGGTTCATCCATACTGTTGCAAATGGTGGGATTTCTTTTTTTCTTTTCTTTTCTTTTTTTTTTTTTTTTTTTTTTTTGAGACGGAGTCTTGCTCTGTCACACAGGCTGGAGTGCAGTGGCACAATCTTGGCTTAGTGCAACCTCCGCCTCCCAGGTTCAAATGATTCTCCTGCCTCAGCCTCCTGAGTAGCTGGAATTACAGATGTATGACACCATGCCCAGCTAATTTTTATATTCTTAGTAGAGACAGGGTTTCACCATGTTGTCCAGGCTAGTCTTGAATGCCTGACCTCAGGTGATCCGCTTGCCTCGGCCTCCCAAAGTGCTAGGATTACAGGTGTGAGCCACTGTGCCTGGCCAAATAAGGAGATTTCTGAAGATGCTCATTTAAAAGACAGTCTCTTCCCAGAAGCACTGACTCAGAAAGAGCTAGGAATGTGCATTCTCTTATTATTATTTTATTTTGTTTTGTTTTGTCGAGATAGGGTCTCACTTTAACACCCTGGCTGGAGTGCAGTGGCATGATCACAGCTCACTGTAGCCTCAGCCTCCTGGCCTCAAGTGATTTTTCTGCCTCAGCGTCTTGAGTAACTGGGACTACAGGCATGCAACACCATGCCCAGCTAATTTTAAAAATTTTTTATAGAGATGGGGTCTCTATGTTGCCCTGGCTAGTCTCAAACTACTGGTCTCAAGCAATCCTTCTGCTTCGGCTTCCCAAAATGCTGGGATTCCAGTGTGAGAGCTGCCGAGTGTCTCATCAAGACACTGGCAGACACGGGCCACTGACTTAATATAAATGGTCACATATCTGTACATAGCTGCTCCCCTACTCACCTGGTGGACTCCCATGTCCTGCTGCAGCTGTGGCTATTGCAAAAGCAGAAGCCGGTGAAACAGAGCAGTGGGCATTGTCCGCCGTCTGTCCTGGTTATTTGAAAAGAAAGGAAATGGAATGGTGAGGCAAATGGATAATATTCTGTAACAAAAATCATCATTTTTCTTCCTGCACCAGATGAAGGACTGGGCCAAATGCCCTGTATTATCTCTGTTAATGGGCAAACAACAAGATTGCACATCAGGAATTCCACTCTGGGTCTATAACCAAGAGAAAAGAAAGCATACATCTACACACAAACGTGTACATGAATATTCATAGCACCATTGCTCATAGTAGCCAAAAAGTAGAAACAATCAAATGTCCACCAATTGATAAACAGAAAAATACAAGGGAATATTATTTAGCCACAAAAAGGAATGAAGTTCCAAAGCATGCTAGAACATGGATAAACTTGGAAAACATGCCAAGTTAAAGAAGGAGCCAATCACAAAAGGTCACATATTATATGATTCCCTTTGTGTTAAATGTCCAGCAGAGGTGAACCCATAGAGGGAGAAAGTAGATTAGTGGTTGCCTAGGGCTGCTGGGGTTGGAGGGGGAATGGAGAGTGACCGCTAATGAGTATAGAATGGCTGATATTTATAGGGTTTCTTTCTGGGTGATGAAAATGTTCTAGAATTAAATAGTGGTTATGGCTGCCTGAACTTGTGAATATATTAAATTAAAAAAAGACTGAACTATATACTTTAAAAAGGTGAATTTTATGGTATGTAAACTGTATCTTAATATAAAAATATTCTTAAAAAAGATACCATATCATGTTACTGATAGAATTTCCCTCTGACAGAATTTCCTTCTCAGAACACCCTTAACAGTACAGATGGTTTAAGTGTGGCCCTTTTAAAATCGAAAGGATGTATTGAGCAACCTTGCAGTCCCTTTCACTCCTCGGACTGTACACACAGCGTTTGGCAGTGCTGGTGCCAAGCTCGCTGCTTCTCCTCGCTCAGGCTTTTAGTGAAAACAGTCCACTGTGATTCTGACCTGAAGGGCTTTTATTAGCTTGGCCCTAATGTTTCACAATCATGCCTAAAATAAATACACACGTTAAGAGGGGAAGCAAAGAGCTGCTTAATGTGCCCAAGCACAAACGCATAAAACAGCTCTACCTTCTCTTTCCACAACAGACTTATTGCATTTTGGAACAAGGTGGCAAGTAGACAGATGCACAGGCAAAATTTCAGCTAGATAGAAATATGTGATGCTGTCCTTGTTCAGTTCCTCCATATTATCACAGGTTTCAGCCTCCTTCCCATGTTTCTATGTCTCTATGATTTAGTTATATCAGGGAAGAAACAAAGGATTTGGCTTAGTTAATCCACAAACAAGATGAGGATTTCCAAATAATCCTTATGTGAATTAAAAATTTTATATGTGAATATAAACATATGAAAAGAGAATATAAAGTAGAGTTCTAATAATTGTAACGCCTTGAACAGCATTTAACTCTTGCCTTGGTAGAGCCTTACTTCCATAGATTTTGGTCCCAAACTCTTCCAGGTTACAATGAAGTCAAAGGGATCTGTCCTATGTGGCAATGGTCAAGGAAGTTGCCAAGACCTGGACTGACCAAAGCTCTAAGAAGAATAGAGAGATCTGGCTAATTCCATAGTAGTACTATGACAAGCCAGGAAAGTCTAATTTGTCACCTTCATTTACCAGAAACACCCAAATGGCAGGATAACCCATAACTGACTTGGAGCCTTAAAGCCCCAAGGGCTAATATCCACAAAGGCAGACATCTAACAACAGCCAGACTGAGACCTTCCTAGTTGCTCTCAGAGCTCATGGCAATGACAACAGCTTCTACCAAGCTGCTAAGGCCACCGATAACCATTTGGAGCCATATACTTTACCTTTTGCTAAAATGCCCTATTTGAAGCATGCCTATGAGAGTCAAAAATGCCTTTATAGGCTGGGCGCAGTGGCTTATTCCTGTAATCTCAACACTTTGAGAGGCTGAGGAGGGTGAATCACCTGAGGTCAGGAGTTTGAGACCAGCCTTGCCGACAAAGTGAAAACCCGTCTCTACTAAAAATATAAAAACTGCTGGGCGTGGTGGCCCACGGCTGTAATCCTGGCTACTCGGGAGGCTGAGGCAGGAGAATCACTTGAACCTGGGAGGTGGAGGTTGCACTGAGCCGAGATTGCACCACTGTACTCCAGCCTGGGTAACAGAGTGAGACTCTGTCTCCAAACCAAAAAAAAAAGCCTTTTCATTTGGGTTACTTGGGGTGAATCCGGTTTCATAATTGTGTAATTTTCTGTTCTGACTTGAAATAATTGGCTTAAGAAGAGAAAAGCAAACATTTCAAAACAACTGTTATTTGGATATATTTATTTGAGCAGTGGGGAAAATGGGAGATAATTAAAATATTTCTACCTTTTGTTCTGATTAGTTTTTTTTCTCCAATTAGAGGACATTTATTATGTTCCCAAACAAATTATGGAGTAATGCTTTACAATTTTCTTAACTATATATCAAAATACATATGCCAGTTTCTGCCACTAGCAATAATGATGACTGGGGTCCCATGTACCTGGACCTTATTTTAGATGAAATAATATTATTAATAGGGTCTCCCCAGATTGTGATGCCCAGAGGAGTCCACTTATACAGACTACATTGGGACTCATGGTAATATATCAGAGACTGGGAACATTTTGGTAAACCCAGCACTGAGATTCTTCAGCTAGCTAACATCTAAAGAAAGAGCCTTTTGATTCACGTTACTCCTCACAAAATGCAATGCAATGATGGAACTAAACAAATGTTGGTTAGACTAATGACATCTTCTCTAATCATTTATTTTTCCACCACTTGGTCCTACAGTAACATTACAGTCATCCCTTGTTTCCTGTAGGGTATTGGTTTTAGGATCTCCCTCAGGTACCAAAATCCACAGATGCTTAAGTCCCTGATATAAAATCGTGTAGTATTTGAATATAATCTATGCATATTTTCCTGTATATTTTAAACCACCTGTAGATTATTTATAATAACTAACACAATGGAAATGCTATGTAAATAGCTGTCATACTATAATGTTTAGGGAATAATGACAAGAAAAAAAGTATGTACATGGTCAGTACAGAAGCTTTATTCTTCTGCCAAATATTTTTGATGGGTGATTGGTTGAATCCACAGATATGAAACCCATGGATGTGGAACCCACAGATACAAAGGGCCGACTGTATTTGCTTCCAATTAATTTTCAATAAGTGAGACTAAAAAAATTATTTTGGCAGTGAAACAATTAGGCAAAGGAAAGGTTCAGAAGCTAGAAATCATTTTTCACGTTTCTATTTCTGAGTCCCTCTTGAGCTCTTACCTCCAGGCTGTCGATAGCGGAGGTGCCGAGGAGTTGAGGGGGATCTGCAAGGTGAAAGTTCTGTGGTGTCCGCTGCAGGGGAGCTTTCCACTCCTGCTCGGTCCGCTGGTGCAGACTCTAGGACTGCTGCTTGAAAACATCATGAATTTTAACAACCAGGCCATGAATTCAAGAGCTTCTTGTCAGTATCATGCATGGAAACAAAAGTTCATTACAGATAATAAGCATTTCATTAAAGGGCTTTAATATGAAATCAAGTCAAGTACTAATGACACTAAATCTAAAAAAGGATCTTCTCTAACCCTGTCTTGATGACCCTGTTGGGCCTGGCTGACCCTAGCTGACCCTGGCCAGCCCCTTCTGTCAAATGCAGCAGCAGATGTTAAAGTAAACGGGGGTATGTGGTGGATCCCCTGCCCTTCCAAATGTTTTTGCTTTCTCTGAGTGGGGAAAGATAACTTTGTCAGGTCAAAAATCAGATTGGGATTACAAATCGGAACTTCACCAGTTCTTTGCCTGTGTTGCCCCCTAAACCAACCAAAGTTTGAATCTCTATAATGTGGCCCTCACCAGGGATCTCTGGGTCTCCCAGAGATCTAAAGCTATGTTGTCCAAAATGACAGCACTACCCAAACGTGGCTATGTAAATTTACATTAACTAAAGTTAAATTATTATTTTGGCTTCCCACTTGCACTACATTGAGTGCTCAGCAGCCACATGTGGCTAGTGGCTATGGTATTGAACAGCCCAGATATACAGTATTTCTATCCTCCCAGAAAATTCTACTGGGTATCTCTGAGCTAGAGCTACAGATCAGCAGGAAACACGTGAAAATCTTTTAAATGAACCATTGGGAGGGTTTAAGGTCATTTGAGCTTCTTTGCTGCAGCTAACATCCCAAGAATAACACACACATCATTTTAGGGTCACCCTTAGGCCATTACTAATGATGTTTCTATGCCCCTCCCACTGATTTATTAAGCAGGTAAGACTACAACTTTGTGTATGTTCTTTCAGAGAAAAATACCACAAAAATGTAATACATTTCCAACGATTCTTCCATTCTTCTTGGGCTTTTCATTAATTCCCATTGATAACAGCTTAGTGTCACCTCCACTAATTGTACATTAATCCTGTCAGCAGAACTACTTTGCTTTGCCATTCCATTCAAGATTTCACTCAACAAACTTTCAAAAATCTCTAATGACTTCATCTAAGGCCATTTTTATACTTGCATGTGACTTATCCGCTTAGAAATATGGCCACAATTTTGCTTTTTTGAAACACAAAGGGGCCAGGAAAAGGAAATGGTTAGAATCTTTCTCTGAATGACATAATTACAGTAAAGCTGGCAACGATGCAAGATGCAGACAAAAAAAATCAGTGCTTAGCTGTCGGTTTTATTATTTTCTAAATAACTGCCCCAAAATTCAGTAATGGAAGGCATCTGCTCTGTAAGAACGAGCAGAATATCAAATACATGTCCTTGGTCTGATTCAACCATTCAGTCATCTCAGGAAAATGAGAAAATCATTAGACAGCAATTACATTGAACCCAGGAAATTTCCCAATGAGAAAAGCTGGATGGACCCTGACTGTTCTGAAAGAACAGGAAAGCAAAGAAGAATCCTGTAAGCTAACAGGCACCTACAGAGAGAAGAAACCATGCCAGCACTGGGGGCTGAGGGGAGAATTCCTTCTGGCATATTCACTTTTGATCAGGCTCCTTGCAAACAGCTTTGCCTGCAGGACGAGTGGGCAGATGTGGCTCAAAACAAATGCTAAAATCGGGAGCACTTTCAGCCCACAGGCAGGCAATTTTCAAACTAAGAACACAGAAACAGACACTAGTGCTGTGGGCTGTGCAGCAACACAGGTGGCTAAGTTGCACGGCCATGGTCTAAGTGAACACTGAGGGAGTAATGGGGTCTGAATACAGTGAGCGACCCTTTGGCTTGCCTTTCTTGCCTGCTGTTGGTTTGGTTTTTGTTGAGAACCCATCACTGGGTGGAATCTGGATATCTGAGTCTGGCTGATATTTGTGTTTTGTAGAAGCACCTGGGGTTGAAGAAGATAGAAACTGACTGGTAATGAGAAGAGAGGGTATTAGTGAATGTTGGATGAGTCTGGAACAGACGTGAGGAATGAGTTGGAGGGAAATTAAATTGAATTATTTTTTCCCTAAGTTCATTGCCTCACTCATTTTAAAGGATATTTCCTATTTCGCTTCTTTCTCCTCACATTGTTTGACGTTCTCCTGCCAGAAAATTTTGCAAGGCTGGCATTATCATTGCAATGACAATAAAAATGGACAAAGGTCACTAGCACTTTTCAAAAAACATGCCCTGAAATGAATAGCTGGATGGCAGTGAGGGAGACGTATGGCATCAATAGGGACCTAATTGGCAAAACTGATATTATACAATGAGGTGGTGTGGGGTTGTATTCTTAAGTGAAAAGCAGAAAATGTGTAAGTTCTTGGCACGGGATTCATATTCAAGTTTGCCAACTGTTTTAAGTGTTAACATTATGTGATACACGCAAACATCTTTCAAATTAAAGATGGATCAATGTCTCCTTTTTCTTTGTCAACTCAAATTTTTAAGACTAGACAGCAGGGTTCACACAGCAGCACTTTTGGCTCTTACAGACATCACACACACACACACACAACTTTCAGACTCATGCTGAAGTAGTGTTCATCCATGACTTTCCTAAAACTATTCACGACCAGTATTGCCCATACACCAATACAAAAAAACAAAAACAAAAACAAAAAACCCTACAACTGAGTCTGTAATTTGTTTCACTTATTCAGAAAAATGCCAAAGAGCTACCTCAACCCGAGCCTTAATTCTAAACTTTCTACCCAGAGTGTTTCCTTCGCAGGGATCCACAGGATAAATTGTTCTCAGTCTCAAGAACTAGCAAGCATGTGCCCGCACAACCAATCTATTCCTAGCCTTCAATATGAATCACAATAATTGATTATATTCCTGTCTTTACTGTGCCAGCAGAGGAGCTTGGAACCAAAGTCAGGGGACTCTAGGAATTGCAGAAGACCACACAGTATTCATTTGTTCAGTAACCATACACTTGGCCACACACAACTTATTCCTTTTCTCCCATTGTCTGATTTCCTTACCTATTTTATTTTATTTTTGTCTTTGTTTTTTGTATTTTTGAGACAGGGTCTTACTCTGTGACCCAGGCTGGAATGCAGTGGTATGATCAGAGCTCACTGCGTCCTTGACCTCTTAGGCTCAAGTGATCCTCCCGCTTCAGCCTCCTGAGTAACTGGGACCACAGGTGCACACAGCCACATCTGGCTATTTTTTTTATTTTTATTTTTAGTAGAGACAAGGTCTCACTATGTTGCCCAGGCTGGTCTCGAATTCCTAGGCTCCAGCGATCCTTCCACCTCGGCCTCCCAAAGTGCTGGCATTACAGGCATGAGCCACCATGTCCAGCTACCTATTTCATTTTAATGTAGTTGTACCCTGTATCTCTCTGAATGACCACCTTAAATATTTTTAAGTATAAGATGGGAAATAAATGCATTAAAAAGAAATTAGAGGACAGCTATAGAAAGGGAAAAGAAATAAAGATGCAAAGAAGTGGCTTAATGGAAGGATTAAGGGAGGGATCAGGGTAAAATGAGAGCTAAGGGGGATGCATTAGGTGGTGAATGTGACTAAGAAGCCTGGGGAGCAGAGGAGCTGACAGCTCTGGAGTAAAGGTTGGCTCTACGGGCTTCACCAAGTGCCATGGGCCCCTCCTAGATACATACAATCTTGGACTTTCTCCATTACCCAGAGTGGAAAGAGCTCAGCATTTAACTATTTTAGAGTACTGGAACTCTAAAATGATATTTCTAACCTATGAACCATCTGGATAAATTAACTGAAAAAAATATAACACTAAATCACTTGTTTTGGGGAAATCCAGTGAGAAGCAGAGGCATGAAGCCTTCAACTTAATTCTCTAATATGAGAAAGAGCCTAATATTTCGGCCATACTGTTATTCACAGGTTCCCTCCATCTGCTGGCCCCAGGCCATGAATGATCAGTGCTGCCACATGACAAAGCTCTCCAGCAGCCACTGGCTGTGTCCACATGATCCCACTCTGTCCAATATCTGTACTGACAGGTCTTCGAAGCCTGTGTCAGTGTCCTTCCCTAAGAGCTTGATCCAGCTCTTTCTCATTTATCTTGGTCTCTCCATGCTATGATTTGATATGTCCCCTAAAGTTCATATGTTGGAAACTTAAACTCCAATGCAACAGTGTTGAGAGGTGAGACCTCTAAGAGGTGACTACATCATGAGTACTCTGCACTCATGAATGAATGAATGCCTTTATCTTGGGAATAGAATGAGTTTGGCCTACTTCACTCTCTTTCCCACCCATGTGATACTTTCCACTATATTATAATGCAGCAAGAAGGCCCTCACCAGATGCCAGCCTCTAGAACTGTGAGAGATACATTTCTGTTCATTATAAATCACCTAGTCTCAGGTAGCACAAAACAAAGACAGAAAATTAGTACTGAGAAGTGAGGTTACTGCTATAACGAATACCTGAAAATGTGGAAGTGGCTTTGGAACTGGGTAATGGACAGATGCTGGAAGAGTTTGAAGGAATGGGCTAGAGAAAGCCTGTATTGCCATGGATGGAGCGTTAAGGATGATGCTACTAATAGTCAGCGCTCAGAAGAAGAGAAGAGCTTTCAAGAGTCTGAATCTCCTTAGAGATTACTTAGGTGGTCATGATAGAATGTTGGTAGAAATATGAATAGTAAAGGCAATTCTGGTGAGGTCTCAGATGGAAATGGGAAACAAGGTGTTGAAAACTGGCATAAAAGCCATCTTTGTTACAAAGTAGCAAAGAACTTGAGTGAATTGTGTTTATGCCCAAGGGCTTTATGGAAGGTAGAACTTCAGAGTAATGAACTAGGATACCTGGTGGAAGAAATTTATAAGCAAAATATTAAGAAGCTGCATGGCTACTTTTAAATATATGCAAGAGGAAAGAAATGGTTTAAAGGCAGAATTTATAACTGAAAGGGAAACAGAGCAGAAAGACTTGGAAAATTTGCAGCTCAGCCACGTAAAGAGTGAAAAGGCCTTTTTGGGAGTGCAAACCAAGGCTGTGGCCAAGTGACCTTTCGCTAAAAAGATTAGTACTAAAGAGAGTATGGCTAAAAGAGAGCCAGGTGTTATTCATTAAGACAATGGGAGAAAGACTCCAAAGGTATTTCAGAGATCTTTCAGACAAGATAGGACCTTGAGGGCCAGGTTGACAGAGAGGAATCTAAGGGACCACAGCATTTGCTGCCCAGGGCTGCTCCCCACATTCCTGTGCAGTGCTCCTCAGCCACACTAGCTGTGGCCCAGGCAAACCCAGGTACAGCTTCGGCCACCGCACCAGAGGGTGCACATGGAAAGCACTGGTGGCATCCATGTGGTGCTAATTCTGCAGGTGCACAGAATGCACAAGCTGTGAAGGCACAGCTTCCTTCACCTAGATTTCAAAGGATGCTGCAGAGAGCCTAGGGTCCCAGGCAGAGACCTATTGCAGGGATGGAGACACTGAAGAGAGTCCTCACTGGGGCAATGCCTAGTGGAGCCATGAGAGTGAGGCCATTGCAGAAATCCTAGAACTGCCAGCATGCAACACCAGCCTGAGAGAGCTGCAGACAAGAGGCTCTAATCTATGAGAGCTGAAATGTGGGCTGAGCCCAGAAAAGTCATGGGAGTGGGCCTGCCTAAGGCTTTGGGCACCCAACCCCACCCCAGTGTACTCAGGAGGCAGCACATGGAGTGAAATATTATTCTGGAGTCTTAAGAGTTAATGTCTGCCCCGTTGGGTTTCAGACTTACTTGAGGCATGTTATACCTTTCTTTTTGCCTACTTTTCCCTTTTACAATGGGAATATCTATCCTATTCTGGTCCTACCACCATATTACAGTTGGAAGGGAATTTGCCTCAGGATGAATCATGTCTTGAGTCTCACCCATATCTGATTCAGGTCTCACCCGTATCTGATTCAGGTAAGTCTCTGGACTTCGGACTTATCAGTTGATGCCAAAACAAGTTAAGACTTTGGGGGCTATTGGGATGGAATGAATATATTTTACATGTGAGAAGGACATAAATTTGGGGGAAAAGGGACAGAGTGTTATGGTTTGAATGTTTCCCCCAAAGTTCCCATGTTAAAAACTTAATTCCCAATGCAACAGTGTTGAGAGGTGGGACCTCTAAGAGGTGATTATATCATGAGGCCTCTACACACATAAATGGATTAATGCCATTATTGCAGTAGTGGGTTCCTTATAAAAGCCTAAGTTTGGCCCCCTCTCCTCTCTTTCACGTCTATGTGTTGCCTTCCACCATGTTATGACAGAGCAAGAAGGGCCTCACAAGATGTCAGTGCCTTGATCTTGAACTTCCCAACCTCCAGAATTGTGAGAAATAAATTTCTATTCATGTACAATTATCTAGTTTAAAATATCCTGCTATAACAGCCCAAAACAAAGTAAGATACCCCAAGTCTAACTTTTTTCCAGCTTATTGTTCCAGGGAAAAAAACTATTGATTTCTACTTTGTCCTAGACAGTAGCTCAAGCAGCTTTCATGATAAGGTATTGGATCATCACCTTGAAGACTAAAACTAGGGAAGTTGGTGATCGAAGTGGAACATTCCCTGCACAACAAGTTAAAGTGGAACACTTAATCATGCTGATATCAAATAGATATTTGCACACCATATTCATTGCACCGTTATTCAAACAGCCAAGAGGTGGAAGCAACCAAAATGTCTATTGATGGATAAATGCATAAAGAAAATGTAGTATCTGCATACTGCATTTTCTTATTATTCTACCTATTAAAAAAGGAAATTCTATCACATGCTATCATATGGTTGAACCTTGAGGACATTACACTAAGTAAACTAAGCCATTCAAAAAAGGACAAATATTGAATGATTCCACATATATGAGGTACTTAAACTTAAAGCAGTCAAATCTGTAGAGACAGAAAGTAGAAAGCTGGTTGCCAGGGGCCGGGGGAGAAGAAAATGGGGTATTATTCAATGATTATAGAGTTTCGGTTTTGCACGATGAAAAAGTTATAGAGGTCTGTCGTTCAACAATACTATTGAGCTATACACTTAAAGATACTTAAGATGGTAAGAAGAAGAAGGAGGAGAAGAAAGATTCTCTAGGAGAGTTGTTGTTTTGAAGTTTACTCCGTGCTAGAAAGCCCTAAGAGGACTACTAACAAGGTCTGCTCTACAGGGCTGCCCATGCTGTCAAAACAGGACAAAGCCTGTCCTTTCAGAAGCAGTGATGCTTGTGATACTTGCAGAAATGGCATTCACTGGCTGGGTATGGTGGCTCATGCCTGTAATCCCAGCACTTTGGGAGGCTGAGGCGGGTGGAACACCTGAGGTCAGAAGTTCAAGACTAGCCTGGCCAACATGGTGAAAGCCCGTCTCTACTAAAAATACAAAAATTAGCAAGGCATGATGGTGCGTGCCTGTAATCCCAGCTACTCAGGAGGCTGAGGCAGGAGAATAGCTCGAACCTGGGAGGCAGAGGTTGCAGTGAGTCAAGATTGTGCCACTGCACTCCAGCCTGGGAGACAGAGTGAGACTCCATCTCAAAAAAAAAAAAAAAAAAAAAAAAAAAAAAAAAAGAAATGGCATTCACCACTAGTGATTACCACCACACCTTTACTTATATATTCTCTTTGCCCAGAAATTCTCCCATCTCTTCTTTCCAACCCACATATGTTTTGGCTCATGTCAAAGACACTTCTTAATTCTGCTCAACCAGATGTGATCTCCCTGCTCTTCAGCTTCCAGAGCACTCTATCTACACCTCTTATACCACTTGCCCATATAGTTATGTTGTGTCTGTATTATCCACATAACTAGAGTATGACAGTGAAGGTGCTATTTACCATTGTGGACTCTAGCACACACAGTATCCTGCACAGAGAAGAGGCTCACTCAATGATTCTTGAACAGACTTTACTGTATCCTCATCCCAGCCCCATGAGCAATCAAACCACAGCCTCCAAGCCACTGGTGTTGGACACTGAAATGTTTGTTCCTAAAGGTTTCCTCAACAAAAACAAAATAAAACAAAATAAAAAGAGAGAAAGAGAGAATCCCGACTTATCTCCAGATTTCTCCTCTCCTATCTACCGCAGTGCAGTAAAGAAGGTGAAAAAACTTGCCATGATCTGAAAGCTCCTGTACTTCCCATACCCCCATGCCCCATTCCAGTCATTCCCTCCACAGGGTTTCCCAAGCACTGGCGCTGGGTGCAACCCTGAATGCACTTGTCAGCTTGTGCGCTGCCTCATTATTCCTGATAAGAATCCATCATGATTTTGCTTAAGCTTGTTGTTCTAATGACTTTTTAATTATCTTCTCCCTTTCCTCCTCCTTAGTTGCTAACTTGTCAATTTAAAGACTTTAAAAGAGTGCAACTTTTGATTATGACAACCACTCCAGTTAAAATTCCATTAACTACTTCACTCAGGAAGCTTATTTAAATGATCTGAGCTAGAAGCACATAGAAGCTTCAAGCAGGTAGAAAGGCAAGCCTCTATGCATCCATCTGGGCAATCCACCTTGAAATTGGACACTTTGTCTGATTTATTGCCCAATTTTTATTATATTATCAATAAGTCAGTTCTTATACAGTTTTTTAAAAGCTGTTTGTAATTTCACTGTGAATCATTTTTATTTTCATTACAGAAACATTGGACTTTAAAAGCAACAAGAATCACCTCTTCCAACCCTACACCGTACCAAGCTGAGAAAGCTAAAATGATGGGAGAGAGGACCCTCGATCAGTTCACTGTATATTTTATTTCATTCATTCATTTAACAAAAATTTACTACTTGTCAGGCACTGGCCAAGACACTGAGGGTATGGAGGTGAGTAAGACAGACTGCTGATCTCATGGAGCTTACATGGCAAAAGTGGCCAAGCAGAGGAAAGAACAAGTGCAAGGACCCTGGGGCAGGAAAGACCAAAATGCTTTTGACACAAAAAGGAAATCAATGTAACAGTAGCCTAGTAGATGAGGGAGCGTGGCAGGAGCAGGGGCTGGAGAGGGGGACAGGATCCATGTCTCACAGAACTGAAGGCCCTGGCAGGGAGAATGTACTTTATTCTAAGTGTGACAGGAAGTCAGTAGAGAATTGAAGCCAGAAACCCTATGACCTAATCAACATTTTAAAAAAACTATTTTGGCTACGTCACAAGCAATTAACACTGTCTCCAATTTGGTTTCTCTCCTATACCTCTGCTATAACATGGAGCACTGTCCTCATAACTAAACTAAAGAAGCCATTGTGGTACTTCCAGCCTAGCTCATCCTCAGCAGGGAAAGGCTGGAGGTACACAGGTACCTAAGGCAAATAAGGGAGGAGGAGAAAGCTCTGCAGCCTGAGCTCACGGGTGAGGGTACCCACAACCTCCCAGTGTGCAAAGCACCATGCTAGGCTCTTCAGCCAACCAGTCTTAACCAAATTCCAAGAACTCTCTAGCAATACCATTCAGATATGCTATTCTCCCATAGACAACTGACCACAATAAGCCTTTTACTACAGGGGCATAAGGACAACTAATCTTGCTTTCTGTTCCAGAAGGGCCAGAAGAATCTACAGGAATTTTCTCTTCTAACTAACCATTGAGCTCATTCTACTTTCTATGCAGAAGTATTACAGTTGTAAAGAAAGGGAACCAGTGTTCCAAAAGGAAGGGTGAGGAGGCAGGCGGCCAGCAAATGTGGGGTGTAATTATGCAAATGTGCTAGATAATACCTTTTTGAATACTTCGTTTTAGCTTGTTACACAGATCCACGCGTGGGTTATCGACATTCTCTTCTACCGTTCCCGGGCTTTGCTCTGGAGAAGAGAGGCCTCTGCTGAGATCCAGTGGTATCTGACCAGTGTGTGGTGGTGGAGACGCAGCGGGACTCTGGGTGGTGGTGGTGGGACTGCTGGAAGTTGTCAGGTCCAATGCTCCTATCTTTGAGTTCAAGGGAGAAGTCAAAGACAGCTTTCTGGCCCTCACTGGGGAAGATGTTCTGGACACAGCCAGTGGTGGCGGGGAAGAGAATTTGCGACACAGACGTGGGGATTTGCCATCCACCAAATGTTCACCTCTGTTGTTCTGGCTGGTAGCAAAAAACAATTCCAATGACCTAAAAATGAGAGCAAAAGTGGCTAAGAGATTGTAGCCAAGTGAAATGAATTCCCAGATGTCATTCAAGAACATGTTCCCTTCATTTATAGGTCACAATCTCATTGCACTTCTATTGCTGGACTTCCGTTAATCTAAATGCTACATGTATACCCTCCACCTGCCAAAGAAGCACAGACACTTATTAGGCATCGTCTAATCCCTTGCTACTAAACTGTGGTCCAAACAGCAGCATTGAGATCTCTGGGGAGCTTGTTAGACGTTCAGAACTCAGGCTCCACACCAGGCCTGCTGAATCAGAGCCAGCAATTTAACAAGACACCCTCCCCACACCACACGCAACTGATTCTTATGCATATTAAAGTTTTAAAATCATAATTGTCAAAAAAAAAAAGAAAGAAAGAAAGAAAAAAGAAAAGCCGAAAGCAATGGAGTTCGTTTACAAATAATCACAGAACAAGCAAAGGCCAACTGGAAATTTCAGGTTTTCAACTTCGTGCCTGGGGAACTCTGTGTGACCTTTACATATGGCCTTCTGCTGGAGGGGCATGGTACATTCAGAGGCAAGCTAGTACACCCTAGGAGCTGCTTTGCAGAGCTGGCCTGCTCATCCTCATGGTGACTCCGGAACGAAGAGGGCCATATGCGAATGACAGGCTAACCTCTAGCAATAGGTGTACCTGACAGGGATGGAGGTGAAAGGCCTCTTGTATATGTCGGAGAGTTTCCCCAGCACCACAGCGGCAGTAGTGAAAATACGATAGGTGTGCAGAAAGGTGTTGAGGAAATCAATACTAAGAAACCGCAAGTCTGTCAGTCGTTCCAAGAGGCGCTCCACGCTGGCATAACGGATCTGGGGCACTTTGCAGGAGTTGAGTGTTTTACTGAAGCAAATGTCAGTGTCGTCTTTATGAAGACGGGCATCAGACCTACGTGCAAAGGCAGGAACATGATGGTAAAACCAGGAGGAGGCTTCCCCCTCGGCCACTGAATATTTCAGCGTTTGTAATCACACACTCAGGAGTGGGCTTCTCACTGCATTTGATAGGAGAGAGATAATTGCACAGTTGTCCCTCAGTATTCTTGGGGGATTGGTGCCTTGATCCCCCCACCATATTAAAATCCACAGATGCTCAAGTCCCTGATATGAAATGGTATAGTATTTCCACATAACCTATGCACATCCTCCTGTATACTTTAAATCATCTCTAGATTACAATACTTAAAACAATGTGAATATTACGTAAAACGTTATCCTGTATTTTAAAAATTTGTATTATTTTTTATTGTTGTATAGCTATTTTTTGTTTTTCTTTCTTCCAAATATTTTGGATCTGCGGTTGACTGGTAGGTAGAGGGCTGATTGTGTATGTCTATATGACATATAGACATATAGGCATAGGCAGGGCTATGAAAATATCAAGTTTTTGGAAAGCCAGAATTAATAATGGAGGAGGTAAATAATAATTTGTCTCACTCTGTGGATTCCTTCTCTCTAATTCAGTCATGTTTTATTAGGAAGATGAAGCCAAAAGCCCTCTTTAGGAGTGGGGGAAAGCATTGCTTATGCCCTTAAAGCAAAATATCAAAAGTGTGCATAAAAAGTAGTGGGTGACACCTCCCAAACAGGGGGACACAGATATCACTGCTATATCCGCAGTTATTTCTTTCTCCTGACTTTTAATTTTGTACATTTGTGCTTTCCTCACCCCTCCCCTTTTATTTTTTTCGGATTAAACTGATGGATATAGGGTTAGGTATTTTGCTCTCTAGAATCAGCTCTTTTTATTTACCCCTTCTACTGTTTTTTATATTGTATTAATGTCTCTTCTTATTTCCTTCCTACACTTTCCTACAGTTTAGTCTCTCATTCTTTTTCTAAGTTCCTGATTTGAGTGCCTAATTCATTTATTTCATTCTTCCTGGCTTATTAATGCCTTTTAAGGATATCTATCTTCTGAATACTGTGTAATCCATAAGTTGCAAGTGTGACATGTTATGTTTTTATTATGTTTTCAAAATTCTGTGGTATTAAAAATGTCTTCACTTAAAAAAAAGTAATGGGTGTAAGATATTCCCCTGAATAGCACCTACCACTGCCATCCTGCAATCCACTGCTTTTGTCATTCTGTAAAACCTCCCATCTGGCTGCCCCGAACCCCTCACCTTCAGACCATTGCACTGGCAGCCTCTCCAAGTGGACAACGAGGACCACCAGTAGCTTTCACTTCCCCTTCTGAGATCCCTTGTTCACCTTCACTGCAGCATTTCAGGACCGGCGATCAATGAAGTCCTGAATTTCACCACTTGATTAAAGGATATGCTACAGGGTAGGGTCAGTGACGTTCAGTGAGCCAATTGCTTGCTAAGAATCTGTTGGCTGAGAATCAGTTGTGAATGCCTTTAATTAGCCCTTTCAGCGCTTTGAGGGATTTGAAATTATATATCTATTTTCTTTCGGATAAAAAGGAATCAACTGCTTTCTTAGCTTGCTCTTAGAAACATCCCAGCCCAAAGTATGCTCAGTGCAGATGGAAGTACTTCATCTGCAGGCCTGAAAGAGCATTTTCAATGAGCAGCTTCACCCTGCCAAGGAGCTGACTGGGGTGGCCCGTTAGCTTGAGTTACATTACTGATCTTGAAATGCCCAAGTGCATCTTTTGAGATTCTTGAAAATAACAAGGCTCTTTCTTCCACTCACTATGTGTCCCTCAACCAACTTTATTTTTCTGGTTCTTAATTTGCTCATTCGTAAAAAGATCTGAGAAAATTTTATGAATTCATCACCCTGTCCAGAAGATGGCTGAGCTAGATAATCACTTGTTATCCCATCATTTTCCACCAAAAAATCTCTAATTTCTAAGAAAGTTGAGATCAAGTATTATTAAAAGAAGTCATAGTCTACATACCCTATAAAGGGATATTTTCACCTAATAAGCGTCATGATTTTCACATTCTATTTGTAGTTTTGAGCTTTGCATCTTTTGACTATAATTAGCTTATTTGAAACACTAGGACAAAAAATGTGTTGAAGCCAGCATGAAATTAAAATAAAACTGACTAATTACACCACTTTCCTTCAAAATCGTGATTACATTTTCATTTTAAGTAAAGAAATTAAATATTATGAAATTATTTAGCTTTCTTTTATTACACTGAGTAGAATCTTACTTTATTTCCTAAGAGACACTCAAGAAAAATATAATACATTACTGAAGTCTCCTATGATAACAGCAACTCCTTTTTGGTAAACACTTAAAAAGCAATCTTGAGAGATCAAACCCAAATCATCTATTATAATTGGTAAGTTTTAAAAGGAAGTGAGTGCTTACAAAGTGACGCCCTGTCAGTAAGAAGACACAGTTACAATAAGATAATTTTTTTTCTTTTAACTCTGAGAAACATTGGGATTTTTCTTCATAGTTTATAGATAGGGAAATAGATACATAGGGAGGAATACAAACTTCAGGGAAGAATAGAGCCATCAGAAGGAACAGAGATTGCAAAAATCTCTTTCCTCTGATTGAGGATAATCAGGCTCAATAAGGCTGGGAAAAAATAGTAGTATATACATAAAACTTCACTCTGCCTTGGGAATAAATCTAGTGTACTATAGATATGTTGGATTTAATAGAAAATCTTTACAGTCCAAGATACAGGTTTCTGTCCTAACAGGAGAACAATTCCAGTTCATTAAGTGTCACCTCTGTGCACCCAAAGGCAGAAAAGTCCTGGTCTGTATGTAAGTGGTTACACAAATGAGATTGGACGTAGACACTGGTAAACTGCCACAGTGGGGGACAAAAGATGCATTTGGGTGCCAGCAACAACTGATCAGGCACAAAACTGAAGTCTTCGTTGGTATTTTTTTTTTAAATGGAGTCTTGCACTGTTGTCCAGGCTGAAGTGCAATGGCGTGATCTCGGCTCACTGCAACCTCTGCCTCCTGGGTTCAAGTGATTCTCCTGCCTCAGCCTCCCGAGTAGCTGGGATTACAGGTGTCCGCCATCATGCCCGGCTAACTTTTTGTATTTTTAGTAGAGATGGGGTTTCACCATGTTGGCCAGGATGGCCAGGCTGTTCGCAAACTCCTGAACTCAGGTAATCCACCCGCCTCGGCCTCCGAAGTGCTGGGATTACAGGCGTGAGCCACCGCACCTGGCCTATTATTTTAATTTTTATATGGAACTTGAACATCTTAGGATTTTGTCCTGAGTGAAGACATATGTAACAGTATAAAAAACAATTTTTCTATGCTATGAGTTAATAAACTGTGAATGTGAAAAACCATTTTGATAGTCTCATTTATAATGGAATCATATGAATCACTGCATTCCTGTCAAGAAACATATTCTCAACAAGAAGCAGAATTCTATTGACACAGTATTTTATTCAAGGTTTTACATGTTCCGCCAATTTAATCTTGATTAAAATGTAAAGGAAAGGATTCTCACACTTACTTAATCATATGTGGCACAGTGACTTTGGAATTCTCTTCAAACACTATAGTCATTAAACCATTACATCGTATATTGTCCACACACTGTGAAATAAAAAGTTGACAATTACAACCCACATGAAAGCCTAGGCAGATCATATATTCCCACAATTGTTTATAGCTAAAAGAATCCATTCAATTTCTCTCTCCCTGTCTCTTACACACACACACACACACACACACACACACACACACACACACACACAGAGTAGGTAAATATTATACACTGATGAACAGATTCAGTATTCAGACACCAAAACTGTATCAACTAAATGCCTGACAAATACCTGAGGACAGATACAACAGCTGTACTTCCCCTGAATGTGTTTCCCAAGAATTCTGACCACAATGTCACTTTGTCACAATTCTTTGGCAGCTCCAATGCTATTTGAGAGGTGATTGGGACCTGACCATGATTGCTCTTGCTATATTCATTTTCTGCAACCAGGGGGTGGTGTAGAGTAGTCAGATTGGAAATAGTGGCTTCCTAGGATGGAATTCATCTTCTGTCTCACTAGTAAGCTCTGCCTCTGCTTCTCAGGTATTCTTTGCCAATAAATTCCCACATTTTACTAGTACCTCTGGCAGCCCCTACTGATACTAATGCTGTTTGGTGAAGGGACAGTGTGTAATTTCTCCTGTCTCTGGCATGCTTAAAGCCTTGTATCATCTTTTTCTCTTTTCCAAGAGGAGAGTTCAGGAAGCTGTGCTAATTTTCTCTGCCTTCATTATTTAATCTATGCCTTATCAATTTGCGTTTTCTCTCTGTAATTATTTTGGGTTAGAGAAGAATTTATTTTGACTTATACATATTCCCTTTGAACAAAACAGGAAAATGAAAAAATATAATCAATTTTTAAAATAAAAAATAGCTTCTAGTCGCTATGATACTATATAGTGTTTTGTGGCTATAATTAAATAGTGCAGTGAAGCTGATTGCAACGTGACCTCACATAGGTCCTGAACTCAGGGTCTACCCTAAACACCAATGTTCTAATAAAAGAGTGAATATGCCGGTAAGAAACTTTAGATCACTGGAATTCTGACTATTCAGTCTACTTAGTATTTCAGCCATTTTCATACTTGTTTTTCCTTAAAACTTTGTTTTCCTCATGTCTTATGCCATTATTTCAACTACAAAGCATAAAGGATGCCACTTGTGGCAAGTAAGTAGAATATTTTTAAGCTCCCCTTCAATATATTTCCTTAAGCTACAGCATCTGGAAGTAATTTGGAGTTATATTTTCATATAAATAATTATGATCATCTACCTATAAATTTGGCCATTTTTGCTTATATGTGAATTTATGCTCCACCTTATCCCACGAGTGGATTACAAAAACACATATAATAAGACAGAGTCAAGATAAGTGAGAAAATCAGAGATGATTTAGATAAAGGATGGCAAACAATAAGACGAAGCCTGAAATGGAACCACCACACATACTTTATGTTGAGAGCGCTTGCCAGAAGTGAGCCTCAAAATTAGCAGGGCTGTGGAGTAGTCAACTCAAAGAGGGACTCAGTGTTAGCTACGAAATTCACAGTTTAGTAGAAAGTCAATTAATCCTGGTCTAGGACCAGACAGGACAATTATCTCATGGGTTCTCATCAAGAGAAATATTGAATAATGTAGTGAACAATGTCCTCAACAATATCTTGTTATTATTATTATTTTTTAGAGACACTGTCATTCTGTTGCCTAGGCTGGAATGCAGTGACACAATCATAGCTCACCGTAACCTCAAACTCCTAGGATCAAGTGATCCTCCTACCTCAGCCTCCTGAGTAGCTGGGACTACAGGTGTGTGCTACCACAGTGAGATTTTTTTTTTTTTTTTTTTGTAGAGACAGGTTCGTGCTATGTTATCCAAGCTGGCCTTGAACTCCTGGGCTCAAGCGATCCTCCCATCTTCGCCTCCAAAATGCTGGGATTACAGGTGCGAGCCACTGCACCTGGCCAACAATATCTTTAAATAACTACAAGTTTTGGCAAACTGTTTTGTATAAACAGCTGAAAGTACAATTCCAAACACACAACCCTGTAGTGGACCCCAAAGAATGTGACTCAGAGGCCCATCCTTCCTCTGCTGGTCTGGTTGCAAGCACAGGTTTCACACTTTCTAGAAAAAAGCAGGGGCTGCTCTTCTTCACACTGAAGAAATGCTGCTTCTCTTATCCTAGTTCGTGTAAGTCGTGAGCATCAGGAAGTTGGAAATAGTGTTTTCCCAGAAATCCTGAAACTGCTGCATCCTGTGTGTCCAGTTATGTAGAGTCAGTGTTTCAACCAGCAAGCCAAGCTGCCAGTAAGTGGGATATCCTCTTGTGCCCCAAGAAAGGCCACACTACCTCTCTATGGGAAAGTTCTGTCAGGACCTGATGAAAATACACATCAAGGGCCCTGTTTCAAAGTGGGAACATACATGGAAGAATGAAGAGATGGGGCTGGCTGGTGCACGCATTCATAATGGAGAAGAAAGTAAGAGAGAGGACAGAGAAATCAGTTGGAGGCAGGCTATAGAGAAAGGAGTCTTGAATTTTAATTTTATCCTATAGGCAGATGGGAAGCCACTGAGGGTTTCTAAGCAGCTCACTTACGCTGAAAGATCTAAACTGACCTCATGGTGGTATTCGTTCAATGGAAACGAGGGGAGAATGAATGGAGACCCAAGGGATGATCAGAATAATACTGAATCAGTAAATGAAATGATTCATACCTCCCCTAAGGCAGACTGTGAGAATGAAGAGGAAAGGGTGGACATACATATTTTGAAGAAAGGAATAATAAAAATTGATGAACTACTGAATAAAAGCAAGAGAAAAAAACAAGGTAAAATCAAAGATGGCCATGGTTATAAGGCAATTTTAAATTTTCTGATGCAAATATATTTAAAAGGAAAAAAACATAGCCAAATGTCTTTCGAATCACCCAGAGTTTAAACAAAGTTAGACAGTCTATGTTTTGAATTCTCAAGAGCACCAAGAAGATGCATTGATTACACAGCATTGGGATTTTACTAAATGGCTGTCTTACATCTGCATTTATCAAGTACTTACTATGTGAAGACACTGGGCTAAGTACTGGGAAATGAGGATAAAGAGAAGAAAAGTAATATATGAAAGAGTTTGAAGATGAGTAAGGCAAGTCACTTCAAATTCACTTTACTAATCCTGATGGGGACAAAACAGATTAACATCATCCCTGTTCTTCCCAAGCTATGTGGCGGGGTCAGGGGGTGGGGTAATGAGGAAAAGGATTGGATGGGGAGAGGGGTTGCACACTGACAAGGGTAAGTGCTCCTTCACCCAGCGACCTTTCTAGCTACTCCTTAGACTTCTTTTCACTCTCAGTGTTTCTGAATCACACTGAGGAAGCCCCTTGGGTAACCAACACAGGAAGTGGGAAAGTAGACATGGTGTTTGGTGAGACCTGTGGGAAATGAACAATGTTCCTTCAATTTCCTTTAATATTCTAAGCAAATGGCATAGTTACTGAGACAACAGCCTTAGAATGACTGCACCATCAAGAACAGAGGTGAGGTAATGGGGAGACCACTTAAACTCAGCCCAGAGCTCCCACACAGCTCCAGAGACAACCACACTGTTTAAGTGGAGCCCAGACAAGGTGGGGACGGGCGCTGGAGGTGGCCAGAGTCACAGACCTGGGTCATAAAGAAGCATCTCTGTCTCGTCCTGGACAGGGGGTCAGAAGGCAGAGATTTAACCTGTTTCTTAGGGATTCATAGTCCAAACCCCTGGGGAATACAGGAATTGGGTCTGAAAATCCAGGAAATGCACCACTGGAGATGAGTTCAAAGGGCTTGTCATCCTACCTGCACTAACAGTCAGAGAATGGAAGGGCAGAGCTACCTGGCAGCCCATCAAAGCTACAGGATACCCACAATCAGGGTATCTTAAGATGCAGTTCTCTGGGGGCTGACTTTGTCCACTTCCCTCCTCTTAGAGACAAGAAGGGAAGCAGTTTTTGCTTTTTGAAAGAGGGAACCAAGAGGAAGGGGGTCTCAAGACCAATCTGCCCAGTTCACTTGTCCAGGAAACTCTGCAGGGTTCAAAGTAGGAGTAGGGAAGACAGTCAGCTTCCATAGTCCACAAGCCACGATGTGTAACCCAAGTGCCAAGGAGTGAGAGATGAGCCCACTCCAGGGAGCTGAAATAGAACTTTTTCTCCTGTTCCCAACATAAGAAGCAAGTGCTTTCCCCTCCTCCACCCTTCATCTATGGTGCCAATCCAGGGTTTAGCTGTGTGTCTCTTCTGTTTTCCAGGATCTGGAAAGGCTTTGTGGAGAAAAACAGAAGAGACACACTGAGACATTTTTGATCAGCTACAGTGTTACATATAAACAGCTTAGTCAGAATACTGCATAAAATTTGAGAGAGAAAATATAAAATATATCTGGCTTTTCATACCTAATATGAATACACATAGAGTACTACTTTGGATGGAACAATATTTAACTTGAAAAACCATGAAATTATATAAAAGAGAATTGGAAAGGGGAAATAATACACTGAAAATTATCACAAAAACGATGAAAAATGAAGAGTAAAGAATTTTATTACTATTAAGCTATTTATTTTTTAAATAAATTATTCATCTACGAAATAGGAAAGAAGAGGTCTTCATTTTTTCTCATCTCTCTCTCTTCACGAATATAGGACTTTATAGTTAGAAATTTAAGAGATACAGGCAAAAATGAATAGATATAGACTTTTATTTATCTTAATGTTTTTATTTTTTATTATGAAATAATTCAAATATACATAAAAGAATGAGCCATCCACATACCAGCCACTAGACTTAACTATTATTAACACTTTGCCATATTTTCTACAGATCATCATTTTTCTGTTAAGGATGTAAAACACTATAAACACAGTTAAATCCTCCTCTTTTTTTCCATTCCAATACTCTCTCTACTCTGGAAGTAATGACTATCTTGAAGCTGATGGGTATCCATTTGTCCTTCTTTCATTCCTCTTTTCTTATTTTACTATATATTTGTGTATCTGCCCATCATAAATTACAATATTATTTGCATTTAAATTTTTTATATAGATGCTTGTATTTTTCTCACACAACACTGCTTTTAAGATTTGTTCATATTTATATGCATAGTTCGTTCATTCATATTAACTGCTATATATCCCACTATATAAACATAAATTACAGTTTATTTAGTCAATCTCATATATGTATACATTTAAGAGGTTTTCATTTTCTGCTATAACAAAGATACAGTGACCATTACAAATTTCTCCTTGTGAAAAAGTTTTTTTCCTATCTTTTAATTTTTCAAAGGCAATCTGTCTTTTTACCTTTTGAGATTTTTCTTTTTGTGCTTTATATTCCATAGTTTTACCTCGACGTGTCTAGATGAGGTTTTTATCTGAGTTTATGCAGCTTGGAATTTGGTATGTTTCTTCAGTATGAGGATTCATATCTTTCATCCACTTTTAAAATTCCTACTCATTTTCTCTCTGGAGACTGCATCTTTTCTATTCCCTTGAATCTTTCTTTCTGCAATTCTCATTCCAGAAATGTATATTGGGCCTTCTAACTCTATTTTCCATCTGAATTTCTCATATTTGCCATCTCTTTAACCCTCTTTGCTGTATTTGAGGTAATTTCCTAGAATATAGAATCTATATTCTATAGGTATGTAGAATATATGCTATAGCTATATCTATATCTATCTATAGCTATATAGAATATAGCTATACCTATATTCTATACCTATATATAGGTATAGAACCACATACCTATATATATAACCTGGCTCTTAATCATCTCACTAGCTATGGTTGACTCACTGTCTTTAATGAATTTTCAGTGAATTTCTAATGAGTATGTAATGTTGTGGTCCTGTAGTTTCTAGTTTTAGATTTTTCTACGTGGTTCTTTGACAGGTCAGCCTGGATTTTTTGCATAGTGATCTCTTCTTTCCTTACGGTTTCTTTCTTTCTTTTATAGTTTTATTATACTTTAAGCCTTGTTATTTTATGGTCTTTTCCAAGTTGTCACCCTATTACTTCAGGTTCTTGTAGCGCTAATTCTACTGCTCTCCATGCCTGCTGAGTCTCACTCATGATACATAATTTACTCACAAGATTTGTAATTTTTAATTTGAGCACATGTCACGAGCCCCAGATTGTAGAAGTGTTGCTAATGGAGTGGCTTTGTGTTTCGGGCTGCAAGCATGCTTGGGATTTCAACACTCAAAAGTTATTTTTATAACAATTTCTCAGTTTGGCACTTTACACCATGTGAATAAGTCTGATTTCAAATATGTAGGCCACAGACACATTCTTTTTTTTTTTTTTTTGGGAGACAGAGTCTCACTCTGTCGCCGAGGCTGGAATGCAGTGGCATGATCTCGGCTCACTGCAACCTCCACATCCTGGGCTCAAGTGATTCTCCTGCCTCAGCCTCCTGAGTAGCTGGGACTACAGGCATGTGCCGCCACGCCTGGCTAATTTTCATACATTTAGTAGAGATGGGGTGTCATCATGTTGGCCAGGCTGGTCTCAAACTCCTGACCTCAAGTGATCCACCCGCCTTGGCCTCCCAAAGTGCTGGGATTACAGGCATGAGCCACCGTGTCTGGCCACATTCATTTTTAAAAAGAAGATTTTTAAAAATTCAGAACCCAAAACAAAGACAAACTTCTTTATTTCTTTCCTTGGGTCAATGGGTACAGTTTTTTAGGTTCTTTTTTCACAAAGAGAACACCCTTTCAATGCCCAGACTTTAAATAGAGAACTTGATTAATGGGCCTTAGGCCAACTCTTGCCCTCTTTATATGTTAATACTCCTAGGATGTGGAACTAATAGCTAGTCTAAAATCATTCCCAAGTCTGTAAGTCTTTAGCTTACAAGCTTTCTGCTATGGCTTTAAATTCCCTTGTTTCTGGCAACAAGAGATTTCCCTTCCTATCTATAAATATACCTACGCATTAAAATTTTTTAATTTTAATGATTTTATATGTTAAACATTTCTGTTTTTATAGCTAGAGGGGAACCTAAATCAGCTCAGTCCTCCATACTACCAGAATTGGAACTTGAGATAAACGTTTTAAACTCAAAAGAGGAGATTTATGTGACCATTTCTGCACATCTCATTATCCAGTGTCAAGTCTCATTCATAAATCTTTCTGAGTCATTGTCAAGCATCAAAATTATTTTAGGAATAAAAGGAAATTTTCACTTTCATTCAAGTTTCAGGAGAACAAAATATACATTCAATCCAAACCATACGTCAAAAGGCCATATAATGAAGTCATATTTTAAATTATATAAAAATGTCTTTGATAATTGGTACACAACCTTTAATCTATCCATGAGATGGATGGATGGATAGATGCATGGATGGAGAGAGAGAGAGACAGAGAGAAAGAAAGAGAGACAGAGAGAGATGATAGATAGATCGATCTTATTATGATACATTTATATAAAATAGGGGAATGGTTTTCAAAATGAGTTCCCATCCCCAGACTTTAGGGACATCCCCAGGCTTCACAAACAGGAGTGTGAAAAAAAAAAATGGCTCCTGGAGTCTCTAGGTCTACCAATTTTATTTCAACCAGAGAATTTTGCTTTTATCTTACTTCCATTTGGGACTTGGAGTAATGCTGCAATGAAGAAAGAGTTCTGTTCTAAAAAAAAAAGTTAAACTATAATAGAATTGGTATATGTGAGTGTGTACATGAACAGACTTACAGAGGAAGGTGTGGTAAATATTTATGGTTATGTAAGCATGTACCCTGGTTGTTGGGAAGAAGTGGTGCCTGTATACAGTTCACTTAGTTAAGAAGAAATATATTCAAATAAGCAGGGTTTCAGATATCTTTAATGTCATCTTGAATTTATATGAATTACAATAAACCTTGAAATTAACAGGATAACAAAATTAGATTCCTAGATCATAGATAGTCTAGTTCAGTTTGTAACGGCTGGGATGGGATCTGGGAGTACGTATGTTCACAAAAGCCCCAAGTGATTTTGAAGCAGCTGGTCTTTGGACAAGTGTTGCGAGTGACTTCTCCACCAAGAGTTTTTCAGGGTTTTACCTAAGGCAGTACCTATTTAAAGACCAGCGGTCTACTGTGTTGCCATATTTTCCACCTTCTTGATACTTCTAAGTACTGGGAAGAAAGGTTAGAGTCAATTTTTTTAATTCACCTTTTTATGTTAAAGTAGAAAATTCCCTCTTGATTTCCGAAAAACTATTTTTAGGGAGAAAGCATGTCCAGTGTGCTACAAATTTGTCTACACAGGTCTATATTTTGGGACATCTATCCAAACCAAGAAGCTCAGAGATAAATTTTAATTCTGCATTTTAGTTAATAGCCATAATTACAGTGGATCTGTTTAATAAACCATTATGTATGACACTGAGACAAGCACAAATGAATGTGCTTTATTGAAATAAATAGTCAAATCTTCAGCCTCAAATCGTTCCCTATAAATAGATGAAAAAGGGGAAGAATTATTGGTTGAGACCATTAGCCACTTGCACTTTTTGCTAGAGGCGCCAACAGTTAATTATGGCCTTACTGGTGTAACTAAGAGTGTGATTAATCATTCAAGCAATCGTTCCTTCTAAAAATTACAGCTTCAGAGAGAGAGAGACCTGGCAAAGCTAAAAGTCTTAAGTTTTGTAGAGTTTCTTATGGGAAACTGGGATTGTAGCAATACTCAGGAACCACTTTATCATCTTAAAAAAAGAGCTACCTATGATTAGTATAATACAATACAGTAGCTTAGCAAGGTGGCTTCAAATCAAGCCAGAAAAAGTAAGATTTAGAAAAATAGTGGCCGGGCGCGGTGGCTCACGCCTGTAATCCCAGCACTTTGGAAGGCCGAGGCGGGTGGATCACGAGGTCAGGAGATTGAGACCATCCTGGCTAACACGGTGAAACCTCGTCTCTACTAAACATGCAAAAAATTAGCTGGGCATGCTGGTGGGTGCCTGTAGTGCCAGCTACTCGGGAGGCTGACGCAGGAGAATGGCGTGAACCCGGGAGGCGGAGCTTGCAGTGAGCCGAGATCATGCCACTGCACTCCAGCCTGGGCGACAGGGCGAGACTCTGTCTCAAAAAAAAAAAAAAAAAAGAAAAAAGAAAAATAGTGACAAAAATTAAAACGACAAAATAATGGAGAACATATTCATAATCTAAATAGAAAATGTTCACATCCCTAGTCTATAAGGGTAGTGCCAGTGAATTACTGTCTACCTAGTATAAAAAGACAAACAGAAATAGTAGAAAATGTTAATCTCATTGATAATTACAGAAATGTAAATTAAAACCACTAGAAGGCAAAAACACTTTTCCATGAAATAGAAAAATGTGATAAATGTGACAAATTTAACATTGGCAAGACTTAGAAGAGAGTTACATAGATACCTTGTTGATGATGTAGTGAAATTATAACTTACATATTTCTTGAAGGAATTGTGGCAGTCTGTCACACTAGGAATCATGAAATAAGGAGAGTGATCAGGCTTTTTACACCAGCCTTATACTCTAACTATACACCAACAAGGGACTTTAAAAGAAGGGGAAAACTCCCGCATGAAGATGTTTAGCACCTCATTATATATTAATCCTCAAACTTGGAAACAGCTCATACACTCAACGCTCAATTATTCAGAAAAAGCTATAAAAGCAGTAAATTGATGCAGCTGAATATATTTAATATAATGCAGCTGAATAATAGATAGCCAATATGAATATGAAGAGTTTATAGGAATATAGAAAGAAGTAAATGAGGTAAAAAGCAAACATGATGTATGTATACACTGAGAGGCAAACTGTACAATTATTTCTATATGGCAAGATTGTGGAGACTTTAGAGATGGAAACAGTTCACTCTTCAGGACAGAGGTTCTTTAATTGTGCAGAAGTGATCTATGGAGCTTATGGAGTTTAGAATGGCATCTGGAATGTGGGTTAAGGAATCTGCATTTAAAAACAGTCCTCACGTAATTCTAATGTAGGTTATCTGTGGAAGGTATTTTGATAAACATTTTAGTGTGTTGGGTGTTGGGAATATTTCTAGTTCATTTGTGTGTCCATATTTTCACATATACACAATAAAATATTAAATAGTACATTTCAAGCATTCAGTAAGCTTATCTTATTAATAATGGATATGTCCAGAGATACACTTGAGAGACTAATTCCATGAATGGATACGAAATCTCTCCTATAAAAGGAAAATGCTTGAAGCAGAGAACAAAGCCAGCTGAGATACAGGCTTCTGGGCAGCAGGCTAGGCTCAGTCAAGAGCACAGCACTCTGTCCCTACCACCTACCCACCCACCATTCAAACTCCACAGCAGCAAAATCACTAAGTATACTAGAACAATCACTACTTCACTCAGCCTTTGGCAGCAGTTGACATGTGACCACTCCCTCCTCCTTGACACGTTTTCTTCACTCAGCTGCTAAGACACCATGTCCTCTTGGCTGTTCTCCGGTTGCACTGGTGGTTCCTTCTTGGTCCTCTTCACTATTCTCCCTGACTTGACCCCTCTCTCAGTCTGCAGCCCTCTTACTTCTACCTATGCATATTCCCTTGGCGATCTCAACAGTCTCACAGCCTTAAATACCACCCAAATGATGCAGTATCTCCTACCCGGATCTCTCTCTAAATGCTGGACTTCTATATCCCACTGCTTATTTATCAACTCCACTCAAATGTCTAGCAGACTTCTGAGACTCAATATATTCAAAAGTAAATTTCTGCTTTTCACCCCCAAATCTCTTTTCCCAGCAGATATCTCCATCTCAGGTAATGACAACTCCATCCTTCCAGTTGCTCAGGCCAAAACCTCTGAGGTCATCCTTCACCCTTTTACTCTCACATCTCAGCTCTAATCCACAATCAAACTCTGCTGGTTCTACCTTCAAAATGAATCCAGGCTCAGATCCCTAATCTCCAACTCCACTCCTGCCATGCTGGCCTAGGCTCTCAACATCTCTCGCCTGGACTATTGCAGCAGCCTGCTCACTCATCTCCCTGCTTCCACTCTCACCCTCTGCCCTCAGCCCATCCTCAACACAGCAGCCACAGCAATCCTTTCGAAACCTAAGACAGTTCATGGCATTCCTTTGCTGAAATCCTTTAATAGCTTTCATCTGACTGAGTATAAGCCAAAGCCCCTTTCATTGGCTTAGAAAGGCATTCTTGATCTGGCCCCTGTTACCTCATTGACTTTCTTTTTTTTTCTATTCTCCCTCTCGCATACCCTACTCCAGCCACACTGCCTTTCATGGTATTCCTTGAAACATGCAGCATCCTCCTACTTTACAGTCTTTGCAATTGCTGTTCCCTCTCACATGGCATCACATATTCACACGGTATCTCCATCACCTACTACAGCCTTTGTTTAAAAGTCTCCTTCAGAATGAGGTGACCACCATTTAAAAACTCTACCAACCCACCCACCTTCAGCAGCCCAATCCTTCTTACCTTGCCCTATTACCTTCTAATATAAAATAGTATATGCTTAGTTATTACCCTTATCATTTATTTTTGGTCTTCCCCAAATTAGAATGGAAGTTACAAAAGGTTAAGAAAATTTTGTTGTTGTTGTCTCTTTTCTTCATGATATGTCACAAATCTCTAGAACAGTGCCAGGCATATATCACTGCATAAATATATTTGTTGAATGAATAAAACCACAAATGTCAAAGCCACAAAATGCCATAGTCATTTTGTGTGATGGTATCCCCATCACTAAAAAAGATAACTTGGCCGAGTGCAGTGGCTCACGCGTGTAATCCCAGCACTTTGGGAGGCCGAGGCGGGAGGATCACCTGAGGTCAGAAGTTTGAGACCACCCTGGCCAACATGGTGAGACCCCATCTCTCCTAAAAATACAAAATTAGCTGGGTGTGATGGTGCACACCTGTAATCCCAGCTACTCGGGAAGCTGAGGCAGGAGAATCACTTGAATCTGGGAGGTGGAGGTTGCAGTGAGCTGAGATCGCACCACTGCACTCCAGCCTGGGCGACAGAGCGAGACTCCATCTCAAAAAAAAAACACAAACAAACAAACAAAAAAAACAGAAAAAACAGATACAACTTTTGGTTAGCCTCCTTCCACTGAAGATATAATCTAGTACAATTTTTTTTTGCTAAGCAGCATAATACCCATAGCATCTTGGAGAAATAAGGAGGAAGTTGTATATTTCTTTCTACCTTAACATCTAGTATAAGCAGAGGGAAAGACTCACTTAGACCTTTGCTAGTGACAGGCAAAGCATTGGGTGCCTTTCTTTAAAGGACCAGGCACAGAATTATTCACGCACTCCAAGGGTCTTTCTCTCTTAACAATGTCTCCCCAGTCATGCTAAAGAAGGTCACCTGAGCTTTTATCAAGTCTGTATCTTAGGAGCCCTAATTATATCATAAGGTAGAAGGTAGAAGCAGGTGGAAAAACACCTTTGCCTACTCCTATTCTCCCCATTCTTCCTACATATCTTGGCTTCACAACACGCACACAATTTTTTGCATTTAGCTGTTTACTTCCTTTTGCTCCCTATGAGCCTGCCTATTCTCCCTGAGAGCAAGAACCATGGTCGTATTCCTGGTACCTGCACAATACCTGACAGCACATGGTGATTCCTCAATAAATGTTCAAAGAGTCAATGAATGATCCAGAGTTTCATAAAGTAAGAGATGTGTTACAAATAGGGAGAGACTTAATATGCTATTAATTGATATAGCATAGAGCTAATGAACGTATGAATAAATCACCACAAGGATGCAAGTCCACAAAAATGGAAGATCCCATATTTTCATTTCCTTGTCAGGCAGAAAAGAAATGGCTTCTTTTCTAGCTATTTATTTGCCATTGAAGCCATCCTGAGGGTATATAAGTAAAAGTCCAGCATAAGGCACTCTTGTAGAGGATGTTTAGAGCGCTAAACAGAAAAAAAGACCCAAATTAGGTTCACATTCTGACTCAATGCAGCTGAGCAGCTTTTGACAAATGCTTAACTTTGCAGACCTCAGTTTTCTCACCTGTGAAATGGGACTAATTTCTCTCTGCTTACCTTCAGAATACTATTGTAAGAGTCAAATGAGATTAAGTCTGTAAAACTTCTTTGACAAATAAAAATGATTACTATTGACATTCATTTTCTATTTCACCTCAATTTTCAGTCACTCAAAAAAAGAATTAAGTTCCAAATAACTATGATAGAATTCATGTTTCCACTTGTCTTATATATAAATTACTATAAGCTCTTCCAAAAAAAAGCATGAAAACTACAATATATACCTTTTTCATGTGCCCCAGTTTCTTTGAGTTAACAACTTTGAAAATAATTATCAAGTCCTTAAAAAATATTTTTCTTACATAGCAACACTTTTCCCCTACAGAGCCAAAATTCATATGGAGCTTGAATAAGAATGTCCAAGTCCAATCATGACTAGTTTTGACATATTCTAAATCATATTATTTCCTAAATAAATGGAGCAATTCCCCAACTGGCGCTGCTGATCAAGGAAAGGTAAAAATTCTGTCCCTAATTTTTTAATATACGAAATACAGGAGCTTATTTTCAGGTTTCATACTAGAGACGGTGTCTCTTTTGATTCTTTAATTCATGATTTCCTGCCATAGCCCTATGTTGGCTGTTTTTGTATCTTTCACCATTATTCTGCTTCAGAAACAAATAAGCAAAATATGGAGTGGAGTCATTAGAGAATTTATTACTAACAGGGCAATCTCAATACTGTTCAACACAAATGATTACATTTGCTGCTGGTGTAAAATGCCCAGGAACTAAAATCCAATTACTACATTTCAGGCAAATTTTAACCTTAAGAAGAGAAACAACAACAACAAAAATGATAATGATCACAGCTTATCAAGATACATAGTGATTATGGCAGTGACCATAGCAACTGAGTGTAATTTTTTAATAAAGATAAAAAACCTCTAAAAACTATCTCCAAAAGTTTGAGTTGTGAAATTTAAAAAACAAAAATTTGGCAAAAGCCACTTTCTTACCTGACTGATGTCACTCATCCAGGCAGCTTTCTCCTGGCGTGAGGGTGCTAACAAGACAACAGTGAAGGCGGCAGCGTCAGGAGGCTCCACCACTATTTTAAAATCCAGGTGCCCAAACACTTGCCCAGAACCTTTAGCTTGAACACATGTAAAGCAAACAATTAGATGAGAATACAAAAAAACAAAGAGTGATAGCTGCCTTCACATTATTCTATTTATACAATCCATTTGCACTCAAATCGGGACTCTCATTTCAGCAATATCGTACTTCTCAGGCATGAAGAGGGCTTTATTAAGCTCATAAGCAGATGAAGAAGCTGAGGTCAGTAGGTTACTTGAGACTAGAATCCTGGTTTCCTTCTGATTTCATAGTTTTTTTTAAAAAAAATTCCCATGATTTATAGAATTCCAACACTCTAATTCAACTCTTCCTTCTTCTCTATCTGCCACTGAATAGTCACTATCACAAAACAAATTCAGTAAAATGTGAATTCCCAAAGATGGTTTAACAAGGCTCATGGGCTAAATGGTTCAATTTTTCATACATAAATGACTTTAGGGAGTTTATCCTCAGCCTCTCTCTCCCGCCTCTAATTCTAATAGAATCCTAAGTGATCGAAGGTGACTTACAGTCATCATCGCTTGCATCTGGCTCCTCAATCAATGTGCAGTCTATTAGAGACAGAACCCCACCTGTCTGGAAACAAACCAATTTTTCACTAAGACGCTGAAGGTCTTGTGTAGATTGGGAAGCTCTGATTTGTAAACACTATATTCAAGTTGCCATGGAAGAAAGCATAGCAATTCTGCATCATAAATAATTTTTCATAGAGCCCAAAATTAAACTTAGATGTGCAAAAGGAAGTGAACTCATTTAACTTCAGTAAAATCCTTCCCTTTCAACCCACTCTCACTCAGTTGTTTATAAAATTTAGCAAGTCGGCTGATGGGAGACTTAGATGGTACCACAGTGGCTTTAGAGAGTAATGCACCTTAGCAAAGGGCTGAACTCACCAACCAGGAAGTGGCTTAAGCAGTAGAAAGCTGTCATCATGGTGTTGAATAATATTTATAAGCAATAATAAAAAAGTTTGCCTATCTAGGCAAACTTTTTCCATAAAGGGTCAGATAGTAAGTATTTTAGGCTCTGCAAGTCATATGATCTCTGTCACAACTACTCAGATCTGCCACTTTAGCATAAAAGCAGCCACAGACACAAAGACATGCGCATGGCTGTGTTCCAATAAAACTTTATTAACAGGCCAGGCACAGTGGCTCACACTTGTACACCAGGCACAGTGGCTCACACTAGCACTTTGGGAGGCCAAGGCAGGAGGATCACTTGATGCCAGGAGTTCAAGACCAGCCTGAGTAACATAGCAAGACATTGTCTCTACTAAAAATTTTTTAAAGATTAGATGGGCATGGCAGTGCATGTCTGTAGTCCCAGCAGCTTGGGAAGCTGAGGCAGGAGGACTGCTTGAGTCTAGGAGTTCGAGGTTGCAGTGAGCTATGATCACGCTGCTGTACTCCAGCCTGGGCAACAGAGTGAGATCCTATCTCAACAAAAAAAACACAAAACAAAAAATTTTATTAACAAAAACAGGCTCTAAGCCATGGGCCATAGTTTGCTGACTCCTAGTACAGAGAAAGATAAAATAGGATTTAGCAAATATTGCATTGGTACATTGTAGTGATTTGAGAAGATTTTTGTAGCTCAGTAGTTGTCAACTAGTATATAACTTTGTATATGATTATACAGATACAGTACAGTATATAATTTTGTCCAGGTTACGATTTTAATTGTATTTCTTTATGGTGATGCATACTTAAAATACATTTCTGTTACTTTGAATTTAAATGACAACGAATTAAATGGCAGAGTTGGTAACAGTACATTACCTCACTCATTATGCAATCATGACAATCTGTTTTATGATAATACCAAGCATGGGAAAGTCTCAAATGAGTTAACTTCAATAACTTGTAAGTGCTTGGAAGATAAATGGAACAGTTATGGAAAACCAGTACCTTGAGCAGATGAAGCTTCCCTCCTGAACTTCTTGTACATATTAAAAAGTGTTTTGTAAATAAGAAGCATTGTCTCTCTCCTTCCTTTTTCAAAGACAACGAACCCAGGCGAACTTTACTAAGTTTCCCCCTCTCAACGGAAGGTACTTGAATAAGAGAACCTGGTGATTACAAAAATGAAGAATACACAGCAATTAAAATTCTGTCAAGTGAGGACCATGTCCACGGCAATAAACACTAAGGTCTGTTTCCCAAAATACCAGGGATTGATTTATGTGACACATCATCAGAACAAGTAACTCTCTTCCAGTCTGAGCAGAAGAAACAATGCATTGTATTTTAAGGGCTGAACTGTTCCTAATATTTTTGTGAAACACTTTAGACTTGATTCTTCATCTATAAACTGGAAAATAAGTTTGAAAGATGGCAAAATTGAATTCAAAGAATGAAGCACTTCTGCCATCTGTCCTTAGTGATCTGATCCAATCAATTTATGTATTTAATAATAACATACATATTGCATAATTATATAGAATAATATGATAACAAAAAGCAAATGCAATGTATTCTTCCTGAAGCACAGAATGTAGATAAATAGCATATTAATACAGTTTACCTTGTATTTTAAAAATAGAATGTACAATACATGTATATTATAAAAATATATAAATTATATAATTCAGTGAAATTTAGCTAAGAACTATTTTTAAAGGACACCTATTTCAAGTTACATTTAAATTATGTGAGATAAAAATTATTTGTGGAATCTAAACAGAAAATAATCCACATAAAATCTATACCCAGTATACTCCTAGGAGCAAAACTACCTTCCATTTAATGTGGGAAGCTATACACAGACTTTATAATACCAACATTACCTTTGATTATTTCTAGATTTCACCCTCATAGCAACCTCCCCCTACCCCAAAAATAAAATTCCAATCTAAGTTAAATATCAAACCAAAAAGTACTAACAAAGATTCTTGCCAACCTCTTGATTCTGACTTCTGAAGTGCCCTGAGATAGTCAAATTTCTTACATTTATTTAACCTACCACCTACCCCAAATGCAGCCTTCTGCAGGCTCATATTACCCTCAGAAGAATCATTAAGTGCATATCCAACCCTTGAACATTAACAACAGTCATCACTAAGAGATGAGATTGTAGACAACCTTATTTTCCTCTTCATACATTTTTCTAGCTTCTTGATTTTTTTAATGAGCACAAACTACTTCAATAAGCAGAAAAAGACCACTAAAGTTCTCCATATAAATAATATATATATGTAAGTTGGTAAAACTATGATTGTGAGTCACAAAATGTTCATATTAACATATGAATGTTGCAAATTGCATCTACTTTTTAACAGAAATTGAAAGGTGTACAGGGTGGCAAGAGACCCAAGTTTCCACGCCTGGATCTCACACTGTCTATTTTGGTGAGTGCTGCAGTGGGATGCTTGACAGACACAGAGTAGGCAGCTATTCTGGGCCTAAAGAATAGCAAGGAAGAAGTCCTGGGTGAGGGTGTGGGATTGGGGAACAATGGGCCAGGAGACGGCTTGACTCCCACGAAGGGATGGGCAAGAGGAGAGTGAATGAAGGAGGTGAGGTGGGTGGGAGCAAACTGGCTGGCAGCCCAGGCAGCAAGGAATGACATAGAGTACTGGAGGCAGGGGAAAGCAGGAGGCAGAAGTTAGGGAAGTCTATGAGCAAGTCATAGCAGCAGAAGGATGGGCTCATAGGGCTCAGGATGCAATCAAAGCCAGAGGCCTTGCAGAGGACATGGTTTAATGCCTCCCATTTCACAGATGGGGAAACTGAGGTCTGAGGCCAAGTAGCTCGCCTAAGGTCATGCCTAAGTGAGAAGGGAGTGATGTAGCCAGGGGATTCAGCCACATAAAATATAAGACTCAGAAAGAAGACAGATGGGAAGAGAGTAAGTTCTAGCTCTGCCATGGGGGCCATGAGCCATCAGGCCCATGACTTAGGGCTGAGTGAAAGACTGAGGCTTGGACAAATAATCTTGGTGGACAAATAGCTCTGGGAGTCATTTTCAGAAAGGCTATAAGCAAGCTGTGAAAACTCAATAATAATGTGTTCGTTAGTAAATGCTTCTAGCAATTTAGTGATTTTCTATGTCAGAAATTATAGAATACATAAAAATAAATACAATTTAGAAAGAAATTACAGAATACGCTGTTAGCTCATATATTAGCAATTACTGTGAATTTCAGCTGTGAGACAAAAAAAATAAATGTTTCCTTGGCAACCATACACTAATATGCTTAATCTATAATTGTTTACCTTATATCCAAGTAGAAGGGAGACATAGGAGACTGTGTACATTAGGTACATACAGAAATGTATACATCTGAATTAAAAGTGAGAAATTGCAACACTATGGTTTGTGAAATAATCATATTTGGAAAAAGCATTTTAAGAGGATTTTTTCACATTTTCTCTTGCATTTGACATGATGTTTCAATACAGCTATGAGATATGAAGAAAGGATTCCTCGCTAGCTAATACAAATTAGAGAAATACTTAGTATTCATTTAGTAATTCATCAGATCATTGCTATAGCATGATTCTTTGCATCCTGGTCATCGGTCTCTCTAATAATTGGGGTCAACTTCCAACAAAATTTCTGTTAATTCAATCACTTCATTCCCACAGAATGGCATTCAAGACTATGCCCCTTATTCTTAATTCTACTGAGTAATGAAAAAGAATGAAGAACCATTTCCAGCTTATTGGGTTAGGCATTTGAGAAGATATAACTGTCTCTAGACCCAAAGTTAAAATTTCAGAGAACACTGGTACATTGAAAGCGCATGACTTAGAGTCTAGGAATGATTAAAATACCAGAAAGGTCCATGTCTTATTCTCAAGGCACTTAGTCCTGTATTCAGTCACCTATATTTCATTTTCCTGACTTACATTTCCACAAAACACTGTTCACAATGCATAATAGATTTTGTACAAAATGTCAGCTTAGAGTGCCTTTATCTTCTACTAAATATTCATACATATTTCATGTTATTGAAAATAGGAAGTCATTCCAAAATTTGGATCTTGGCTTTTAAAGTTTATCATAATCTTGCAGGTACTAGTCTAGGTGCTTTTGTGAGCATTAGCTCATTTTTACAACAATCCTAAAAGATAGCTACTACTATTAACTCCAATTTAAGGAGAAGAAACTGAGGCATAGAGAAGTTAAGTAAATTGCCCAATATCACACAGCAAGGAAGTAGGGGAGACAGGATTTGACCTCCAGTGATGCAGCTAGACTGTTTTCCTATCATTGCCTCAGACACTCACACATTTATTCAACAAACTATTAATAGATTTTAGAAAACAATGATAATATCAGACCATTTCTATAATATAGTCTTCTGTATCCTATCCAACAGACTAATAATGGGAAACCATTTACAATAAAACTTTCATTATTTCAATCACTAAATCCTCATCAAAAAACATTCAAGAGTTGCTGATGCCTTTATTCTGAGGTGATCTTTCAGATGATCTGGATGACGTATTTTTCTAGTTCTTATGAATAAAAATTCACATAAGGTGGAAACTACATGCACACATGCACGCATGCACACACACACACACGCACATAGAAATAGACCACATATCATCCCTAAAAGTAATTAACACAAATATTAGTACACCTTTAGAGATAAATTGTAGACCATTTCATAGAAAATAAGAATCCCTCTAAATTTTTTTAAAATAATAATTTTTGAAAACGCCTCAATGGGTCTTAAAGTCGTTAAGGGTGCTATGTAAAAGTGATAATAGGAGTAACCAAAGCAAAACAATGCAAACTTTCCAAATTGTCTGTGATTGTATTACTTCCTAATTTCAGATTGAGGTCTGAATTTTAGAAACCAACTTTACTGTATAACTCTTAAACAACTAACCAAACCACACATGCAGAAAAATACTGCTAAAAGGCAAATCATTATATTGACATCAACATGATAATAATATCAGAAATATTCATAGCTGACAGAAGTGCCTTAAACATGTGGTACATAACAAGGAATTAATAACATATGGGCATGAATAAAGGGAGAAATTGTTCATGATTGTTTTCTCTCCAATTGCAGTGAAAAAAAATGACATTCAGTATTTGACCTTCCAGCATTTTTCATTATTGAATGTTTTTTCAAGCTCAGACCTAAAAAAGTTTACGTTTTTTAGCAATATAGTATGTTTGTGGGTTATAATACTTCCCAATCAAAAATCCTTTAAGAAATTGTACATTATAGAAACTTTCGTCTCCATTCTCACATACTATCAAGCACAAGTCAATTAGTAGACATTTTCAGGAAACTCCAATACAAGAAAAATACAACATAAAACACTTTACAGTCATAATTGCAATTCAGTAAATAATTTAATTCAACGCCCATTTTCCAGGTATCTGTAACAAAAAGCATCATACTAGACAAGGTAAGGCAGAGAGAATTCCTTAAGTGCTGCCCTTCAGAGTTTACAGTAACCAGGAGAGAGAGGTATACAAGCAAGAGGATGAAATACACGCACCAGGAGTAAAGTGCCTTGGAAACAAGTGGAAGGTAAATCCATTCTAACTGGAGGAGAGGGGAGGAGGAAGAAGAGGAAATTATAAAAGGCTCCTTCGAGGTATCTGATCTGAGCCTGGTGGGACAAGCAGAACTTCAACAGGCACAAAAGAAATGGATAAGGACATTCCCAGCCCCCAGGCTGGGGACAGCACAAGGAAAGGCACAGAGGCTGGCAGGCAGGAAGCCAATGTGGGGACACAGTCTGTGCAGAGGAATAGAGGAGGCATTACAAGGGCCTGATGTTGTCAGCATTATATTCCACCCTTATTTAAAGAAAAAAGAATATCTAAAGCCAAAAATGAGAAAAGGAATCATTTCCTAAAATACACTCCCAAACTTTAACATATGTGTGGTTTCTCCTTGTAAATAAATAATGGAAAATAGAATGGCATGCATTAAACTTTTAAAGTAGTCTGTGCAAAAATTAATGTGCACAAAACATTGTCTTGTTCTTGATGAGGTAAAAAGAGATTTTAAGCAGTACATTATGGTAGGCAATGGCAACACAAATATCTTCAAATGTATTGGCACATTATAAACAGAAACTACATTAACGATTAATTTGAGTTCCAAATTTATATTCCACTCCTCACCAAATTCAAAATTATAAATGTGTGCAATATATTGTCTCAAATCAATTGCCTGGGGCATTCTCCCCTCCCCCAGAGGACCTAAGCACTAAAAAAATAACTTGGGATGTGGTTTACGTCTTGCATTTTGAAATAACAGCCGAGGAGAAATAGGCACTGTCAGGCTGTTGCTTCTCCACAGTTTCCGGCACAAATATCTTCAACTCTTCAAAAGCTTAATTTATCGAGTGATGCCCCCAAAGCACACTTCGCAAACACGACAGCTTCTGCATTACCAAAGCGTGGCAAGTGTCCATCAGAGACATTTCATCTGGCAACGGGAGTTACCAGTTGAATCAAATTATATCGTGTGGGGCGGATCCGGAAGTGCTGATGAAAAATGGGAACAACAGACAGCTGTTTTCACTTCGGACATGGTCCCCAGTCTTATGTGAAAGGGCTTTGAGCAACGCAAGTTTCTCCTGGGCCTTGGCCTGGGTATCGTCAGCACTTGGCACTGCCACGGCCGTGGGCCAGGCCGACCGGTCCTCCTTGGAGCTGCAGAGAATGTCCGGGCCGCTGAGGAGGAGCGTCCAGTCAGAATGTAACTGCCTGCCCCACTCGTGCTTTACTATGATTGTGTTGCTGTTTTTCATGGTCCCTGAAAAGAAACAGCACAAAGGTGGGCCTCAACCACCGCCTCGGCGAAGGCCGTGGGGGGGTCCTTCGGGCACCGCACCCGTCACGCCTGTTCAGAACGCCTTCCGGGGTGTGCCGAGATCATGTGACAGCCGCACAGCGCATCAGGTCGCGGGTCCATTTCACAGGGACTTACCTTGGCGGATGAACGTTTGGCTGGTGTCCAGCAAGATGTCACAGCCCTCCACGATCATTCTTTCGATGGCAAGGTTTTTCCTTATGTTTTCAGTGTCGCTGACTTCATCGTGCATTACTCTGTGACACAACACAGACAGGATCACAGTAAGAGAGATTTTCTCTTGCCCTAGCATGTAGGCAAAGAAGAGCTCCATCTGAGAAGCTCGGTTGCAAGCTTGTATCGATTGAACCGGGGGTTTGGGGGAAATAGGCTGGATCTTTCCAGGCTTCAACAGGTCATGACCAAAAACAAAGCCAATGTGCCTCATAATTCTAAACAGTAAATGGGTCAGCAATTACGAGCATCCTGGGCATGTCTGCTTCTAAGTGCAACAGGAAAGCAACATGTCATTTTGTGGCCAGTTCCCGTCATTGAGATTAGGGGGCCATTTCTTGGAGGCAGACTAAATAAGAGACCTTTAGACCATTTATCCCATATAAGCTAAAGTAACACAGACATAAATAAGTGCTTGTAACAATGAAAAGTCACTGAGAAATGCAAACTGTACATTCTCTAGCTTCTTACCAAATATGAATACAAAATGCAACTGAGAGTCTTTTTTGTTGAGATGGGGTCTCGCTATGTTGCCCAGGCTGGTCTCAAATTCCTGGGGTCAAATAATCATCACCCCTTGCACCCTCGTCTCAGCTTCCCAAGTAGCTGGGACTACAGGTGCACACCACCACACCTGGCTATCATTTTTTTTTTAATGCTGAAAGAAACATGAACATTTCCAAACTTAAACCAAAATACACCTAATCTGAATTACATAAATTCACATGCTATAAGAACATTTTCCAAGATACGTATTTTTCTTGGTTCAAATGAATGTGAATGATGATTCAATATCACCTCACAAGCTACTATTTAACTTTCAGGTGAATCTGAGAAGCTGGATTTGTTTTGCTTCTTGTTCCTTAGAACATATACAGGAGGTTTCCACAAGAGACTAACTTGCTGCTTTCCTCTCCCAAGCCTTTGTTATAAGTTCTTGGCATACCTGGATAGTTCCTCTAGCTTTGATTTGGCAAACTCCAGGCTTTTCCTTTCCACATGCTCATGGGGTGTGTGAGCAAGGAGCTCATGGAGTGTGATGATATATCTGGGGATCTAGATGCAAACAGAGGCCAGTATGAGCAAGACATCAGGATGGGTGACAGGGCACATGCTCCGCAGGGCCATCATTGCTTCGAGAAGCTTGTCTCTACTCTCCCACTTTTTACTGTTTTACACATTTTTTAAAAAAGAAATACAAATAAAATGAACTACACTTCACACTTCATGCACACCAAAAAAAAGACTTCACCAAGAACACATGAAAAGGTGGAAATTATTGAAGTGTTATGGTACAAAGAGATGGTTGTTTCTTTAATTTTTTTTTACATAATCATACACTTTTGAATCATAATTTTTGAAAACTGGTTCAGAGGGAAACAGATACAGCTATCATCAAGTCACTTGAGTCTGTATTTTAGATATATTAGTCCATTTGCAATGTTTTTAAATCAACAATCCCACTGCACTATTCTCCCTAAGAATTAAAACTTGGGAGAAGACATGTTCACCTTTATTACTTTCTGTTTCTACTTTATCTCAATTCACCTCCTTGCAGTAAAAAGTATTGTTTAGGTTATTTATTTGTACTTTTGTTTATTAACAGACTATCTGAATTCTGTCAAAGACAGAAACTCCACCAACCAGAGGAAGATCTTAATAAACCATGATAGAGATTCAACCTAATTTCTAGTGACACAACTTATTTATTGTGGGCTTAATTTTAACAATAACATGCATGAACATCTACCACAACATTACCCACTCGGGGGTTAGACTGGGTGCTCCAGGCTTTGCCAATGTGTCCAGTCCTCTAACATCATAAGGATTATGTCTCCATTTTATAGATAGAGAACTAAAATGGGAAGAAGTTTTAGGCTTTTACAGATAGAGAACTAAAGTGGGAAGAAGTTTGGTAACTTGCCCAAACTTGCCCCATTGGTGGCCTCACAGTAAATGGGAGCGTCAACTATAATCCCAGCTCTGACCAGTGCACTAACTGTCTTTTCTCAGAACTCACCCTGGGAGCTCTCGTCTGCGGGGACTGAGGTCTCACTCAGCACTTGAAAGTACCTTTGAGAATGAAGAAACTACAACAGCTTTCCAGGACCCTGTGTGCAGTTTCTTCCATTCTGTCCTGAAGGGTCAGTGGCCCTACCTAGGGATCTGCATTGGCTCTTGTGCAAGTGGTGGCCTTCATTGGGCTGCTTACCAATGTTTATTGAGTGTGTCCATTTACACACTATGCATAGACACAGCCACCATTAGCACAGACATTGAACTTCAGCTCTGGGATCACACCCTAAGGAATGTCATCAAATCAAGGCTTCAGGAAGCACAAATAGGCCCCCTTCATCGTGGAAGGGTGGGAAACAGGAGAATCCTCCCTTTTTAGGATATATGGAGGAGATTTTCTGCTCCTTCTCCCATGAACTTCTCACTAATACAGCCCTTAGGGTTGTCCCACTTGATGAAGTCTCCTGGGATAAGTGTGCTTTCAAATATCTTTTTCGCTGGCATAATTGCATGACTGATAAAAGTTTGCCTCTAATTAGTAATTCCACAAGAAAATCAAGGCAATCAATAGCTAATGTACAAAATTTTTCATAGCAAACAGGACAGGTGTAGGAAAGCTTGAGTACTTATAATGCACTGAAAATCCACAAAACTGAGTTTGGTCAATACTCTCATGATCCTTCCTCATTACTTAAATTTCTTTTAAAGTGCTCGCTGGCTAAGATTCAGGTAGATGGATTTGAATTCAGTCTCTGGCCCTTTCTGCCTTATGGTGAAGGAACAAACAGGCACTGAAACTGCCAAAAAGCAGGCAAACGAAGTTCTGCAGAGAAGTGGTCAGCTCTCCAAAGGGCTCATCTGTATCTTCAAGAGCTGATTATAAATCTCTTCCCCCAAAACCAAGAATCATAGGAACTGTCTAAATGAATCATAATTCTGCTTTCAATTATGGAGCAAATACTTGTCACTTTATAGACATTAATTAGCTTGCTCTCCAATTACAGTAAATAAGTGGATAGAATAGCAAGTAGCTACTTTCTGGAGAACATCTAACACTGCTGTTCTTGTCAGGAGCAGATTTCACGATTGGCTTACCAATGGACTTTCGACACATACATATCCAAATAAATACATGAGCAGCTGAAGCCAATTTAAACAGTACCAGCCAAGCCACTGTCTTTAATAAATAAAAATTATGTTAATGACAACATTATTTTCCATAACAAATTTCTTGGCAATACTTGGACTTACTGTTCTGATAGTTCAACTGGGGATAATTTTACTGCATCATCCAAATTCTACAATTTCTCCATGTTTCCATAGTTCAACATAGCTTGATAACAGCAGCAACTGACTAACTCAAAAAAGGGCCGAGAAGGAGGAAGACAATCACCTTCTCTCTTCTACACATACAAGCTAAAGGCTTCCAATTGCCTCTCCTCCTCTCTCTTCCCCTACACTAACTTCTGCCTCCATATCTGGGCTCAAGAAAGTCTGGACAGAGGTCTCTTGGCAGTATAAACTAGGGTCACCTCTTCCACTGTTGGCCTCCAGCAAAAAAAAAAAAAAAAAGTGAGAACCCTAGCCTCATCCTGAGGCGTCCACCCTTACAAGGGAGCAAGGCAAACATGCAGAAGTACCACTGCTAATACAGAGAGAAGCAGATACAACCGGACCCTCCAAGGGATTCAAATACCTCCATGACTATTTCACTTCATTAGTGAAAGAACTGCAAGGGAACAAGAAGGAGAGAGTGAGCTTAGTAAGGAAAAACCTCTCAGCTTCAGCTTCTAGAAAAGGCAATTTCCCCCAAGTGTTTTCTAGGGTTATTTCTAGAGAGAAGGATGAAGAGTGAGGCATCAAGTGAAGAAGACAGAAGGGAGACACCAACGAGCATAAGGCCCTTGGGCACAGAACTCCAATGACTTCTCCTGGTCTATTCAAAATAGTTATGGGGAAGCAAGCAAAGACAATTCTGTGCTCTTTCAGTTTGCTCATTTCTTGCAGTTGGACAATTCTGGCTCAACTCTTTGAGGCTTCTTCCAGATCAAAGCCTCCCACAAGCTGAAGCCTCTGGTTAGACTTGTCTGGCAAAAGCCAGAAAGCCTCAATATCTGACCCAACATTCTAAGGTTTGAGGTCACCACATCCTTGGGGAGGGGGCTCCTAGACTAACACCAAGCTCCTTGAAACACCACATAGTTACCCAATCCAAAACATCAGAACTAGTGTAGTCACTCTAGGATCACCACATCAGAGAGCTAGAGAGTCTGGAGATAACTAGAGCTCAGCTCAGCTGCCTCAATTTACAAATTATGAAATAGCTATTTAGTTTGGTTCAATTATTTTCCCCGATGCTATGAGTGAGACATCAGGTCTCCTAAAGATTCCCAGTCCAATGTTCTTTTCAAGACATTATAAAAATTCCCGGGGGTCAATCAAAATGCTCAGTCATTGCTATCAGGCATAGTCTTCGGGAGAGGAAGGGCAGGGTGGTGGGAGAGTATCCCAGCATTTTAAAGAAATCCAAAGACCTTTCCAAGGACCTACATTCGCTGTATTTGGACACCTCATCTACAGCGAAAGTACAGCTCTGCCATTTCAAAATACTGAAAAAATCACACCAAGAGGGAATTAAATAGCACGAAGAAAGACATCAGGGGGCTGTCAGGTAGGAAGCTGGTTCCTCTCTGAATGCCCCATGTGTCTTTCACGACTCTACCTTTGTATATTCAACTGACTTGGGGTTACGGAACAGATACAACTTGGGGTACTGAATCATAACCTAAAGATAATTGTCAAAAATTCACATAGAATCTCAGAAGAATGCTATACTATATATTTCATTATAAATAAAATCTTAAATTCCAATTATGTAGATAGTTGTTTTAAAAGTCTGAAATCTTTCTTGTGAAATATTTCCTAAGAGAGGCAAAGAGTTCAAACAATTCAGTTCCAAAGGAAAACAAAAACAAAAACACTATAAAGTTTCACTATACTTAAGTGGTTTTAAATGCATCCTTTCGGTTAAAAATCTGACTAAACTTCTACGGCAACTTCCAGGATTTCGAGCAGGACTGACAAACTTCAAGGCAAACAATTGTGCACCACAGCCACATTTCTTTCTGAGGCTGCAAAATGATTAGCCAGGGTCAGAGATGCCTGCGCAGGAGGACAAAGCGCTCCACAGTAACCATAACACACATGATTAGTAGAATCGGTTTACCACATGACAATTTGGAGGCCTGGCCAGAAGCCACCTAAATTCCACAATGGGAACACTCAATGCTCTTCCAAAAGAACAGAATCGACACTTTTCAAAACAACAGGAGATTCAATGCACATTTTGGCCTCCCTGGTTCTCACTTCTGGGCGCTTAACGGTAAAGTCCTAGATCCAGGAAAGAATGCAAGTGTTCTTGACCCCTTGGGTTGCTCTAGTCCCAGAAAGGGAGCCCCTGCGGCCACCTGACTAGTTGCCAAGAGTCCTCAGGTCCCACCCGTGCCTTCTGTTTCCTAGTCTCCACAGCCTCTGTGACCAGGGAGGTCCTCCTTTTGTTCTCCAGGGCTCCAGCCGAGGGGAGACTCAACAGCAACCGCGACAGGAAGGGAGGATGGGCTGGAAAACAGAAACCTTCCCAGCAGTCACTCCGTCCCCAAGAATCTTTTATGCAACTAGCATAAACTGGAACATTTGCACAGAATCCTATTTCTGTAAACCAAATAATATTTTTAAACATGCTGGAGGAGGAGACTCCATGAAAGAGGTCTGTGTGGAATCTTTCTGTAAAGAGAAAATTGTGCAGCGTTTCAAAAAATCATTCTTGAATTCTTTGCTTCAAAAATGCCTGGTTTTCTTATATCCATGAGACACAGAGAATGTGTGGCACAATATTTGTTTATCTCAGGGTCAAGCTCAAGACAGCAACAGATGGTACATCTGTGCCATAATTCCTCCCAGGGCACACTTAAGCATCTCACGCTGGTCACGCTAGGTATCAGTGACATTGAGCTGGAAACTCTGACTTACAAAATGCATCCCAAGTGACTTACCTGAAACATGGGATAGGTCAAGAATGTCTCCAGCATCCTCCCCTCACAGGCTGGATTGGCTTCATACTGTTTTAAGAGTTTGTCAAAATCTCTGTTTTGCTTACAATTGGCGAGAACTTGCAGGCTGTACTGGTGATTACGCACAAATTCTTGATAAATGTTCAGCATGGGGAGCAAAATATCAAACAGATCAGCTGCAAAGAAACAGTAAACACGGCTGTTTCCCTTGTTGCTTGGTAAATTACCTACACTGGGCAGGAATGGCAAAGAGTGGGTCCCAGCACCAGGTGTCACACATGCATGGAGCCGCAACCCTGATGCCTGAATGATGATCTGGTAGAATGCACTCATGGGCAGCACTTGACTCCAGCCCCAAATTAACTATGACAGGCCAGGGGAAAGAATCAAAAGGTAACACTGAGGCAGGGCCCAAAGTACCCAAAAGGCAAGGAGACAGGGTCCCGGGATACAGAAGCTCACAGGTCAACAGGGTGATGCAAACAGTTTAGGCTGAATAATGTTGGAGCTATTTTACTCTAATTGCAGCCACTCTAAAAGAAAATCTTACACCTTTAAAGAATGCACTTACCTAAAATTAAAGTGGGCCAGTTTGCTATCCTTGCCTTTAGTCCTTGATGAAATATTTCATGAAGAAACATGATTGTTTCACTATAAAAAAAGGAAAAATAATATAATTTAGTTGCTATAATGTGTTTATTTTGTTTAAAATCCAGAGTCCTTAAAGCCTTAATATATACATAATATATATGTCCCATAGGGCCTCCAAACTATACCCAATAATAACATGGATTATATTATCCTCAATCAAGCAATTATGACAGCCTCAGCAAACCCTGATATAACATTCAAATATTAGAGGACAGAAAGCACCAAATCATTGTCACATAACCTTCTTCATCAATTTTTAAGTGAGCTTTCTGCTATTAGAATGCAGTATTTCAATCAATAATCAGAAAATTAAAGTTATGATCCTTTTTTCTCTTCATATGTGATTCTAGATAACTCAGGAGAAAGTTTCTCTGTCAGTAAAATGAGTTTTGACAGAAGGAGAGAGGTTGAAAAAAATCTAGAGCAAAAATTTTGAGAGAACTCCACTATAACCACTCCCAAGATACCCAAGACAGAAATGCAAAAGAATCTTCTGAAAAGAGTGAAGCCTACACAGAGATACTAAAATAAGGATGATGCATAACTTAGGGATCTAAATTCCTAAAAGGGCCAGGAAGGGTAATTACCAAAGTCAAAACATCATTGCTTTCTCCTCATTGGAATTAACCTACTGCAATGAGCCTTTGAAGCCTTTTCTGAACTAACACAGTGACACAATCAAATACAGAACCGTTCATCTCAGTGAGATCCCTTGGCTTGTTATTAGTCAAGTTCCATTACAACAGACATCAAGAAATCCTTACTATTTCAAATGGTCCACGAAATAAAACAGAAATGGCTCCATGAGATTCTAATTTATTTTTCTTTTATAACAATTTAACTAAGTAGTGTTTGTTGTTCAAGGATTTCAACCAAATCTACTTTGGCAGGTATTATAGGTTAGTCATTCAATCTGTATTCCATCCTCCTTCTAGGTGGAGAGGGGTAAAACTAAAACTACATTTCCCAGACTCCCTTGCAGCTATGGTTCTGGATGTAAATTCAGTTCCACTAATAGATGCACTTGGAAAGACACAGAAGGCGGAAGTAGGGGCCATCTTCCTATGGCTGAAAGTCAGTCATGGCGATGTGAGTGCTTTGGGGCAATGTCAGCACCCAGCTTTAGGATTCTAGTTTCTGGGAACCAGCTTCCAGAGTCTGAGAGGCATCTGTGGCAGCAGCAGTGGTGGCAGTGGTTTCCTAACCTCTGGATCTAGTCTATGTTCTCTGAAAGTCAACAGTTTAAGGGCTGCTCCCTGACTTTACTCCCCCAGCCTTTCCAACAGATTCTGTAAGCAGTGAATTCCCTCCACTCAGCGAGGGATTTCTCTGTCCTATGTTGAACACAAACTAATGGATACATCTACCTTCATATTTTGATACCTGGATGGTTAGAAAACAGATGAAACAATTCTGTATATAAATAGGAAGATTGCATTTTCTTAACTATAAACCTGTGTTAAAATTCAAAATTATTGAGCTGCCTAGGGCTTAATTTCAAAGGCATGTAAAGGGAATCTAGTTAAACAACAGTAATGATATAAAACTTCTTTAAGCCTCACCTTTAAAAACACACCTCTTCACATTATGTTAAGTGAAATAAGCCAGGTACAGAAAGACAAGTATCACATGTTCTCACTCATATTTGAAAGCTAAAAAAGTTAATCTCATGGAGGTAGTGAATAGAATGGTGGTTACCAGAGGCTAGGAAGGGTAGTGGGGAAGGAAAGGATGAAGAGAGGGTTTGGTGAATGGGTACAACAGTACAGTTAGATAGAAGGAATAACTTCTATTATTTGATAGCACAATAGGGCAGCTATAGTTAACAATAACTTATTTCAAAATATCTAGAAGATTTAGACTGTTCCCAACACAAAAGAAATGATAAATGTTTGAGGTGACGGATATCTCAATTACCCACATTTGATCATTTTACATCATATGCTTATATCAAACTATAACATATACCTCATAAATATGTACAGCTATTATATATCCATTCCATATTATGTATATGTATTATGTAACCATAAAATGTATCCATAAAAATTAAAAATAAAAAAGTTTTAAAAATTTCTTTTCAAATCTCCATCTAAGTCTAGATGTGGTAAATAATTGCTAGTCTATATGAAGAGCTTATAGCTTTACCTTCCAAAGAGAGGCATATCTTGACTCTGAATTTAAACAATATGATAAACCTGGCCTTTCCTGATTCAGATCAAGCAATCCAGTGGAAACAAAGAGCCAGAGGCAACCTAAAAGAATGTGGCACAGCCTCTTTATTTACCTCTAGGTACCACCCTGTTTCTCTGTTCCTCTTTATAGCAGCTCTCCTCAAAAGAGTTTTCAATACCCACCCTCTCCAGTTCCTCTCATTATCAGAGTTCAGTACACAATCCCATCCACTGCCATCAGACCTGTTGAAACTGCACACTTGGTGACTGAAGTATCACCAGAATGCTGTACTGCCTGAGGATCAAGGGCTACCCCCAGGCTCCTTTGGATGTCCCACACACTTGAGAGGAGCCATTGCCAGCAAGGTGGGGAAATCTCCCTCCTTCCTTTTAACAAAAGAAAGCCTAGCTTTTAATCTCGTATTATCAGACTACCACTCATCACCCTTCCTTTCTGCACTCATCTACAGACACGCCAGTGGCTCTTCCTGATGCCTTGAGATCTGAGCTCTCAGCTCACAGTTGCTCTTTTCTCCAACACTACTCTTGTCATAATTCTTGGGGATTCCAATATGCACACAAACAACATTTCAATATCCTGGCCTCACAGGACCTTGAACTCTTCCTCCAAAGATCTTGTCCTCCATTGACCTCGGTCAACACCCCTTTGATTGTACTCTAGACCTTGTCATTGTCAATAGCTGCATCCCTTCCCTGTCTCAATTTCAAGCACAACATTCTCTGACTACTCCTAATCTTTCAGTTCACTGCCTTTAGAACCCTGACTCCAAAATTCTTTCACACTAGCATGACCTAAATCCCCAGATCCCACCACCTTTTTATTGGCAAAAACCTCTCATACCAGCACTACTTTCTTTCCTCAGTTTAGATTCCATGGCTCATTATTATAATCTCTTCCTTGTATACAGCTTCAACTTCCTTATTCTTTTCTCACTTCACCACAGCAGCCACAACACCAATCCTAATTAATCCCAATCCTCCACCCACTCTGCACCTGCATCCATGCAGCTGAAAGTGGCTAAAGAAAAACATGCAACCATCCTGACTGATCTCACTGGAAAGTCACAACCACTAGCCTAATAAGCTAACACAAGCTCTCAGTGCTTCCCAGCATTAATACAACATTCCTGAATCCATTTACTCCCCTGCCCTAGTTATCACTATTCCACACCTCTTTCTCTCTTCTCCAGCTCCGACACTTCCCTCCCATCTGCCCCATCAGTGGATGTCCTTGCCTCCTAACTACTGAAGTGTCCATGTACTAATCCTTCCCTGCCCTAGTTATCACTATTCCACACCTCTTTCTCTCTTCTCCAACTCCGACACTTCCCTCCCATCTGCCCCATCAGCGGATGTCCTTGCCTCCTAACTACGGAAGTGTCCATGTACTAATCCTTCCCTGCCCTAGTTATCACTATTCCACACCTCTTTCTCTCTTCTCCAACTCCGACACTTCCCTCCCATCTGCCCCATCAGCGGATGTCCTTGCCTCCTAACTACAGAAGTGTCCATGTACTATTCCTTCCCTGCCATGCTCCCAGCTAATGACAATCTCTTGACCTGAGCAGTACATTCTGTCCACTTTCGCCTTTGCAAGTTTACTGCTCAGCAATTCCCTCTCTCCTCCATCCTTCTTTTACCCTCTTCATTTGCCTCTAGGTACCACCCTGTTTCTCTTCTCCTCTTTACAGCAGCCCTTCTCAAAAGAATTTTCTATACCCACCCTTTTGAAATCCTCTTCCCTCCGCCCCACCACCTGTTCTCTCCTAAGCCTCCAATCAGGCTTTGGTCTCTAATCAGAGTTACCATTAAACTCCGAGTTGTTAAACCCATGGTCAATTCTAAGTTATTGCTCATTTGACTTTTTTGGCATCGTTGTTGGTTCCCTCTTGCTTTCGTTTCCAGGACAACTCACTCTTCTGGTTTTCATTGACAACTCAAAGGATCCTCTTCACTCTTCTTTGCTGGCTCCTGTTTATCTTCCTGACCTCTAGATGTTGGAATATCCATGCTCCTCTTTTCTTATCCATCTGTACTCACTTGCTTGGTAATACCATTCAGACTAGCAGCTTTAAATACTATCTGTATGCTAGAGGACTCCCAAATTTCTATCTTCGGCCCAGAATCTTCCTCTGAACTCCAAACAAATATCTGATCCCTAGTCACTTGACATCTCCACTTAGATGGCTAATAGCATCTCACGCTCAACAGATCCAAGAGAAAAGTCATCTTTTCCCCTCAGCCTGTTCTTCACTCAATCTTTACCATTTAGTAAACAGTAATTCCATCCTTCTAGTTGTCCAGACCAAAAAACGTTGCAATCTTACCTTTTTGCTTTCTCTTAAAACCCACATCAAACCCATCAACAAATCCCAACTGTTGAGTCCTGATGGATAAGTAAGCAACAAGGAAGGGGCCTCCGATGGGGGAAGGCTCCAGGTAGGGGAGAAGAATGAACAATTGTTCTGAGAAACACAACCCGCTGGCACAAGGAATGACCTTTCCACACCTAGCCCGCTCTTGCACGACCGTATAAAACTTCCCTCCAGCCCCTGCCTCTCTGCAGACAGCCCCTTCTCTGCTGTGCTGCCCATTGCACCCTTGCAACATGTTTTCACACATTCTCTAACAAATCTGCCTTGCTTTATCCACAACTGTTTTGGTAAATTCCGTGACACTGGCCCCAGCTAGTTGCATCCGTGACACCTACTGGCTCTGACTTAAAAATACACCCAGAATCCAACTACTTATACTGCCTCCATTATAATCATCTCTTACTTGGATTACTGAAATAGCTACCTAACAGGTGTCTCATCTCTCACTCTGTTTATTGAATAGCCACCTAATTGATCTCCCTACAGACTATTCTCAGCAGAGAAGCCAGAGAGAGCATTTCAAAACAGAAGTCACATCACACCCCTTCTCTGCTCAAAACCTGACCAATGTCTCCCCATCTCATTTAGAGCAAAAGTTAATGGCTGTACCATGTCCCACCTTGATAACTCCCTGACTCTTCCCTTCACTGACACTGAGCAGGGCAGGTCCTCAAGCTGGACTGCCGGGCACGTGAAAGCCCCATGTCCCCTGCACGCACAGCTCCCTCTGCTTGCCTCACTCTTCCTCCAGGAACTTCAAGCCTTTGCTCGAATGTCACCGTATCCTTGAAACTTTTCTGAAAACCTGCTATAAAAAAACTATGGTACATTCACAGATTGTAATACCATGTCGTGATTTTTTTTAATAGAATGCTCTTTAGGTATCAATATGGAAAGATCTTCAGAAAATAATGTTAAGTGAAACAATGAAGTACATGTTAAAGTACATTGCCTTTGTGTAAGAAGAGGGAAAATAAGACTCTATATTCATAGTTTCTTAGATCAAAATTGAGAAACACTGAAAGGATAGATAAGAAACTAGTACAGATATTACGTATAGAAAGTGGGGGGAATCGGGTGGACAGAGACAGGGTGACAGTGCAACTGCTAACTGCTGTTTTCATGTTATTTTGACTTTTGAACCATGTGAGTGTACTATCTACTCAAAAACAAATAGCTAAAATTCTAAGTAAAACACTAAACCCTCCCTTGACCCCCTTCTCCCATTCCCTTCTTTATTTTTCTCCACAGCTCTGATGGCCATATAATATACTATCTATTTCACTAATGCTGTTCATTGTCTATCTTCCTGCATCAAAATTTAAGTTCCATAAAGGCAGGCATTTTCTGATTTTTCACTGATGAATCCTCAGCAGTAAGGAAACTAATGATTTATTGAGCAAATAAATTCACCAGAGCTTCTCAGGTCCTGTCTTAGCTTTTGCTCTTCCTAAAATACTTGTGTATAATTAACATGTAAAAACCCATAATCACTCCATTTTCTTCAGTTTATGAGTGATTATATTCCCCAACACACATCTCCATGCGATAAGACAATGTAGGTCAAATAGAGAAGAAAAAATTAAGAACATTAGATGCCAAGATTCAAGTAAAGATGTAAAAATAACAATGCAGGCTGGGTGTGGTGGCTCACGCCTGTAATCTCAGCACTTTGGGAGGCCAAGGCAGGCAGATCACGAGGTCAGGAGATCGAGACCATCCTGTCTAACACGGTGAAACCCCGTCTCTACTAAAAATACAAAAATTAGCCAGGTGTGGTGGTGGGCGCCTGTAGTCCCAGCTACTTGGGAGGCTGAGGCAGGAGGATGGCGTGAACCCGGGAGGCGGAGCTGGCAGTGAGCCGAGATTGTGCCACTGCACTCCAGCCTGGGCGACAGAGCAAGACTCCATCTCAAAAAAAATAAATAAATAAAATAAAATAAAATAACAATGGAACACAAGTAATAGCTTTCTTATTTTTACTATCATAAACTAATAGAGATGAATTTATGAGACCCTTTTAAAGATTAAGTAAAAATTCTTGTTGGAAATACAAAGGGGTTTTTCTCATAACTCTTTGATTTATGCAATGTCAAACCTGTTAAGAAAAATACTGCTGACGTCGTCGTGGCTGATGGGGGGCTTCTTGGAGCTGGCGGCCATACGCAGGGGCCGGAGAAAGCCATTGACCAGGATGTAGAGCTGGTGAACGTACTCTGACTCTGCCTCCACCATGGTGAACACAATCTGGTTTCTCTTCCTCATACTTTCAGCATGAGGAGAACAAATGTAATCCTGCACGATGGTCTTCCATTTCCTTCTGCACAACCATCCTCGCATGAAGCTCTGAACCTACAGAACAAAAAATCAGAAAGGAATCTGACTAGTTACAATGGTGATTTATTTATGGAAAAGAACATGAAATATAATTAAAAATCAATTTTGCAGAAAACATGATAACCTCTAAAATTGATAAGGATTCCCTAGGGATGATGTGAAAAATAACAGGCAAGCCTGAGAAAGTGCACTGGCCTGTGTGTTTCAGCCAATCAACAAACATTTACTGATCATCTTTAAAATGCCCAGGTAAATGCTGGGTACTGAGCAGTCAAGTATATATTAAAACCTTTAACTCAGAGGCTCTGCCATTACTTGCAACCACCTTGACCTCTGATTCTCTGTTTCTTCATCTATAAAATAACCGACAGAGCTGGACATGCACAGGCCTGTAGTCCCAGTTATTTGGGAGGCTAAGGTGAGAGGATCACTTGAGCCCAAGAGTTCCAGTCTATCCTGGGCAACGCAGCAAGACCCCATCTCGTGTTTCTCTGTTTTTTTTGTTTGTTTTGTTTTTTTCTCTGTTTTTAATCTCGTGTTACCAGACTGCTTTCATTTTTCATGAAATTAAAATAAAATGATTAACAAAAAAATCTAAAGTCCTTTCTAAATATAAAAAATTATAACATAATTAACTAGGATTTGTTTTATGATAACTAGGGTTTCTCACTTTAGATGTGGCAGATTCAGCAACAAAGTAGGTTGTAAATTCACATATAATTGAAAGTATTAAATCACTACCAAAGTATCATTATTATCTATTTAACACATCCTTACACTTTTTATTTTTTCCACACTATGTTCTAAATGATCACGTATTAAACAACGACCCTTCTTTTGCAATGTCTAAAATTCTCTTGCCTGCCTACCAGTGTCGTCACCATGTTATCAGTTTTTATACAGGCATTAAACTCACTCTACCTCAATAAAAATTAACCACATTTTAACACAATCATGTGGGGAAATTATATTCAGATTATTTGAAGAAATCTAACAAAAATTTCCATGAATTATAACCAATTTTAAGTTTTAGTCTATCAAGGTAAACAAAAATTAGGTTGATATTTGCCAAGACCAAAATAGAGAAACGATTCATTCATTGTTAACACTTTTTTCCATGCAGACATTATTTTGAAATGGGACATAAAGAACAAAAAATTAATCTCAAAACCTATTTAACAAGTACAAAAATTGGTTTAAAAAATTATTAAGAAACAAGAAGGTAGAAAAATATTTTTAAAATTTTATCAGTATTCTTTCATTTAACAGAAATATTTTTAAAAATCAACTTAATTGGATTTTGTGTTAAGTAAAACCTTTCTATTTACTTGGGCAGGGGGTGCTTGCCGACCAATAGATGCTTCACTTATTTAGTAATAGACTAGTTTCTACCACACATCTGAAAATTGAATTTTATTAATTTTTTCTTTACATGCAACTACATACTATTAAAGGAAAGGCAATAGAATTAATCTTGTCTCCAGACTGACTAGATGGGATTTTTTTTAAAAAAACTAATTAATCTTATAACACAATAGCATAAGCTTGATTCAAAAAAAAATTAATTTCTAAGAAATGAATAGTGTTATTTTACTTTTTTATTTCTGGAAAACTGAAAACATTTGACTAGTCCTAAGAATCATTTCTATTTCAAATTCTGAGCAATATTTAAAGTTGTAAAAAAGAATATAAAATATAATTTAAAATCAATTTTGTAGAAAACATGATAGTCTCTAAAATTGATCTGAATTCCATAGGGATGATGTGAAAAATAATAGGCAAGCCTGAGAAAGTGCACTGGCCTGTGTGTTTTAGCCAATCAACAAACATTTGCTGATCATCTTTAAAGTGTCCAGGTAAATGCTGAGCACATTAAAGTTTTGTTACAGTGAAAGGGGAAAGATTATTAGCATAAAATAAGAGGAATAATAACAAATTAAAAAGAAATAAGATTTGAAGATGTATATCCAGGGAAATTTCCTCAAATATGATGCTTTCCACTTATTATTAACAAAGCTGAGTAGTGCTTTATATAAGACAATCAAGATCATAGGATCAAAACCTAAATGACAAATCAAAACACAGTGGACTAGAGTGAGAGCGAGAGCCAGCATTTGGTTCATTGCAAAAGTTGTGCAATTATAAATGGCAGTAAGAGGGAAAAATCTGCTGATTGTGTGGATGTTAAACAAGAAGCAATAATAAAACAGAAATATAAGCGGATGTGCTGATTTACTCAATCTTCACACATGCCCCCCAAAAAATCTTTCTTAAATAACACTAAAGATTAAAGCTAAAAGAAATATTTTTGAAATGTAATTTAAAAAATATTCCCCCAAAATATGAAAGCCGCACAAAATCAAGAGGTTGAACAGCACTTAATTAACCCCACTGGAGAACACTATTGTCTTAATGCCTGGTTTTGGCATCCTTCCTAGACAGTGTAAAGAAATCTCAAGCAGAAATTCTCTAGAGTAGCCATGTCTGGATCACTCTGCAGGGCAAGTCTGGGAGCCATAGCCCAGAAACACCAAGGCTGCTCCCGGCTCACGCACAGGGTGGCAAAGACACCACCATAGAACAGACGACTGGTCACCATGCTCCTACAAAGCTGGAAACCTCCAGGCCCTACCTTTTTAATCTTCTTGATGTCTGGATCTTCGTCTTCTTGGTTGCTTTGGTAAGGTCGCATTCGTTCTTTGGTTTTATTAAGAGCAATAATCTGGAACACAAAGTTGGTCCATTTCATGATTTGGGAAATGCTGGATTATAGCCATACACACAGGAAGCTCTGCCTACAAAGGTGGTCCAATGAGATCCTCAGGAAACACCCACTTTTTATGCACACTCTCTTCCTTTGGTGCTGAGATGGGGGAAACATGAACTTTACCCCAAGCATGGTATCACCAATGAAAGTGTTTATAAGAAGTGACTGTGTAAAGTGTGACCGGGGATCTGGGCTAGCAGAAATGTTGGCCCAAAACTCAGCCCCAGCTGCCAGTGGTGAGCCCGCCAAGACCTTGTCAGGAGTCCAGTGATATGTCCATCCCCTCGCCTGAAGGTGGCTGCCTGCAATGTCCTGTGGTCCCCACATGCAGTGACACTCAGCTCAGAGCCCCTGGTTCTGGCCATTGGCCTGTAGTCTTCCAAACCACATGGCACCCCAGACTCACAGACATCCTTAGGAAAATGGCAACTGTAACGGGAACTTCAGAGCCTTGGGGCTGGTCCAAGCCAACCAAGAGAATTCCTCAGAAAAGGTAAAAAGGATCAAACTAACCTGGGATCTCTTTATATCTCCAGCTCAGTTCTGTGACCTGTGAGGGGCATTTCAAGACTGGGTGGCCTCTCAACTACACATAGCAGTAAAATTCTCTAGACCGGCACTCAACAGCAGGCTCTTACAAGCTTAAGAACCTATACAGACCTACTAGCCAGCAATACCTTAAAAGTTAAGGGATCATAATTGCCCCTCTCTAGCCTGTCTTTCTATTTTGTCCCCAGTACCAAATACACCCCTCTGCCATTTTCTGGCAAGGAGGTGGGAAAAGAAAGGGAGTAGGAAATAAATTATGGCTCCTGTCAAGAGACCAGAGAAGACATACCTGCAACTGACAGTTTTTTGCTGCAATCTACATTCAGACTAAAATAGAACATAGTGAAGGCAGATAAACACACACAAATATTGAGGAACATCGCCTGGTGTTGAGCTTCTCTCGTGGAGTAAATACCAACCTCTTTCACTGAGCAGACAAGCATCTGCTCCAGCTTACAGTGGCTAAGAAAGAACACAATAATTTTGTTTTAAATAACAGTGCCTGATATAGTCTTTTAAAATGCAGGTTTGTTAAGTTTTCTGTTGCTGTTTTCACTATATCACATATCAGGGTCGAATTGGGAAGTTAACAACTGTAATAATATGGTGAACACCATCTGCAAGTTGTCATCATCAGAGAAGCTGCCACATCTCTGTTGGAGGACGCTTGTACCCATACTCTCAACACCGGAGGTGATGTGTGTAGGGAGCAGAAGGCGAAAACCCCACCTAGGATTCACAGGGTATGTCTCAGAGGAAGGTGCAAGACACAAAAAGGAAAATGTTGTCTGATGACAATAAAAATGACAAGAACATTGCCAAAACTGACAAGCCTAAACTGTTTCTGTCAATGAGGATACAATTACTAGTAGGTTTCATTGTGTCCTATTCCCTTCTTTGAATCTCAGAAGATACTAATGCATCCCTGGGCAGAAAGAGGGAGGAAATTTCATTCTCTGCATTCCTCTCCCATTCTTCAGTGATTGCTTACTGCCCATGAGGAAGGATAGGACAGCGGGAAAGGTACATTCAGGATTCTCTATCTAGACTGAGGCCTGGGAGGGAGGGAGGACTCAGGCACACACCATGGCTGTGGACTCTAAAACCGCCTTCTGCTCACACTGGGCATCAGCCTCACTATCTGGGGATGCAAGGCCTGAGAAGTTCACACTCTGAGGGAGGGAGGGGGAGGCAGGAATTCCAACTCCAGGGAAAAATGCACCCTAGCAAATGTCTTATAGTTTAATCCAAATGTTCTTTTCAAAACTGTGGAGGGGAGAAGGTTGGACTCCTTCAAATCTAAAAGAGTAAAGTATTTCTGAATTCATTGCTGGTTCTCCCTTAGTTGTCATTTTAGACTTTAATTGAATCTATGGCAGACTCATAATTATCATTACTGTAGGGTATCTGAAAACAGTTAAATGCTATAATCAATTCTTGAATTTCTGAGCTAATGAAGGGTATCAGGAGAACAAATAACCACCCCCCACCAAAAAAAAAAAAAAAAGCACATTATCCTGATATGTTCCTGTAGCACATTTACTTAATCCTAATATAGACATTAGATTCATGTCTAGGTCAGGCCCAGCCACGTATGTGTTGATGTCAGAGGAAGTCAGCCTGGGATTAAAATGTTGCCCTGAATAGGCCTTAAGTAATCATGAGGAAATGACGGTAAACGTGAAACAATGAGAAGGAATCTATTGACTGGGAAATACCTCTGATTTAAGCCTTTCGATTTCTGTGTCTTGATCTTCAAGTTGATGTCGGAGTTGGTTAGCTGCAATTTTTTCTGTCTCTACGATCTGAACTAGATGAATGTACTTCTGCATTAATACTTCCCTCTCAATCAAAATGTCTGCATAACTTGAGAGAAAATTACACAGTTAGTCATTGAGATATTGTTCTACTATATAGAGTTCCATATAGAATATAATATGCTACATTTGAAAAAGAAGTTATGAGCATTGTTTGTTCAGCTATCTCTACTTGACATAAATGTTAACTTTCAGCTTACATTTGGTATCCTTCGACGATGAAGAATTTAAATAATCATTTTACATATCCTTTACTAAGAATTCACTTAATGATACTTGCTACCCAAAAAATCTTACCATAGAAGTGGGAAAAGTACAAAAGAAATTGTAATAGTTTTAAAAAGAAAGTAGTGTGTCTTCTTTAACAAAAAAACTGAGGTCTTTTGAATTCTGGCACATGGTTTCCAGGGATGCTATTCAAAATATTTCACCGAGTAAGATATTAGCCAATCAAAATAAACCTGCTCCCAAACAGAATGAATGCAGAGACCATTACAACAGGCACTAACTGGAAAAAATCTATTATGTCTGTATTAGTGACTACCAACTCTGTTGGGCTCTCTTTAAGACTGCAAAATCATTGACTACTCTATTTCTAAAGCCAACAGAAATAGAAATTATATTCTAGAATTAAGTTTAGATTATTTGGGCTCTAACTCCTGCAGCCTAGCCTGTATCTATGTCTTTGGTCAAGTATGGTAAAACAAAACTTACTCTCAGATTTTTACTGATGATATAATTCTGTGGTATCTAAAATTTTGCCTCCAGATCTTCTTGCATCATTCAGGATGATGAAATGGATATTCTTCCATGCATATCATCTTTCCCCAATGGTATGACAGTAATAATTCATGATAGTTACTATTTATTGAGTGCATAGGATATAGTATACATTATTTCATCTCATAATCCCAGCAACCCCAGGAGATATGTGATCCCAATTGCCCAGAGAAGGAATTTGATCTTCACAGAGGCGAAGTACTGACCTCAGATCGCACAGCTAGTAGGTAGCAGGGCTGGGATTCAAATTAAGGTATGTCTGACCCGAAGTCCATGTTCTTAAACACCAGCTAAACTGCCTCTCTCATGAGAAAGTGCACGCTGGACATAAACAAGAATGTTGCAGCGGAAGTGTTTTGAGATACCTGCCCAATCTTCCACACACTTACCTCCTCTTTGGGAACTTGGGCCATGGCAAGCCATGTTTATACCACAAAAGCTGCCCTCATGACCACATTAAACCAGCCTAAAAAGAGATAACTGGTGCAAGCTAAACCAAATGGATTCTTTCCCCTTGGAATCTGGGATTCTACCTCGCTTTATTTGCTTGAACTGCAATAATATTAACTTGGAAATTCTAGTTGCCATTTTTGGGCAGCCATATTTGGCCACATCCGAGCCAAAACAGTCAAAGTGAGTCCGACGGGAGAGAAAAGAATAAGCGGATGTTCAGAAAAGCAAAGACAGGAGAGACAGAAAGTCTGAGACAGAAAGTTAATGGCTACCTGGGCTCCTGTAGCTTTCTAGTTCCTGGTGCCAGGCCCTCATGACGCTGGAACACAATTTTAGGCTGGGGTTCAGGGAGATACTGCAGTGTCCTGCTAATAAATTCTTTCTTTTAACCTAAACTGGTTTGAGGTTTAGCTTACTTGGTTTGTGTTGCTTGGAACTAAAAGTCTTAAGACACTTCTAAAATCACAATTTTAGATCAATTATCTCAACATCCTCAGCACCTGTATCGTGCGTGTTGTTAGGGTTAGAAAAGAACCGTGTCAGCAACATTTTTAAGTCACTCGTTCTGAGAAATTACCCAAAGAGAATAGAAAGGGAGGCTATGAAATTACAAGTGACAGGAAGGGAAAAGAAGAAGAAAAGATAGAAGAGTCTTGATAGGAATATGCTGTGGGAGAACTTAAGGGAGAAAAATAATAATAGAGCATAAAAAAAGCAATTGTTATAAAAATTCTGCCTTTCTCATCAGTTTTATTAGAAATATGCCAAATTGGTTACAAATATATTACATCAGTGTTAGGTAGCAAAGCAGTATTTTCTTTTCTCTTAAAAAAGAAAAAGAAAAAGAGAAAGGCAGGTCCAGTTTGGAATGCAAGGCTGACTTCACACAGACTCATCACCAACGTCCCCCTCCCTGCGCTTCCAAGGTCTTTGCTAGGAAAATTGTTTTCTGTTTAAAGAATGAAACCATAAGAGCATGATAAAAACAGGAAAATATGCCATCAATAGACCAGACATCCTCAGCACCTATATAATGGAATTTGTAAAATTCCATGAAGAGAAAAACTAAGCAAGCAGAATTAGCTTGGTGGGGAAATGAGAGTAGAGGAAACCACAGATACAGATACCTTGCATAAGCACACTTCTCACCAAGAGTGGCCCGGAGAGTCTCCAAGCTCGGAAGCAGCAAATGTAAACAACAGAGCGTAGGCAAGGGCAATTGTTATGATCTTCCATTAAACAAGTACCTTTAGAATATGTGAAGTTAGGCTCCTCCTCTTCACACCCCTCAAAAATAAGAAATAAAAGGCACAGCTGGCAGCAATGACATGTCCCCAGCTGACAGTGCAAGGTCTGCTTTCTCTAGAAAAGGGTGGCACCTTCCTAAAGAAGAACTCTAATGAAGGAGCTGGACTCTGAGAACAGAGCTTGGGTTTACTCCAGACATTCACCGTGGACACAAGGGAGAACCAAGAAGGGAAAGGCTTTAAGAGAGCCTGGAAATAAAATACACTGTATTCATTTTCTATTCTGTAAAAACAGAACTTAAGCCACTAAATTTGGTGATAATTTGTTACAGAATAGAAAATGAATACAGTGTATTTTACTTCCAGGCTCTTAAATCAACATATATTTATTATCTCATAGTTTCTGTGGATTAGGAGTCTAGGCTCAGTTTAGCTAGACCTTTAGGTCAGGATGTCACGAGGCTACGATCACGGTGTCAATCAAGATGCATTATCATCTTGAGGCTTGACTGGGCAAGAATCCTATTCCAAGTTCATTCAGGCTGTTAGAAAAGTTCATTTCCTTGCTGCTGTAGAACTCGTAGCAGCTTCCTTCTTCAAAGCCAGTGGGAGAACATTTCTCACCTGCTCTGTAAGGTCTTTCATCTGATTAAATCAGGTCCACTAACGACCCTTTTTATTAACTCAATATTAACTGATTTAAGACTGTAATGATATCTTCAGTAACTCTTTTCCTTTGCCATATAACATAACCTAATCAAGGACGTCACTATCCCATCATGTTTCCATATTTTAGTGGGTAGTAGCCAGTAACAGTTTCCAGCTGTGTGGGCTAAAGGGTATAGAATTATACAAGGAAGAATTTCCAAATCACCTTCCTACTGTCTGCCCACATATCTGAAAAGGAAGCTGACACATGTTACACGATGCAGCATTCACAGTCACAGAGTAAGCCCAGACCAACTACCCATAATGTCCCACAAGATCCTTCATTTAGAAACAAGGAATAGCAGACACTCATGAAAACCAGACTCCCCTCTCACCACAAAAGGCCCCTATAGTAGGCAGCATCTAAGATGGCCCCCTAATGATCCCCGGCTTCTAGTACTCAACCCCTTAGGTAAAAGGGCCTTCCTTTTGAGTGTGAGCTGGACTTAAGTGACTCACTTATAAAGAATACAACATGGCAGGAGTGATGGGATGGCAATTCCATGATCGGTTTATAAGACTCTGGCTTCCATCTCACTTGCCTTCTCTTGCTGTCTTGCTGGTTTGCTTTGAGGGAAGTCAGCTGCCAGGTTCTGAGCTACTCTACAGAGAGGCCCATGAATAAAGTAGACACTGTAGGAGGCCTCTGGCCAAGAGTCATTTAGGAACTGAGCTCAAGCCAACAACTGGTAAGGAAGCGAACCTAGCCAACAGCAGAGTGAGTGAACTTGGAAGTGGATCCTTCCCCAGTTGTGCATTCAGATGAGAATACAGACCTGGCCAACACCTTGATTGTAGCCTTGTGAGATACCTTTGGGCAGAGGCACCCAGCTAAGCTATGCCTGGGTTCCTGACCCACAGAAACTGTGTATAACAATAAATTGTTTATTGTTTTAAAAATTGTTAAGCAGCAAGAGATAACAAACACAGCCCCAAATGAACAAACAGAAAAGACATTAAAAGAAACAAAGCTAATTCAGGAAAAAAGGTACTTACTACCTACAGAAAGACATGGAAGGATATTAGACATAAGGCAAAAAGAGGCTGCCATGGAAAAGGAGTAATCAGATTTTTTTAAAAAAGCGTTCTTGGAAAAAAAAGATAATTACTAAAATTTTATAGCTCAATGGAATTACTAACCAATAACCCAGACATGGCTAAAAACTAAGCTGGGTGGTCAGAGAGGTCAAATAAAGAACACTAAACAAAAATATAAAGAGATTGGAAATATAAAAGGAAAACTGAGTAACCTAGAGTATAGATCCAAGAAGTCTAATATCTGTCTTGTGGGAGTTCCAGAAAGGAAAAAAGTTACACTGCAATAGGGAAAAAATATTAATAATAAAGAAATGAGAGCTGGGCACTGTGGCTCACACCTGTAATCCTAGCACTTTGGGATACTGAGGCAGGCAGATCACCTGAGTTTGAAACTAGCCTGGCCAACATGGTGAAACTCTGTCTTTACTAAAATACAAAAAATTAGCCAGGTGTGGTGGCGGGCATCTATAGTCACAGCTACTTGGGAGGCTGAGGCAGGAGAATCATTTGAACCCGGGAGGCAGAGGTTGCAGTGAGCCGAGATCACGCCACTGCACTCCAGCCTGGGCAACAGAGAGAGACTCCATCTAAAAAAGAAAAAACAGAAATGGAAGAAACTTTCCCTGAACTGAGCATAGCACAGTTCAAATAGAATAATCCAAATACCAGACAAGATAAATGAAAACATTTCATACTCTGATACATCTTGGTAAAATATCAGAATTCTAAGGATAGAGAAAAATTATAGAAGCTTCCAAAGAGAAACAATAGGTAGCAAAAGGAAGTGAGAATCATGCTGTCATAGTTTTTTTTTTTCTGTCATACTTTTCATCATTAACTTGGAATTCTAGGTGGCAACAAAGAATTGTGGAGAAAATATTTTGAGCCTGCATAACAATTTCTAAAACAATAAACAATACACAGACAACCAATCACTGACCAAGTACCAGGACAAGACAGGAAAAACTTACTATCCCCACACACTTACTGCAGGAAAACATTATGAGGAGGTTTTCCAACCAAACAAAACAGAAATCAAAGACAATAAAATGACATTGAATGCAAGAAAACAAGCCAGATGAAGTAAAGGAAGGTAGAAAGAAACTAGAAGTTGACACACACAAGGTTCTTCTTCAAGGAGCAAATATTCAATGACACGGTACATTTCATTCTCTGTGGGACCAAACACCAACCTTGATACTTTGGGACACAATATTTGTTATAACCACTATGGAAATGTTCCTTGTTGGTTTTTAATTTTCAGAATCAGCCTATGACAAAACACAGAGGAACAATTTAGAGAACAGAATATGTCTAAAAGTTTATAAAGTGAGAATAAATAATAATGAAAGAAAACCTCAGGATTAGAAAAGAAAAAACAATGAAAACACATTAAATGTCTTAACTTATTATACTTATTTTTCCTAGCAGAGACAATACATACTGTCTAAAGTTGATAAATCAATAGAGGTTTAATTATATTATTTTAAGTTATGAAGTCAACCAATTTAAGATCTAAAAATATGTAAGTAACAAAAACAGAGCGGGCAAAAGACAGGGACATAAGAGGTATTGTAAGGGTGTTAAATTTTTCATTTTTATGCCAGAGAATCAATCACACTGGCTAAAATTAGTAAGTCAAGAAATACACAAAAGGGCTTCACACAATGTAATAAACAAATGACTAATAAATGCATGAAAAAGGGTCCTTCTTGCTGGGCACAGTGGCCTATGCTTACAATCCCAACACTTTGGGAAGCTGAGGTGAGAGGATAGCTTGAGGCCAGGAGTGACCAGCCTGAGCAACATAGTAAGATCTCATCTCTACAGTTTTTTTTTTTTTTTTTTTTTTTTTTTGTCAGCTGGGATCAGGTGTGGTGGCTCATGTCTGTAATCCTAGCACTTTGGGAGGCTGAGGCAGGCAGATCACTTTAGCTCAGGAGTTTGAGACCAGCCTGGGCAACATGGTGAAACCCCATCTCTACAAAATAAATACAAAAATAAGCTGGGTGTGGTGGCATGCACCTGTAGCCCCAGCTACTTGGGGGGCCAAGGCGGGAGGGTAACTTGAGCCCGGGAGATCAAGGCTGCAATGATGGTATTCATGCCACTGCACTCCAGGTTGGGTGACAAAATGAGACCCTATCTCAGAAAGGAAGGAAAGAAGGAAGGAAATAAATTAGCTGGGTGTGGTAGCATACACCTATAGTCCCAGCTACTCAAGGAGGCTGAGGCAGGAGGATCACTTGAGCCCAGGATTTTGAAGCTGCAGTGAGCTATGATTGCACCACCACACTCCAGCATGGGAAACAGGGAGAGATCCTGTCTCAAAAAAAAAAAAAAGTCCTTCTTAATCAAAGAATTACAAATTATTTACCAAAACTGGTTAAGATTTTTAGAAAAATAGTACTCAGGGCTAACAAAGATATAGTAAATAGATATTGTCATATAGTACCACTGAAGTGAGTCATTGTAGAAGACAATATCACAATATGTATCAAAACAGGTCAAAATGGTTATATCCTTTGCCTTCATAATTTCACTTCTAATAATATCACTCAAGAAAAATAATCTGACACTTGCACAACGAGATACAAAAGAAACAAAATGTTCATTCATTAAAAACAAATATAAGAAAATGGAGACAATCTAAATATACACATTTATAATATGGGATTGGTTAAATAAGTAATAATATATCTTCATAATGGAATGATAACAAGCCATTTAAAATATGTTTTTTGAAAATAGTCATAACATAATGGCACATACCCAAGATTTATTGATAAATAAACAGAAAAAAAAACAAGAAATTGAGATAAACATTATATGTACATGTACATGTATATATGTTCATACACAGAGGGAGAAAATTAAGTGTATACACAGACATAAGCAGAAGAGGAGAAGGGAAGAGAGAGACAGAGAGAAAGGTACTCTAATGAGAGACATACATCAAAACTTAAAGGGAGCTTTCTTTGGCTGGAGCAATTATGGGTGATTTTTAATTTCTTCTTGAGTTACTTCTTTTGTACTTTTCCATACTTTCCAATATTTCTGTAATATTAAGTGGGGAGAAAAGAGAAAATACATAAAATCCTAATGGTAGTTATTTACTTCATGCATTGGGATTATAAGTAACATGATTTCCTTCTTCCTGGGTTCCTGCGAGTCCAAATTGATTCTTTGAGTCAATAAATATTTACTGAGTGTTGTATATTTGGGAACTGTTCAAAATACTGGGCACAGGAGTAAACACAGTAGGAAAAAAATCTGTGTCTTTATGAAGCTTATACAGTAGTAGAGAGAGAAAGACAACATTAATAAGACAAATCTATCATATGTCACCTGGTGATGAGTACTGTAGAGGAAAAATGGTAAGAGGAGAACAGGAAGTAGGGGGGCAGAGGTTACAATTTTAACCAAGCGGTGAGGGCTGCTTTCATGGAGAAATGGTACTGGAGAAACGACTTGAAGCAGGGACATGCGTGGCTAGCTGATGGAACAGCATCCAGGCCCAGGGAACAGTATGTGCAAAAGCCCTGCAGTGGGAGTGGGCCTAGCCTGTCTAGGGAATGACAAAGTGGTGAGTTTCCTCAAGGGGAATGGTATGGTTTAGATCTGTGTCACACCCAAATCTCACATTGAGATGTAATCTCCAGTGTTGGAGGTGGGGCCTATTGGGAGGTGTGTGGGTCATGTGTGGATCATGGGGACAGATCCCTCATGGCTTCATGCTGTCCTCAAGACAGTGAATGAGTTCTCATGAGATCTGATTGTTTAAAAATGTGTGGCATCTTCTCTCTCTCTGGTTCCTGCTCTTGCTGTATGACCCACTTGCTCCTCCTTCGCCTTCTGCCATGAGTAAAAGCTTCCTGCGGTCTCTCCAGAAGTGGGGCAGATGCCAGTGCCATGCTTGTACAGCCTGCAGAACTGTGAGCCAATTAAACCTATTTTCTTTATAAATTACCCAGCCTCAGGTTGTTTTTTTTGTTTTTTGTTTTTTGTTTTTTGGTGGAGTCTCCCTCTGTTGCCCAGGCTGGAGTGGAGTGGCGCGATCTCAGCTTACTGCAACCTCCGCCTCCTGGGTTCAAGCAATTCTCTGCCTCAGCCTCCTGAATAGCTGGGATTACAGGTGCCCGCCACCATGCCTGGCTAATTTTTATATTTTTAGTAGAGACGGGGTTTCACCATCTTGTCCAGGCTGGTCTTGAACTCATGACCTCGTGATTCACCCATCTCAGCCTCCCAGAGTGCTGGGATTACAGGTGTGAGCCACCGCGCCCAGCCCAGGTATTTCTTTATAGCAATGCAAGAATGGCCTAAGACAGGGAGTAAGAAAGAGGTAGAAGAGGGAACAGGATTCTAAATCACGTAGATCAATAGAAAGTCTCAGGTTTTCCCCCAGTCCAGCGAGGTGTAAGCTTTGATCAAAGGCCTTACAAGATTTCACTTTTTTTTTTTTTTTTTTGAGGCGGAGTCTCGCTCTGTCACCCAGGCTGGAGTGCAGTGGTGCGATATCAACTCACTGCAACCTCCGCCTCCCGGGTTCACGCCATTATTCTGCCTCAGCCTCCCTAGTAGCTGGGACTACAGGCGCCTGCCACCAGGCCCGGCTAATTTTTTGTATTTTTTAGTAGAGAGGGGGTTTCACCGTGTTAGCCAGGATGGTCTGGATCTCCTGACCTCGTGATCCACCGGCTTCAGCCTCCCAAAGTGCTGGGATTACAGGCGTGAGCCACTGCGCCCAGCCAAGATTTCAGTTTTTAACGGGATCCCACTGGCTGTTCTGATGAGAAAGAAGGGTAGGGGTGGAGCACAAGAGGAGAAGGGGGAAGAGTTGGAACTATTACAATAATAATCCAGGCAAAAAGATTACAGACAAGTCCAGGCCTGGGGACTTGGCACAGAATAGTCGTTCAAATGATTCAATGTCATTGTCAAATGAAATAAATCATATTATTCAAATGAAATAAATCATCTAATATGATCTAATATGATTTATCATCTAATATGATTTATTTCATCTAATATGATTTATTTTACACACTCTCTTTTTTTTTTTTTTTTTTTTTTTTTGATACAGGGCCTTGCTCTGTTGCCCAGGCTGGAGTACAGCGGCCTCTCAGGCTCAAACAACCCTCTCACCTCAGCCTCTCAAGTAGCTGGGACTACAGGTGCAAGCTATCACACATGGCCAATTGTTTGTGTTTCGTAAGATGAGGTCTCACTATGTTGCCCAGGATGCATGGCTCCTTATTCTTCACATAGTAATTTTCAGGTCATGCCATTGATTTCATTAGGGCTCCCTAGTTTACTACTCCTATTCTGCTCTTACTGGGGTATCCCCCCAACTCTGCATCACAAAACTTTCTTTACATATCCCACTAGTAAATGGATGTCTGCTCCAGGATTGCATCAAATCAACTGAAAACACATGCAGGGCTTCCCTTCACTATTTCTCAAACCACTGGCATTTCTATTCTACTATATTGCCAACACATATCTTATGTGATTAAATTTTCCATTTACTAGGTAGTACTCAAGTTTTAAAATGTTTGCCTAATCTCCTTATTATTTTCATTTGGTTAGCTATTTTTTTATTTTGTATTTTCGCTTTTTAGTTCAACTCCCACAACAAAAAAAGGATCCCCCTGCCAAAGGACATATAAATCCACTTGGTGAAAGCATAACTCAAAATTCAGCTGTTGAGTACAAACAGATGTCAACATTAGGATATATATGGGAATAAAATATTAGTGTGTAATATTTATAAGAATTAATAATCATGTATTATATATTTCAAGATAGCTGGAAAACAGGGTTATTAATTAATTAATTAATTAATTAATTATTTTTGAGGCAGGTTCTTCTTCTGTTGCCCAGGCTGGAGTGCAGTGGTACAATCACAGATCACTGCAGCCTCGACCTCCTGGGATCAAGCCATCCTCCTGCCTCAGCCTGCCAAATAGCTGGGACTACAGGTGCATACCACCAGGCCTGGCTAATTTTTTGATTGTTTTGTGGAGACGAGGTCTCACTATGTTCCCCAGGCTGGTCTTGAACTCCTGAGCTCAAGTGATCCACTGGCCTCGGCTTCCCAAAGTGCTTGGATTATAGGCACGAGCCACTGTGCCCTGCTGAAGAGAGGTTTTTTAATGTCCTCATCACAAAGAAATAATAAATGTTTAAGCTGATTAATATGCTAATTTCCCTGATTTTATCATGATACAATGCATGTGTGTACCGAAGCATCACCTTGTACCTCGTAAATATGTACAATAATCATGTATCAATCATAAATGAACAAATAAAAATAAATAAAAAATCCTAACCACCATCACTCCATATGGAGAAAAGGAAACATTCAAATAAAATGTTGAAAAGTCCAAAGCAGAGGCACAGTGTGAAATTACAGACCTTAGTTATCTTATAGAAGGGCAAAAATTATATTAGCTTAGCAAAAAGTTGTTGTTGCTGGGCCAGAATTCCACCCCACTTATTTTGACTGAGGACGTATATATGAAGCAAACTACAGCAAAACCCAAATGAAATGTCACAGCCCAGGTCACTAAAGGAACAACTGGTACCAGCCACCGCAAAAACATGCCAAATTGTAAAGACCATCAATGCTAGGAAGAAACTGCATCAACTAAGGAGCAAAATAACCAGCTAACATCATAATGACAGGATCAAATTCACACATAACAATATTAACCTTAAATGTAAATGGGCTAAATGCTCCAATTAAAAGACACAGACTGGCAAATTGGATAGAGTCAACACGCATCAGTGTGCTGCGGGTATTCAGGAGACCCATCTCATGTGCAGAGACACACATAGGCTCAAAATAAAGGGATGGAGGAAGATCTACCAAGAAAATGGAAAACAAAAAAAGGCAGGGGTTGCAATCCTAGTCTCTGATAAAACAGACTTTAAACCAACAAAGATCAAAAGAGACAAAGAAGGCCATTACATAATGGTAAAGGGATCAATTCAACAAGAAGAGCTAACTATCCTAAATATATAGGCACCCAATACAGGAGCACCCAGATTCATAAAGCAACTCCTTAGAGACCTACAAAGAGACTCAGACTTCCACACAATAATAATGGGAGACGTTAACACCACACTGTCAACATTAGACAGATCCACGAGACAGAAAGTTAACAAGGATATCCAGGAATTGAACTCAGCTCTGCACCAAGCAGACCTAATAGACATCTACAGAGCTCTCCACCCCAAATCAACAGAATATACATTCTTCTCAGCACCACACCGCACTTATTCCAAAACTGACCACATAGTTGGAAGTAAAGCACTCCTCAGCAAATGTAAAACAACAGAAGTTATAACAAACTGTCTCTCAGACCACAGTGCAATCAAACGAGAACTCAGGATTAAGAAACTCACTCAAAACCGCTCAACTACATGGAAACTGAACAACCTGCTCCTGAATGACTACTGGGTACATAATGAAATGAAGGCAGAAATAAAGATGTTCTTTGAAACCAATGAGAACAAAGACACAACATACAAGAATCTCTCGGACACATTTAAAGCAGTGTGTAGAGGGAAATTTATAGCACTAAATGCCCACAAGAGAAAGCAGGAAAGATCTAAAACTGACACCCTAACATCACAATTAAAAGAACTAGAGAAGCAAGAGCAAACACATTCAAAAGCCAGCAGAAGGCAAAAAATAACTAAGATCAGAGCAGAACTGAAGGAGATAGAGACATAAAAAACCCTTCAAAAAATCAATGAATCCAGGAGCTGGTTTTTTGAAAAGATCAACAAAATTGATAGACCACTAGCAAGACTAATAAAGAAGAAAAGAGAGAAGAATCAAATAGACACAATAAAAAATGATAAAGGGGATATCACTGATCCCACAGAAATACAAACTACCACCAGAGAATACTATAAACACCTCTACGAAAATAAACTAGAAAATCTAGAAGAAATGGATAAATTCCTGGACACATACACCCTCCCAAGACTAAACCAGGAAGAAGTGGAATCCCTGAATAGACCAATAACAGGCTCTGAATTTGAGGCAATAATTAATAGCCTACCAACCAAAAAAAGTCCAGGACCAGACAGATTCACAGCCGAATTCTACCAGAGGTACAAAGAGGAGCTGGTACCATTCCTTCTGAAACTATTCCAATCAATAGAAAAAGAGGGAATCCTCCCTAACTCATTTTATGATGCCAGCGTCATCCTGATACCAAAGCCTGGCAGAGACACACACACAAAAAAGAGGGTTTTAGACCAATATCCCTGATGAACATCGATGCAAAAATCCTCAATAAAATACTGGCAAACTGAATCCAGCAGCACATCAAAAAGCTTATCCACCATGATCAAGTGGGCTTCATCCCTGGGATGCAAGGCTGGTTCAACATACCCAAAATCAATAAACGTAATCCAGCATATAAACAGAACCAACGATAAAAACCACATGATTATCTCAATAGATCCAGAAGAGGCCTTTGACAAAATTCAACAGCCCTTCATGCTAAAAACTCTCAATAAATTAGGTATTGATGGGACGTATCTCAAAATAATAAGAGCTATCTATGACAAACCCACAGCAAATATCATACTGAATGGGCAAAACCTGGAAGCATTCCCTTTGAAAACTGGCACAAGACAGGGATGCCCTCTCTCAGCACTCCTATTCAACATAGTGTTGGAAGTTCTGGCCAGGGCAATCAGGTGGGAGAAAGAAATAAAGGGTATTCAATTAGGAAAAGAGGAAGTCAAATTGTCCCCGTTTGCAGATGATATGACTGTATATTTAGAAAACCCCATCGTCTCAGCCCAAAGTCTCCTTAAGCTGATAAGCAACTTCGGCAAAGTCTCAGGAAACAAAATCAGTGTGCAAAAATCACAAGCATTCCTATACACCAATAACAAGCAAACAGAGAGCCAAATCATGAGTGAACTCCCATTCACAATTGCTTCAAAGAGAATAAAATACCTAGGAATCCAACTTACAAGGGATGTGAAGGACCTCTTCAAGGAGAACTACAAACCACTGCTCAACGAAATAAAAGAGGACACAAACAAATGGAAGAACATTCCATGCTCATGGATAGGAAGAATCAATATCATGAAAATGGCCATACTGCCCAAGGTAATTTATACATTCAATGCCATCCCCATCAAGCTACCAATGACTTTCTTCACAGAATTGGAAAAAACTACTTTCAAGTTCATATGGAAGCAAAAAAGAGCCTGCATTGCCAAGACAATCCTAAGCCAAAAGAACAAAGCTGGAGGCATCACGCTACCTGACTTCAAACTATACTACAAGGCTACAGTCACCAAAACAGCATGGTACTGGTACCAAAACAGAGATATAGACCAATGGAACAGAACGGAGCTCTCAGAAATAATACCCCACATCTACAACCATCTGATCTTTGACAAACCTGACAAAAACAAGAAATGGGGAAAGGATTCCCTATTTAATAAATGGTGCTGGGAAAACTGGCTAGCCACATGTGGAAAGCTGAAACTGGATCCCTTCCTTACACCTTATACAAAAATTAATTCAAGATGGATTAAAGACTTACATGTTAGACCTAAAACCATAAAAACCCTAGAAGAAAACCTAAGCAATACCATTCAGGACACAGGCACGGGCAACGACTTCATGTCTAAAACACCAAAAGCAATGGCAACAAAAGCCAAAATTGACAAATGGGATCTAATTAAACTCAAGAGCTTCTGCACAGCAAAAGAAACTACCATCAGAGTGAACAGGCAATCTACAGAATGGGAGAAAATTTTTTCAATCTACTCATCTGACAAAGGGCTAATATCCAGAATCTACAAAGAACTCAAACAAATTTACAAGAAAAAACAAACAACCCCATCAACAAGTGGGTGAAGGATATGAACAGACACTTCTCAAAAGAAGACATTTATGCAGCCAACAGACACATGAAAAAATGCTCACCATCACTGGCCGTCAGAGAAATGCAAATCAAAACCACAATGAGATACCATCTCACACCAGTTAGAATGGTGATCATTAAAAAGTCAGGAAACAACAGGTGCTGGAGAGGATGTGGAGAAATAGAAACACTTTTACATTGTTGGTGGGACTGTAAACTAGTTCAACCATTGTGGAAGACAGTGTGGCGATTCCTCAGGGATCTAGAACTAGAAATACCATTTGACCTAGTCATCCCATTACTGGGTATATATCCAAAGGATTATAAATCATACTGCTATAAAGACACATGCACACGTATGTTTATTGCAGCACTATTCACAATAGCAAAGACTCGGAACCAACCCAAATGTCCATCAATGATAGACTGGATTAAGAAAATATGGCACATATACACCATGGAATACTATGCAGCCATAAAAAAGGATGAGTTCATGTCCTTTGTAGGGACATGGATGAAGCTGGAAACCATCATTCTCAGCAAACTATCGCAAGAGCAAAAAACCAAACACCGCATGTTCTCACTCATAGGTGGGAATTGAACAATGAGAACACTTGGACATGGGAAGGGGGACATCACACACTGGGGCCTGTCATGGGGTGGGGGGAGGGGGGAGGGAAAACATTAGGAGATATACCTAATGTAAATGATGAGTTAATGGGTGCAGCACACCAACATGGCACATGTATACATATGTAACAAACCTGCAGGTTGTGCACATGTACCCTAGAACTTAAAGTATAATTAAAAAAAAGAAAAGAATTATCTTATCCATTGTGGGCTTTATTTCTTAATTAAAGGAAGAATTTAACACAACTCAAGTAATTATCATACTTTCTTAATATTTGTTTAATGTAAAAGTCACTTAAGAATCTAATTTATGGGGAGAGATATCTCTGTGGTTTGTTTGTATATATGTGCACAGAGAATAAAGACTACTTAGAATAAAAAAAAGAAAGAAAGAAAAACTCCACCTATCTCCAGGGTTATGCTAAATTTTATCCAGAAAACTGTTTGGAATCAGCGTTCCTCATGCCAGGAGAATCATGAGGCCTTTGGGAGTGGAGAAAATCCAAGCATGGATGACAATAGTACAGCTCCTATCAAAGCAACATTTGCTTTGACCTTACCTAAGCAAGGCCAGTTTCTCTATCTTTACTCACACCCCTTCAGCATTACTGTCACATACTGTTTCTGGTTCTCAAGTTCTCTCCTGTCAGTATCTCCACTTCATTGGCTAATTAATATTTTTTAGATATCACATTAACATGAGGTCCTAACACTGTCACCTCCACCAATGTCTTCTCTCTACTGACAGACTCTTCCCTCCTAAGCTGTCTGCTCTACAGTAAATGGAAACACAAGCATCTTAGTTAAGAGAGATCAAAAAGAGGAACAAAAATTAAAGACTAAAAACCCCTCTTCTAAACATTGCTCCTTCTTTCCTGTTCACAGTCACAGTTCGTTACTTAAACATTTCACTAAACTTTGGGACATGTGGAAAGTTGTCGATAATCCTTTCTAAAGCACAATTAAATATAAAAGCAGGCAAAATATTTTTACTAGGAAATACAACAGAACATCACTAATGGTAAAATTATTACCTTGGAACAGAGAAATTTTAAGGAGTGCTTCTAAAAGTAAATATCTTTTATAGTACTATATTATGAAGCTGAAGAAAATGTTTTGTATCACAATAGACATTAATGATTCTTTCCTAACACTGAGACTTTCATTTCTGTTCCATGTGCACAAGCAGGTATTGGTAGAATTATCTTTATCATCACAGAAAATTCTCCAGCAAGAATACAGATACAACTATATTAATTCAACAAGAATAGATTAAAGGGGTTTATATATGAGAACGTATAAAGACTCTAAGCAAAAAAGCAACGAAAATAAGTGTTGGTAAGGATGTGAAGAAACTGGCACCCTCAATACGTAGCTGGTGGGAATGTAAAATGGTGCAGCCACTGTAGAAAACAGTTTGGCATCTCCTCAAAAAGTTAAACATAGAGTTACCAAATGACATGGCAATTCCACTCCTGGGCATATACCCAAGAGAGTTGATAACATATGTTCATGTACAAATGCACACAAATATTCATAGCAACATTATTCATACTAGCAAAAAGTGGGAACAACCTAAATGGCCATCAACTGAGTAGATAAATAAAATGTGGTATATCCATACAGTGGAATAGAATTCAGCCATTAAAAGGAATGAAGTACTAATATATGCTACCACATTGACGAAGCTTGGAAACATTATGCTAAGTGAAAGAAATCAGACACAAAATGTTTGTAGGATTCCATCTATATGAAATGTCCAGAATGAGCAAATCCATAAACACAGAAAGGAGATTAGTGGTTGGCTAGAGCTAGGGGAAGTGGGGAATTGAGAGTGACAGCTATCGGATATGGGGTTTCTTTTGTGGTGTTGAAAATGCTCCGAAATTAGTGGTGATGGTTGTACAACCTTGTGACTGTACTAGAAAAGCACTGAATTATACACTTTAAAATGATAAACTTCATGGTATATGAAGTATATCTTGATTTTAAAAAATATTTTTAAAAAGCAATAGAACAACTTCCCCCCAAAAGTAATATACTTTGATTGCATTTTAATTCAAAAACTCTAATGTCAAAAAAATCCCATAGGTATAACTACAAGACAAAAAAATGATGCAGGGTGATTTGAACAAACATAAAAGATGAATATATTTTTGTCATACAAAGAGCTTATTTAAAAACTTCTAGAAAAACACCAATACCAAAAAATGGGAAAAGGACATGAGATGATAATTTATATAGTAAATATAGACAGATATTAGTGATAGCAAAACACAATCTTATCAATAATCAAGAAAATGCTTATTATACTAATATATCATTTTTAACCCACTGATATAGTAAAGATTTTAAAAAATGATTCCAGCTTTCTTCTGCCCTAATGGAGGGAGATTAAATCAGTACATGCATTTCTGAAAAGCAATTTGGCACTGTACTGGGGCAGGGCACAAAAGATGAGTAGTACACAATTTGCTTTGAAGGAATTCAGGTTGACAGAGAGATACAGACACATAAACAAATCAATGCAATAATTTCTTAGGTGCTTCGAGCGAAATAAGAAGTTACAGTGAGGGCTCAAAGAAGGGAATGGTCAGCCCTTCCTGCTCGTAGAGGAAGAGGACCAGGAAAGATGCAAGCTGCTAAGAGCTCCATCCTGAAAGATGTGTTGGTGTAAGTCAGACTGGAAGAGACATTCCCACACATTAAAATTCCTGTATGTGGTGGCTCCAGCTGGAGCCCAGGACATAAGGGGAGGGGTGGCACGAGGAGTTCGCAGAGGTCAGCTCAGAGGGGCCTCGCTTGGACTGGCTCACTCCATCCCAGAACTCAGAGCAAAGCCTAGCATTGGGTAGGGAAGCAATAAATATCAGTGAAATAATGAATATTTTCTCTTCTTAAAGCAACATGGAGGACTGTTATCTCTCTTTCTCTGTATATATTTAAAATTTTCTACAATAAGAAGTAAATTGAATTATAATAACTAAAAGCAACTGGGAACCCCGGAATTCCTTCAGCAGATCAGATGTTTGCTTAGAAAGGGCACTCTAGTAACTGTAGAGAATCGATGGGAAGGAAGCCGACCTGGAAGAGACAGGCGAGGTGGCAGAGCAATAGGACAGGCAATCAGTGTTGATGGCCTGCACCAGGGCAATGCTGCAGACATGTGGAGAAACGCAGACCAGTGATGTTCTGGGGTAGAATCCACAAGTGGTGACTGCAGTGAGCAGTTAGGCTGGGGTCAGGGGATGATATCCTGCTGGTTTGAGTGACTGAGTGTACAGGAGAGTATGCCTTACATTCCTATCCAGGAAGGGAACATGAAGCTGCCTAGAGAAATACATGAGTTTGGGTTTGTCTTGCTTAGTATCAAGTAATTCTGAGCACCCAGGGAGAGATGATATATAGATAGTTCAATATAGAAAAATACATGTTGGTGAATTTCTACATATAATGGAGGCTATATATCTTTGTGGTTAAGTGCATAGGTTTTGGAGTCAGCCTGCCCAGGACTTGATTCCAGCTCTATCGTTTACTAGACTGGTGGCCCTCAGGAGGTCATTTCATCTCTCCAATACTCAGATTTCCTGGGGATAGTGCCAGCTACTTCATGAGATATCATGCACATAGCATGGTATTTAGCAGAGAAAGTATTGAGAAAGAGCAGCTCTATCTACACGACCTAAGTCTGGGGAATGGATCCAAGTGACGAGACAGGAAGAGCAAAAGCAAAGCCCTACATAGCAGCCACAGTAAAGAAAGGGACAGAACACAAGGAGTAGTGAAATAGGACAAGAAGAAATTGTCAAAGGAGTAAAGGGAGAATCAGGAGGGAGAGACATCGTAAACAAAAGGAATGAAAATTTCGAGATAAGACTTAGATCCCTATAAACTAATGTTAAAAGAAACCCTCCAAATTAGCATAAAAAGATGGCGAATAATATGAATAGCAAATAAAAAGTCTGTAATTATATCATTCTACCTATCTATCCATATGCAAATATACAGAAAAATCTGGAAGTATGCACTCCAAACTGTTACCAGTAAATACTTCTGAGGAAGTAAATGGGCTTGGGGAATAAAGGGGGAGGGGGTGGAACTATAACTCTTTACTTTTGTATTGTCTGAATTTTTTTTTTTTTTTTTTTTTTTAGGGAACTTGCTTTTATGTATTACTGGTGTAATTCAAAAGTAAGTATTAAATATGAACAGAAAGTTGAAGTTATATAAGGAAAGAAAAGCTTTGGAAATTCATTGTTGACCCAGGTGACAACAGTTATAGTAGAGTAGGGACAAAACCCACCAGGAAGAGCTGGAGAGAGGAAGAGCTGCGTGCCTAGGAGAGCAACCGAACCATTTCTTCAAGAAGCCGGGCTGCATGTGCAAGAGAAGACAGTAGCTAGAGGAGTATTCAGTGCCAAGAAAAGGCTTTAATTTCTCTTACAAGACAGGAGAGATTTTTAGGAGATCCAAAAAATACAGGAAAAAAAGGTAAGGAGCGAGGAATAAACAGACTGGAAATATAAGAGAGAAATGGAATAAGTAATGGAGCAAGAAATCAGAGAGAGAGCTCAAAGTAGAAATTTGTCTTGAACCGGGGATGGTTCTCCTGGAGCAGGCAAAGAGAATCATGAGGATGGCTCCCTCCTGCAGGTGAGATGGTGTGCGCATGAGGACGGGGCACCTGCCCGGTGAGTGTAGGCAGAAGGTCTGACTGCCTTTTCAGCTGGATGCTAAATGTGCAAGACAAGCACTTGAAACAAAAACACTGAGAAGTTGGAAAGACAGCTGACGAAAGTATTAACAAAGTATTAAAATAAGAAAATTCAAGCCCGACTTTTCCCTATAGAAAACAATTGTAACCATCAAATCAAGTGAAATATTTCACAGTTTAGTAGTTTAGTAGTATCCCTTCTCTTTCATGTTGCACTCTGTAGGCTGTAAAAGGAAAAAAAATGTTGAATTATCTTTCATTGTGGCAAATATGAAGGCAAAGCCCTGACAGAATTTCTTAGCAAATAATAATAATAATACCTTAAATGAACAAAATCCACATTTTCATCTTTAAAGTAGTGACAGTTTTACTGTTACAGGAAGAATACAAACTATGGTGTTGGATTGCTTTAGGCTATAACATCACTGTCCATCTCTAATTTTTCTAGTCTTGTGATGTTGCTGTGACACATGAAACATTTTCAGCTTTTCTATGTCATCACTCTTCTCTGATTTGTGAGGGATTTCTCTCTGTGTGCATTCTCTAAAGGGCTGATTTTAAGGGGAGGATATGATATACACAGCAGCCTTTAGTGCTGTACAGATTTTTATACTATATACCTTGCTGCAAATTAAGCCTTTTTCCAAGGATGAGACCACAAGCATTAGGTTCTGGGTGTTTGGTGCAGCTACCACACTGTGTGTGTGTGCATGTGTGTGTATTTTAAGGGAGAGAGAGAATGAACAACAGCTGTCTCAGACACAGGTAATCAAAAAGACTAAACATTAAAAACAGATCCAAGAGGCTGCATTACAGCTTTCTTTACTGGAAAAGAGAATAAGGCTTAATTGAAAGGTTTAACTGGATGATAAAGTCTCTCTGCTCGTCAGGTTGGAGACTGACAGGGTGAAACAAAGGGTTAGGTCAGGCCCTTGCCAAACACCATCTGACTGTGAGCTTTATGGAGTGGAAACATATTCCTTTTTGTAATTCTTTTTTCCTTTTGTATGCTCTGCCCTTAAAGGAAAACCTACGATCTGCCTGCTCAAGATACACCCTGAGGGGAGGGAAGAGAATCGAGGTGGAGATTTGAGCAGGTTCAGCTGAAGAAATCAGAAAGCAGGCAAAAGATAGTGGGACAGTTTCAAACACAGGACACACAAGCCATCTGCAGGGTGTGCAAAGCTACACACATTCAACAGTGCTCTGTGCTAGGCTCAACATTCTCAATATCTGTTTTCCCAATCCCTCCACCTTGGTAGAAACCCAAACTCTCCTCCCTCCTCAGGATACACCTTACTTCTCTATCAGCCCCCTGGATACTCATTCTCTCATACCCCACACGCCAAGGGATCAATTCAGTGTCTCACAGTTTCCTTCCTTTCCCAGCGATAATCATACTCTTCCAATTTCCAGCAGAAATTGCCCAACATTTCCTGGCCAATGCTCATCATCTTTGCCCACAAACCTGTCCTCATTCATCATTTCTTCTCCCAAAGAGTGACACCGTCCAAGCTAGGGGCCTGAGAGATGTGTTAGATGCCACCCTAGTCTAATACTGCTCAAATCCAGATAGTCACAAAGTCCCTTGAAGTCTACCCCCTACATCTCTGGAGAACCTTCCTCGTTTCTTCCCAAATGTCATAGTCTAGGTCCTGTGGGTATTAGGCTTAGTCAAGGATGGGAAGACCCTTGGAAGATATACAACTGGATCCATGTCCAGGCCATGACTATCTCCTAACTGCTGATACTTTGCTTGGTCCATGTTCTAGCAGATGAAACATTGAAGAGTTGTCTTTTCAGCTAACAAGCCCTAAGGACTCACAATCAACCAGGTCAGTTTTTGATTGTCCTAGTGTCTACAACTAAATCAACCATGATGGACACTTATGGACAAGAAAACAAAGAAGAAATATCAGGTTATTTTTTATGTCCAGAGTTCCATACTCAAGTAGCAACCACATAAAATAAGCATAGACTTAACTACTATGAAAAGGCTCTGGCCTCAACTCAACCAGACAAAAACAAGACTGGGTCTCGGTAGCAGCGTCCCCTGAACTAGTGCCATAACATGTGGTAAAATGATATCCTAAATGTGCCCGTGTTCTAGAAATGCAGTATTGGCCAATGGTAAGCAAAACATTAAAATGAGCTTCTTGGACTGGTCAAAGCTTCAAAATGAAAAATGTTAATTCCAAAACGATTTTTTTTTTCTGGGCCAGATCTAAAGGAGAAAACATGCAATGGGACATCCCAGAAAATGACCCTAAGATTCTCTGAAGGCAAAGTGGGGCAAGTAGATTCTGCTCTGAGATACGAAAGCCAACAGAACAATGTGATGTTCATAGCACACAAAGACAGCACACCCAGGCTGGTACTGAAAAGCCATCCCAGGAAAACAAAAGTAAATGAGAGAAGGGGTTCTGAGCAGTCTTTGTATCTAAGTGGCATCTACAGGAGGATTTGTAGCTCAGAAAAGAACATCTCATGCTAAACTAATCAAAAGTTTTGATTTTTTAAAAAAGGATCAATAAAACCATAAATATTGAGTATTTAAAACTTTTATATTAGAAAGGCAGCAGTACTGAATTAATGCCATCAGACTGTCTTTCGAGGGTGAAATGTTAAGTCAACCAACCATAATTAATTAATTGTGTTTTATTACAATGCCAAGCAAAAATGGCTGATAATTCTTGCTCTGAATCAGCTTCATTAACTTTCTGGCTTTGTTCATACATGAACAAAATCAAGGTGAATTTTGCAGATCCAAGTTTAAACCAAAAACTCAACTTAATCAAGCTTAGATAAAAAAGTTTTCTTCCCTGATTTAGAAAACAAAAATTTAAGAAATATCTCAATGCAAAACAGAAAATATAAAAACACAGTATAAAGCAGTCAGATTAAAAGAAATTATCAAAGAACCCAGTCCTAGGTCTCAAGTCAAGGGAAAAGCAAACCTAATGGACCAAAAAGTCAAAACATCAAGGGAAAAAGTCAATTATTAACCAAATCTTCAAATCTAAAAAGAAAAGAATTTTCACCATTGTATCATCTAAACCACTTAAGTGGTTTCTAAAGTCTGTCTCCTGACAACATCACACATGCCCTGGTTTTGACTGTATGTCAAACACCACCAAATAATTACTGACTCAGTTTCCTGTAGATGATAAAATGCATTCCTGGGACAGAAAAAAAGATTTCTTACTTGGAATCTAATCATCTTTAAAGCAATTTGCATTATTTGTGTTTGGTTCACCAAGATATTTGCTTGACAACTACAAAGGCATTTGGGCTACTGATGGTGCCTGCTCTCCTGGAATGAAAAAGATAGGAAAACAGGCATGTTTTAAATTATGTATTTTAACTCCTAGGTAGAAAGGAATAGAGATTGTAGAAAGGAAAAGATTGTGTCTGGAAATGACCCAAGGGCTCTACCTTGCCAGCTTGATGCTTCTTTCATCTTTGAAGGCCTGACTTTCTTTCTACAGCAAGTCATTCTGCATTAGTCCTAAGTCTGGATCAAAACCCTCAAACAGAGAGCACCAAGAGCAAGGACGGCTGAACCATGTGCCGGGGTCATGATGACTCGTGGCAAGCTCTCCTGGGGTCCACATGGAGAGTGGCACTTAGTTGCCAGCCCCATGCATCTCAGAGAAAGAAAAGGAACTGAAATATTTTGCAAATAACATCTTCTACTCTCAACCCTAGTCTCACATTAATCTACTTTCGTCTTTGAATGAGGAAAAGAAAAAAAAAATAGAACAAGAAAAGACTGTAGTGATAAAGAGGATAACGAAGATAAGTACAATATTGAACATTAGCTAAAGGTTCTGAAGTCCAAACCCAATTCAACTTGGGTTTGAATCCCAGATCTGCAGCTTAACAACTTTGTGTTAGAACTTGGCCAATATGCCTGTCACAAATTTTTGTTTTCTCCTCTGTAAAATGGGGATAATAATATCCTATTAGCTTATTGTGAAGAATAAAAAAAGATAAGTACATAAAACACTTGGCACACTGCTTGTCAGAGAAGGTGGTAAATATAAGTAGCTGAAGAGGGTAGGGAGAATAGAGGTGAGACGAGGGAAGGGGAGGGCAGACTTTCAGAGAAAGCGTCAAGGGTTCAAAGAACAGCCTGAACTCACTCAGAATAAATACCTCATTGTGTGTGTGGTTTTTTTTTAGATGGAGTCTTGCTCTCTCCCCAAGACTGGAGTGCAGTGGTGTGATCTTGGCTCACTGTATCCTCCAACTCCCAGGTCTGAGCAATTCTCCCACCTCAGCCTCCCAAGTAGCTAGGACTACAGGCGTGTGCCACCATGCCCGGCTAATTTTTATATTTTTAGTAGAGACGGGGTTTCACCATGTTGGCCAGGCTGGTCTCAAACTCCTGGCCTCAGGTGATCTGCCCACTTCAGCCTCCCAAAGTGCTGGGATTACAGGCATGAGCCACTGTGCCCAGCCTAAATGCCTCATTCTTACAATCAAACTGAAGAAATCTCCTGATCACCTACTACATAATTAGCAATGCGCTTCACTCAGACATGAATGTGCCCCAATCCCTCTCCTCATTCTCAAGGTGTATACAATCCCACTCAGGAAACAGAAATCTAACACATTCACTATATTAAAAAAGTAATGATAACCAGAATTGCTAAATCGCCCACGTGCAGTACACAATGCAAGTGCTGCAGCCATTTGAAGAGGGCGCCAGTGAGGGCTGACTTGCAGGGAGATGTCTCAGGGCGGGAGTGGTAGAGGGAGGAACAGACAGATGGAGAAGGGAAGGCTCATCAGGTGAAGAAAAAGAAAGCATGCCACAGCTAGAGTGTTGCCCCAAAATACCCAAGAGATGAGCAAGACAAGAGAGCAGGGAGTAGTGGAGCAACAGCCTGGATTAGGGAGTGGACAGGCAAAAAGCAAGAGCTTGAGAGCCATGGGAAACAAAACTGAACCAGGTTTAGGGATTGAATAGGAAAATAAGAGAGAGGGACCTGCCTTGTATCTCTTTCAGATTTCTAGTTCCCGTTTAAGACCCTGTACACACATTTCCACCTTCCTGATGTTTCTTAGGGGGAAGCGAAATCACAGTGTTCTATTTCTTTAAATAGAGGATGTCATCCCCTTCTTTTGATAACCGAGGTGCACAGAGCAGGGTTTACAAATGTAGGCTAGGCTAGGGCCATATCCCAGCTCTGTGGCTTACTAGCTGTGTGACCTCAGGCAGGAAAACTAACTTTCCAGGCCTCAGTTTCCTTATCTGCAGACAGGGGGAATTATAATGCCCCTCTTGCCGATTGTTGACAGAGTGAGTCAATACATTCAATACATTCTGTAATTGAAAAGCACATATAATAGTGCTTGGCACATAGGAAGAAATCCACAAAAGTGACTACTACTACTACTTATTATTATCATTGTATCTATTACCATTAATCTTTAGCTGGAATGTAGCCATGGAAAGCTCAAATAATGATCTCACACATGACTAAGGAATAGGTACCAGGAGAAAACTCATCTTAGAGTTGCAAGTTCTTCCAAAACTACCACCAACAGTGATAACCCCAATGCAGGACCCAGACAATCAAGTACTACACAGGAAGACTGAGCCTATACCTGGCTTGGTGAATGGCCTCCATCCACTCTTTACCATCCTGCTCCTCCTCACAGCGCAGCTCCAGTGGCTTCTGACCTTCATGGCCAAAAAGAACAGTAAAGTAATACTGGAAAGAAAAAGAAACACAAAAAACTTAGTTCTATTTTTCAAGCACAACAGCATAATAACACAGTATCTGCCTACAAAGGGTACATATTTACAAAATGCATCAGTGCTTATGCAAATTTTATTTCAAAATGTAACATTTCACTCTGGGTCCAGTTGGCAATGACTCTGCACCTAGAAGATACCACAGACTGCATCTTAACACACCTCAGTAAGGGTCAACCCTTAACACTCCTTTAATGTACCTTTCTATAATGTACAAAAAAGAATATTGCACAAATTCGGCTATGCAGATAAATGAAAGGTAATATGATATTTTCCAAAAGGTTTTCCTTTTTTGTGGTGTGATAAAGCTGCAGGAACGCAGAAGTCTACATCACTGCACTAGCTAATTTTATTGTCTGTTCTATTCTATATCTATTCTCCATTCTGGGAAGCAATATGCCTATAATTATGCAGTCCAATTGCTGCCATTTGCCTCTTCTGCAACCTTAGCAGATGTCATCAATTGCTTATACCCCTGTTTTCCCAGAGGTAGCCTTGCAATTCTGTTCAACACAGTATTCCAGAATGCATACTTGACACGGGAAAGGAAATGTAATTGCCATCCTAGGGGTCAAGATGTGATCAGGATTTCTTTTTGGCAGAGGTGTAATGTAAGTTATTGTTGGATGAAAGGAACTGGGCTCAAGTAGGGAAAAAACTGGCATTTATCAGGGGTAAAATAATTTCTCTCATATAAGCCTTATTCATAATCACCAAAAACTGGAAACAACCTAAATATCCTTTAATCGGTGAGTGAATAAATAAATGCAATACATCCAAACAATGGAATATTACTCAGCAATTAAAAAAAGAAGAATTCTTGATAAAAACAATAACATGGAGCAAAAGCATCAGGTTGAATAGAAAAGTCAGTCTCAAAAGGTTACATACTATATATGATTCCTGTTGTGTGATATTCGTAAAATAGGGATAGAGAACAGATCAGGGGTTTCCAGAGGTCAGGGGTGGGAGTGTGTGACCACAAAGGAATCGCATGAGGGAGCTTACGCAGTGATAAAATGGTTCTACATACTGATTATGGAGGTTACGCAAATCCAAGCATGTGTTTACATTCATAGAACTGTGCACCAAAAAAGGGACAATTTTATACTATAAATACGAAGATAAAAATTTGTAAATGGCTTCTCAGGATTCCACAACAGAGATAATCATATAACCAAGATTCAAAGACTCCCAAACTCATGCTAGTTTACTAAACCACTCCATGTTCCAGCAAAGACAGACATGGAATGGGGAACTTTACAACAAGGAGAGTCCTCAGATCACAGTTCTAAAGCAGAAATTTTTTACAATCAGCTTGGAATAATCTATGTTAAGATGTGGAGAATTCTCATGTAAAATATGCAGAAATATATATGTATATTGAGTTTAGAGTGTGCTTTGAATTAGACAAAGTGACAGATGTCTTAAGTTGAAGATGCATTGCCCTTTGACAATATTCACGAATAACAGTACACCCAGTAGATCACGATCAGTCAGTACAATCTCAGATTTTTTTTTTTTTTTTTTTGAGACGGAGTCTTGCTCTGTCTCCCAGGCTGGAGTGCAGTGGCGTGATCTCGGCTCATTGCAACCTCCGTCTCCCTGGTTCAAGTGATTCTCCTGCCTCAGCCTCCTGAGTAGCTAGGATTACAGGCATGTGCCACCACGCCTGGCTACTTTTTGTATTTTTGGTAGAGACGAAGTTTCACCATGTTGGTCAGGCTGGTCTCGAACTTCTGACCTGGTGATCTGCCCACCTCAGCCTCCCAAAATGCTGGGATTACAGGCGTGAGCCTCTGTGCCTGGCCAATCTCAGACATTTTTAAGTCGTAATTGAACACATGGGCTATCTGAAGATATGCTCTAGCCTATAAAGTTTCAAAATGCTTTAAAACAAGCCACTAGATCCAGAAAAACTAATAGTGCTTCCAGAGTTAATGCTCATCTCTACCCCATTTTATTTCCAAGCCCCTTAGGATATGTCCTCTACAAGTTCCTAACCACTGTGAACCAAAGTATGGCAAAGCAGTAAACCAAGCTGAGGGAAAATCCCAAACTGGGTGAAACATACATCAAGCTAAAGCAGGGGGAGAAAAAAGGAATCCTCAGGTGTAGAAACAAAAATGAGAGGCAAAGCCATAGCAAAAAGCACAGGAACCAAGGTTCTAACATCCAAGGGGGTGGGGGCCTTGGCCCCCATGGTCTTGGCCCTGTGCAGGGCACCAAGTTGGAGCTAAGATCCATGCATAACATCAGGACATATGAAGGGTTACCACCTCCGTGTAACAGAGACTAGAAAAACTCTCCCCCATCTCTACCATACACCAGGATAATTTCCAAATGCATCAGAAACGTTAATGCTCTATTGTATTGATAATTATTACAACAATATCAAATACTAGTTATAATATTACTATCAGTAGTAGTAAGACATTATAAAGTATCTTATTCCTCTTCTGCTTATTTCCCAACAATTCCATTTCCCTAATTGAGGAATAGTATCAAGTCACTTAAAAAAATAAATTAAGCATGGTGGCTCACACCTGTAATCGCACCACTTTTGGAGGCTGAGACAGGAGGATCGCTTGAGCCCAGGAGTTTGAGATCATCCTGGGAAATATAATGAGACCCTGTTTCTACAAAAATAAAAATGAAAACATTGGCTAGGCATGGTGGCATATGCCTATAGTCCCAGCTACTCAGGAGGCTGAGGTGGAAGGATTGCTTGAGCCCAGGAAGTCAAGGCTGCAGGATGCAGTGAGCAGTAATTGGGCCACTGCAGTCTAGCCTGGGCAACAGAGCAAGACCCTGTCTCAAAACAAACAAACAAAAAAGTTAATGTAAAAAAAATTAAGCCATATGAGTATTTTTTTAAATGAGTGAATGACGCTGTACCTCTGAATAGGACAAACTGTCCTAACTAGGACTCGAAATCCGGAAGCATTAAGACTAATGATTTGATTACACAAAAATAAAACACTTCTGCATAACAAAACTACTGTAAGCAATGCATAAAGACATGTGGGAAAAATATAAGCAATTTGTATAAAAAGGATAATATCATTAATAAATATAATCATGTGGTTTTTCTTCTTAGCCTATACATATGGTAAGTTATATTAATGGATTTACTAATATTTACAACCTCTATGGTTGTATTACTTTTATGTATAAAGATCTATATAGTTCATAAGTTGAAAGATGTATATGCTCTATATTGTTTTTTCTTTTTTGATTGATGTTTATATTAATGACAGCCAGTTTAAAATCCAATGTAATGGGGCACTTTACATTTTTTTCCATTTGTTCTGTCAGTTTTTGCTTTACATGTTTTAATGCATAATATAGATTATTGGGTGTGGACAAGTTTAGACCTGCTACACTTTCTAATGAATTAAATATTTTATTGATATAGTGGCCCTCTTTAGCCCAAATTATACATTTGGCATCATAGTCTAATTTTGTCTTTTGGTTAGTGTTTACTTATTATGTCTCTTCTATCACTTTATTTTTAATGTTCTCTTTTTATATTTTAGGTATATCCCTTTTAAATCACTTTTACTCAATTTTTAAACATAAGCCTATCAGAAAGTTGGAAAAATCAAAATACAGTAAAATACTAGGAAATCTTTTAATATAACTTACCATATGAATAGGCTAAGGAGAAAATGTTATTATCTAATTCTAAGGAAGAGTCAAATCCTGGTAAAAGTAAAACTTTAAAACTTTTAGAAAGTAATATAAGAGAATATCTTTATGATCTTGGGATGGAAAAGTATTTGTTAAACAAGACACAAAGCCCAAATCATAAAAAAAGATTGAAAATGTTGATTGCATTAAAATGTAAAACTTTTATACAACAAATGATACCCATAAAAGTGAAAAGACAAGCCACAGATTTGAAAGACATACTTGCAACACATTTTACTGAAAAAAATTAGTGTCAAGAATATAGGCCGGGCACAGGGGCTCATGCTTGTAATCCCAGCAATTTGAGGAGCCAAGGCAGGAGGACTGCTTGAGTCCAGGAGCTTGAGACCAGCCTGGGCAACATGGCAAAGCCCCATCTCTACAGAAAATTTAAAAATTAGCCAGATATGGTGGCATGCACCTGTGGTCTCAGCTGCCTGGGAGGCTGAGGCAGGAGGACTGCTGGAGGCCAAGAGTTTGAGACTGCAGTTTGCCATGGTCCCACCACTGCACTTCAGCCTAGGCAACATAGAGAGACCCCATCTCTACAAAAAAAAAAAAAAAAAAAAAAAGCAAATATTTACAAATCAATATTTTTTTAAAACTCAATATAAATACAGGCAAAAAATATGAACACACCATACCCAGACGATGAGACAGAAATGATTAATAAATTTTAAAAGACATTTAATTGTACTCATAATCAGGGAAATGAAAACTAAAAAAAAATAACAGTTCATTCCCATTAGATGGACAGAAATTAAAACACCTGACAATACTGTTGACAAGGAGACAGCACCGGAAAGAATTATATACTATGGCTGCACAAATTGGCACAAGCCCTTTGGAAAGCAATTTGACAAAACCTGGCAAAGCTGATGATGCACATATCCTCTCACCTTAGCAATATCACTCCTCCACATATACCATAAAGAAACAATCACATATTGGTACAAGTAAACATATTCACATTTCATAATTACAAAAAAACTGGAATCAATCCAAATGTCCACCAACAGGAGAAAGGATAAATACTACAAGGCATATCTGTATAATAATATATCATAAAGCAATTAAAATGAATAATTAGAGCTACAAGGAACAGCATAGATGAACCAACTCAATGTTGAGCAAAAAATGTTTCTGACTATATACAGTATGATATCATTTCCATAAGGCTTAAAACTATGCATATCAAGCTATTTATTTTTAGATATGTATACAGTTAGAAAAATATAAAGAAGTACAAGGAAACATAAACATTAAACTGAAGATAATGGGTTTCTTTAGGGGAGAAAGGATAGCAAGAGGTTTCAAGGAGGGGTACATGGGATTTCAACTGAATTTTTCTTCTTTAAAAAAACCTTTTTATTTTGACTTTTTTTAATCTTCAAAAATGTTCCGAGAGCACAATAAAGACTTCACCTACGTGCACCTTTTAACATTTTTTGCCTCATTTGTAATCTCTTTCTCTCAATCATTTCACATAAACAATTTTGTATTGATCTTTTTATATCCCAGGTTGAGTGAAAGTACACAAATATTAAACTTTCTTTATATTTGTATCTTAACATTGTGCAATAAATTTAAAACAAATAACTAAAGATCCACACAAAGGGACATCATCATGAAATTTCAGAAGAGGACTGACAAAAAGAGGATCCTACAATCTTCCAGAGAGAGACAGAAAATAAAGAAGCCACATAAAAAGGATGTGAAATTAGGATAGCATTGAAGTTGCCGGAAGAAAGTAGAGCAACACCTTTAATATCATGAGGAAAAAATATATTCAACATAGAATTCTATATTCAACTAAACTACCAATCAAGTATTAGGGCAGAATACATATTTTTTAACAGTTTGAAAAATATTCCTTGTAGAATCCTGATATGGTTTGGCTGTGTCCCCACCCAAATCTCATCTTGAACTGTAAGCTCCCATAATTCTCATGTGTTGTGTGGACCTGGTGAGAGATAATTGAATCATGGGGGTGGCTTCTCCCATACTGTTCTCATGATAGTGAATAAATCTCATGAGATCTGATAGTTTTGTAAATGGGAGTTGCCTTGCACAAGCTCTCTCTTCTGTGACTGCTATGTAAGACATCCCTTTGCTCTTCCTTCATCTTCTGCCATGATTGTGAGGCTACCCCAGACACATGGAACTGTGAGTCCATTAAATCTCCTTTCTTTGTAAATTACCCAGTCTCAGGTATGTCTTTATTAGCAGCATGAGAACGAACTAATACAAATCCCTTCCTAAGGAAGTCCTTGTATGTATTCTTTTGCAAATAAAGGGATTAACTAAGAAATAGAAATACAGAGGGTCAGGAAACTATGGTTCCAACACAGGAATGTAACATAGGAAAATCTCTGAATGACAGCTGTACAGAAGATCCAGACAGAAATCAGCTCAATTTGGACAAGATGGGAGTATCTAGAAAGGAAGCCACTAGGGATTAAAAAAAAATTGATAAAATATCTGGAATAGGTATACAATGTCCTTAAGTATTTGGTGAAAAAATTATAGTTAAGAGTGGCACAGACATATTTAAATATTTACCAAAAAATAAGGACATACAAATAGAAAACTAAGCAAATTGGATGTGGGGGGTGGCAATTATTAATTCCAGGAAGAAAACATAAACTTATCTAGAAAAGTAAAAGTAAAAATAGTGTATATTATATGGCTATGCAGTAAACAATATTTCCAATGATAGTGTTAATAAGAATTAATAACAATATTTCCATCATAGTGTTAATCAAAATTACTGATTTTACCAAAATTATTGATATAATTATATATACAGAACAGGAGAGTGGGAGGCAGAAGGTAAGAAGATGGCAGGAGGAAAATAGAGCTAAATCTGCAATGACTATAACGATTCACCAGGAAATATTTAAAATTCATAACCCAAGAAATACCTCTATAAGCATATTATTTTAAAATATGAAGGTAAGTACCAGGAAAAGAAAAAAGACCAAAATGAAAAACATTTGCCTCTAAATTATCCTTTTCATCTAAGTTTTCAAATTATTTTCTTTATAACATTTGTTGGTACATTTTCTCCATGTTTAATGTTATTTGTGCCTTTTTTAAAAAATGGTAATTCTAAAAATGTCTTCTGAAATAAGTAGGACTTCTTGATTATTGTTGTTGTTTTTCTGTGTTATTAATTTCTTCTCCATATTCCTTTTTACATCTGTTATTTGGATATTTGTTCTGCGGTTCTAGCTTCTTGAATTCAGTGCTTGAGTTCTCAGCCACAATCTCTTCAAATATTACTAATTTGCCATGCCCCCTATTCTCTCTTTCTGTAACTCCCATAGGATGTATGTTTGAATCTTTCAATCCACTGTCTGTATGCCTTAACAACACCTTTACATTCGTATTTTCCATTTCTTTATCTCTCTGTTCACTGTATTGAATTATCTAAGACTTTCTTCTAATTCACCAATTCTCTATTCAGCTGTATCTAGCATAAACTTAGCCAGTCTATTAAGTTGTTTTTTTTTTAATTTTGTTTTAATTATACTTTAAGTTCTAGGATACATGTGCACAACATGCAGGTTTGTTACATATGTATACATGTGCCATGTTGGTGTGCTGCACCCATTAACTTGTCATTTACATTAGGTATATCTCCTAATGCTATCCCTCCCCACTCGCCCCACCCCACGACAGGCCCTGGTGTGTAATGCTCCCCACCCTATGTCCAAGTGTTCTCATCGTTCAATTCCCACCTATGAGTGAGAACACGTGGTGTTTGATTTTCTGTCCTTGTGATAGTATGCACAGAATAATGGTTTCCAGCTTCATCCATGTCCCTGCAAAGGACATGAACTCATCCTTTTTTATGGCTGCATAGTATTCCATGGTATATATGTGCCACATTTTCTTAATCCAGTCTATCATTGATGGACATTTGGGTTGGTTCCAAGTCTTTGCTATTGTGGAGAGTGCTGCAATAAACATACGTGTGCTTGTGTCTTTATAGCAGCATGATTTATAATCCTTTGGGTATATACACAGTAATGGGATGGCTGGGTCAAATGGTATTTCTAGTTCTAGATCCTTGAGGAATCACCACAATAGTTGAACTAGTTTACAGTCCCACCAACAGTGTAAAAGTGTTTCTATTTCTCCACATCCTCTCCAGCACCTGTTGTTTCCTGACTTTTTTTTTATTTTTATTATACTTTAAGTTTTAGGGTACATGTGCACAATGTGCAGGTTTGTTACATATGTATACATGTGCCATGCTGGTGCACTGCACCCACTAACTTGTCATCTAGCATTAGGTATATCTCCCAATGCTATCCCTACCCCCCTCCCACCCCACAACAGTCCCCAGAGTGTGATGTTCCCCTTCCTGTGTCCATATGTTCTCATTGTTCAATTTCCACCTATGAGTGAGAATATGCGGTGTTTGGTTTTTTGTTCTTGCGATAGTTTACTGAGAATGATGATTTCCAATTTCATCCATGTCCCTACAAAGGACATGAACTCATCATTTTTTATGGCTGCATAGTATTCCATGGTGTATATGTGCCACATTTTCTTAATCCAGTCTATCATTCTTGGACATTTGGGTTGGTTCCAAGTCTTTGCTATTGTGAATAGTTCCGCAATAAACATACGTGTGCATGTGTCTTTATAGCAGCATGATTTATAGTCCTTTGGGTATATACCCAGTAATGGGATGGCTGGGTCAAATGGTATTTCTAGTTCTAGATCCCTGAGGAATCGCCACACTGTCTTCCACAATGGTTGAACTAGTTTACCGTCCCACCAACAGTGTAAAAGTGTTCCTATTTCTCCACATCCTCTCCAGCACCTGTTGTTTCCTGTCTTTTTAATGATTGCCATTCTAACTGGTGTAAGATGATATCTCATTGTGGTTTTGATTTGCATTTCTCTGATGGCCAGTGATGGTGAGCATTTTTTCATGTGTTTTTTGGCTGCATAAATGTCTTCTTTTGAGAAGTGTCTGTATCCTGACTTTTTAATGATCGCCATTCTAACTGGTGTGAGATGGTATCTCATTGTGGTTTTGATTTGCATTTCTCTGTTGGCCAGTGATGATGAGCATTTTTTCATGTGTCTGTTGGCTGCATAAATGTCTTCTTTTGAGAAGTGTCTGTTCATATCCTTCACCCACTTGTTGATGGGGTTGTTTGATTTTTTCTTGTGAATTTGTTTAAGTTCCTTGTAGATTCTGGATATTAGCCATTTGTCAGATGGGTAGATTGTAAAAATTTTCTCCCATTCTGTAGGTTGCCTGTTCGCTCTGATGGTAGTTACTTTTGCTGTGCAGAAGTTCTTTAGTTTAATTGGATCCCATTTGTCAATTTTGGCTTTTGTTGCCATTGCTTTTGGTGTTTTAGACATGAAATCCTTGCCCATGCCTATGTCCTGAATGGTACTGCCTAGGTTTTCTTCTAGGGTTTTTATGGTTTTAGGTCTAACATTTAAGTCTTTAATCCATCTTGAATTAATTTTTGTATAAGGTGTAAGGAAGGGATCCAGTTTCAGCTTTCCACATGTGGCTAGCCAGTTTTCCCAGCACCATTTATTAAATAGGGAATCCTTTCCCCATTTCTTGTTTTTGTCAGGTTTGTCAAAGATCAGATGGTTGTAGATGTGGGGTATTATTTCTGAGAGCTCCGTTCTGTTCCATTGGTCTATATCTCTGTTTTGGTACCAGTACCATGCTGTTTTGGTGACTGTAGCCTTGTAGTATAGTTTGAAGTCAGGTAGCGTGATGCCTCCAGCTTTGTTCTTTTGGCTTAGGATTGTCTTGGCAATGCAGGCTCTTTTTTGCTTCCATATGAACTTGAAAGTAGTTTTTTCCAATTCTGTGAAGAAAGTCATTGGTAGCTTGATGGGGATGGCATTGAATGTATAAATTACCTTGGGCAGTATGGCCATTTTCATGATATTCATTCTTCCTATCCATGAGCATGGAATGTTCTTCCATTTGTTTGTGTCCTCTTTTATTTCGTTGAGCAGTGGTTTGTAGTTCTCCTTGAAGAGGTCCTTCACATCCCTTGTAAGTTGGATTCCTAGGTATTTTATTCTCTTTGAAGCAATTGTGAATGGGAGTTCACTGATGATTTGGCTCTCTGTTTGCCTGTTATTGGTGTATAGGAATGCTTGTGATTTTTGCACATTGATTTTGTATCCTGAGACTTTGCTGATGTTGCTTATCAGCTTAAGGAGATTTTGAGCTGAGATGATGGGGTTTTCTAAATATACAATCATGTCATCTGCAAACAGGGACAATTTGACTTCCTCTTTTCCTAATTGAATACCCTTTATTTCTTTCTCCTGCCTGATTGCCCTGGCCAGAACTTCCAACACTATGTTGAATAGGAGTGGTGAGAGAGGGCATCCCTGTCTTGTGCCAGTTTTCAAAGGGAATGCTTCCAGGTTTTGCCCATTCAGTGTGATATTGGCTGTGGGTTTGTCATAAATAGCTCTTATTATTTTGAGATACGTCCCATCAATACCTCGTTTATTGAGAGTTTTTAGCATGAAGAGCTGTTGAATTTTGTCAAAGGCCTTTTCTGCATCTATTGAGATAATCATGTGGTTTTTGTCTTTGGTTCTGTTTATATGCTGGATTACGTTTATTGATTTGCATATATTGAACCAGCCTTGCATCCCAGGGATGAAGCCAACTTGATTGTGGTGGATAAGCTTTTTGATGTGCTGCTGAATTTGGTTTGCCAGTATTTTATTGAGGATTTTTACATCGATGTTCATCAGGGATATTGGTCTAAAATTCTCTTTTTTTGTTGTGTCTCTGCCAGGCTTTGGTATCAAGATGATGCTAGCCTCATAAAATGAGTTAGGGAGGATTCCCTCTTTTTCTGTTGATTGGAATAGTTTCAGAAATGGTACCATCTCCTCTTTGTACCTCTGGTAGAATTCGGCTGTGAATCTGTCTGGTCCTGGACTTTTTTTGGTTGGTAGGCTATTAATTATTGCCTCAATTTCAGAGCCTGTTATTGGTCTATTCAGGGATTCCACTTCTCCTGGTTTAATCTTGGGAGGGTGTATGTGTCCAGGAATTTATCCATTTCTTCTACATTTTCTAGTTTATTTGCATAGAGGTGTTTATAGTATTCTCTGGTGGTAGTGTGTATTTCTGTGGGATCGGTGGTGATATCCCCTTTATCATTTTTTATTGTGTCTATTTGATTCTTCTCTCTTTTCTTCTTTATTAGTCTTGCTAGCGGTCTATCAATTTTGTTGATCTTTTCAAAAAACCAGCTCCTGGATTCATTGATTTTTTGAAGGGTATTTTATGTCTCTATCTCCTTCAGTTCTGCTCTGATCTTAGTTATTTTTTGCCTTCTGCTGGCTTTTCAATGTGTTTGCTCTTGCTTCTCTAGTTCTTTTAATTGTGATGTTAGGGTGTCAATTTTAGATCTTTCCTGCTTTCTCTTGTGGGCATTTAGTGCTATAAATTTTCCTATACACACTGCTTTAAATGTGTCCCAGAGATTTGGGTATGTGGTGTCTTTGTTCTCATTGGTTTCAAAGAACATCTTTATTTCTGCCTTCATTTCGTTATGTACCCAGTAGTCATTCAGGAGCAGGTTGTTCAGTTTCCATGTAGTTGAGCGGTTTTGAGTGAGTTTCTTAATCCTGAGTTCTTGTTTGAGTGCACTGTGGTCTGAGAGACAGTTTGTTATAATTTCTCTTCTTTTACATTTGCTGAGAAGTGTTTTACTTCCAATTATGTGTCAATTTTGGAATATGTGTTAAGTGGTGCTGAGAAGAATGTATATTCTGTTGATTTGGGGTGGAGAGTTCTGTAGATGTCTATTAGGTCTGCTTGGTGCAGAGCTGAGTTCAATTCCTGGATATCCTTGTTAACTTTCTGTCTCGTTGATCTGTTTAATGTTGACATTGGGGTGTTAAAGTCTCCCATTATTATTGTGTGGGAGTCTAAGTCTCTTTGTAGGTCTCTAAGGAGTTGCTTTATGAATCTGGGTGCTCCTGGATTGGGTGCATATATATTTAGGATAGTTAGCTCCTCTTGTTGAATTGATCCCTTTACCATTATGTAATGGCCTTCTTTGTCTCTTTTGATCTTTGTTGATTTAAAGTCTGTTTTATCAGAGACTAGGATTGCAACCCCTGCCTTTTTTTGTTTTCCATTTTCTTGGTAGATCTTCCTCCATCCCTTTATTTTGAGCCAATGTGTGTCTCTGCACGTGAGATGGGTCTCCTGAATACAGCACACTGATGGGTCTTGACTCTTTATCCATTTGCCAGTCTGTGTCTTTTAATTGGAGCATTTAGCCCATTTACATTTAAGGTGAATATTGTTATGTGTGAATCTGATCCTGTCATTATGATGTTAGCTGGTTATTTTGCTCCTTAGTTGATGCGGTTTCTTCCTGGCATTGATGGTCTTTACAATTTGGCCTGTTTTTGCAGTGGCTGGTACTGGCTGTTCCTTTCCATGTTTAGTGCTTCCTTCAGGAGCTCTTGTAAGGCAGGTCTGGTGGTGACAAAATCTCTCAGCATTTGCTTATCTGCAAAGGATTTTATTTCTCCTTCAGTTATGAAGCTTAGTTTGGCTGGATATGAAATTCTGGGTTGAAAATTCTTTTCTTTAAGAATGTTGAATAATGGCTCCCACTGTCCTCTGGCTTGTGGAATTTCTGCCAAGAGATCTGCTGTTAATCTGATGGGCTTCCCTTTGTGGGTAACCTGACCTTACTCCCTGGCTGCCCTCAATATTTTTTCCTTCATTTCAACTTTGGTGCATCTGGTAATTATGTGTCTTGGAGTTGCTCTTCTCGAGGAGTATCTTTGTGGCACTCTCTGTATTTCCTGAATTTGAATGTTGGCCTGCCTTGCTAGATTGGGGAAGTTCTCCTGGATAATACCCTGAAGAGTGTTTTCCAACTTGGTTCCATTCTCCCCATCACTTTCAGGTACACCAATCAGACGTAGATTTTGTTTCACATAGTCCCATATTTCTTGAAGGCTTTGTTTGTTTCTTTTTACTCTTTTTTCTCTAAACTTCTCTTCTCACTTCATTTCATTTATTTGATCTTCAATCACTGATACCCTTTCTTCCACTTGATCGAATTGGCTACTGAAGCCTGTGCATTCCTCACATAGTTCTCGTGCCATGGTTTTCAGCTCCATCAGGTCATTTAAGGTCTTCTCTACATTGTTTATTCTAGTTAGCCATTCATCTAATCTTTTTTCAAGGTTTTTAGCTTCTTTGTGTTGGGTTCAAACATCCTCCTTTAGCTCGGAGAAGTTTGTTATTACCAGTCGTCTGAAGCCTTCTTCTCTCAACTCATCAAAGTCATTCTCTGTCCAGCTTTGCTCCATTGCTGGCAAGGAGCTGCATTCCTTTGGAGGAGAAGTGCTCTGATTTTTATAATTTTCAGCTTTTCTGCTCTTGTTTCTCCCCATCTTTGTGGTTTTATCTACCTTTGGTCTTTGATGATGGTGACGTGCAGATGGGGTTTTGGTGTGGGTGTCCTTTCTGTTTGTTAGTTTTCCTTCTAACAGTCAGGACCCTCAGCTGCAGGTATGTTGGAGTTTGCTGGAGGTTCACTCCAGACCCTGTTTGCCTGTGTATCACCAGCGGAGGCTGCAGAACAGCAAATATTGCAGAACGGTAAATGTTGCTGCCTGATCCTTCCTGTGGAAGCTTCATCTCAGAGGGGCACCCGGCCATATGAGGTGTCAGTCAGCCCCTACTGGGAGATGTCTCCCAATTGGGCTACTCGGGGGTCAGGGACCCACTTGAGGAGGCAGTCTGTCTGTCTCAGATCTCAACCTGTGTGCTGGGAGAACCACTACTCTCTTCAAAGCTGTCAGACAGGGATGTTTAAGTCTGCAGAAGTTTCTGCTGCCTTTTGTTCAGCTATGCCCTGCCCTCAGAGGTGGAGTCTACAGAGGCAGACAGGCCTCCTTGGGCTGCGGTGGGCTCCACCCAGTTAGAGCTTCCCAGCTACTTTGTTTACCTACTCAAGCCTCAGCAATGGCAGACACCCCTACCCCAGCCTCACTGCTGCCTTGCAGTCCAATCTCAGGCTGCTGTGCTAGCAGTGAGCGAGGCTCCGTGGGCATGGGACCCTCCGAGCCAGGCGTGGGATATAATCTCCTGGTGTGCTGTTTGCTAAGACCATTGGAAAAGCGCAGTGTTAGGTTGGGAGTGTCCCAATTTTCCAGGTACCATCTGGCAGGGCTTCCCTTGGCTAGGAAAGGGAATTCCCCGACCCCTTGCACTTCCCGGGTGAGGTGATGCCCTGCCCTGCTTCTGCTCATGCTCCATGGGCTGCACCCACTGTCTGACAAGCCCCAGTGAGATGAACCTGGTACCTCAGTTGGAAATGCAGAAATCACCTGTCTTCTGCGTCGCTCACCCTGGGAGCTGTAGACTGCAGCTGTTCCTATTCGGCCATCTTGGAACCTCCCAAGTTATTTTTATTTTAATAGCAAATTTTTTATTTTCATGGCTTCTGGTAGAATCATTTTCATATCTACCTGTCCTTGATTCACAGCTACCTGTTTTTGTTTTATAATTTCTTGTCCTTTTCATGGATGCTATTTCCATATCTTTATGAGTCCCAAATGTACTTTTTAAATTATATCTCATCTTGAGGGGCCAGATAGATATATAGAATTGGAGGGAAATCTTCCCACTCTAGATGAGCCTGAAAACTGAGATTCTAAAACACCAGATTACCAGAAAGACATCAGAAATACAAACAATTAGGAAATAAATTTTTCTCAGTGAAATGCAAATTAAAATTTATGATTTGCACTTTAAATGCAAATTAAAATTTATGATTTGCACTTTAAATGCAAATTAAAATTTATGATTTGCATTTTAAATGCAAATTAAAATTTATGATGTGCATTTCATTGAGAAAAATTTATTTCCTAATTGTTTGCATTTCTGATGTCTTTCTGGTAATCTGGTGTCTTAGAATCTCAGTTTTCAGGCTCGTCTAGAGTGGGAAGATTTCCCTCCAATTCTGTATATTTATCTGGACCCTCAAGAATCCCAGACCAGAACCAGCTCTTTGACTGGCAGATCAAATTCCAACTCCCCACCCCCACTCCATGGTGATGTTGCAGATATTGCCGATATAGTCATTGAGCCTCTCCACACAGGTATATCTCTTTATTATTTTCACTGATTTCTCAACCACTACAGATAAGCTGCCACATGCATGTTGCTCCAGGACGACCTCAACATAGTTCCCAGTTCAAGTTCTCTGAGTGTGACTGTGATCCCAAGCCATTCTTAGAATGCTTCTCAGTGATTCTGTCCCATAGTTTCAAACTCGCAGCTGACTCTGCCTGCTGCAGAGTTTACAGACCTGGAACTTCAGGTTTCGCATAGCAGAAATGTTTTTACTACACTTTTAGACTGACAAGATTTTCATTTTTCTCCTATTTTTATGAAAAGCTATGGCATTTTAATTTTTCAAAGCATATTTCATCCTTCACTAATGTTTTGAGCAAGGGCAGATGGGAGTTATAAGGATGTGACATTTTAATGTAGAAACACTCGGCAATCTCTTAACTGTAACTACCAAAACAAATGGCTTAAATGCTTCTTCAAAGAACTCATGCAAGAGACAAAACACAGGTAAGTGGTTGCCAGGAGCGAGGGGAATGGGCAGAGCAGAGTGACTGCTAATGGGTGAGGAGTTTTTTTATCACTATTTTTTAATTGACAGACATTCTAGAACAGTATTTGGTTTACAGAAAAACTGAACAGAAAGTACAGGAAGCTCCCATATGCTCTATCCCCCACACACAGTTTTTCCCATTATTAACATTTTGCATATATGTGACATGTTTGTTACAGTTGATGAACAAATATTGATGCATAATTATTAACTAAAGCCCATAGTTTATTAGGGTTCTATGGGTTTTAACAAATGTACAAAGTCATGCAACCACCATCACTGTGTTTTCTTTTTTGAATGATGAAAGCATTCTGGAAATAGACGGTGGTGATGGTTTCACAAGCTGGCTAATATACTGAAAACCACTGGATTGTATACTTTAAAATGGTGAATTTTATGGGATATGATTTATATCTCAACTTTTAAAAATGGGGAAAAAATAAGAAGCAGGAAACTGGGGGAAAAACACCTATGTGCAAATTCTTGGATTTACTCAATTCCACTCATTCTTATCTATTCACGAAATCTTTCCCCAAAATGTTTCAGCTTCAACAAGCTGGTTGACTTTGACCTGTCTTTTATTAAATAATTGTTTATTGGGCTCCTGCAACTACTGATAAAACATTGTATTAGGACTTCAAAGTATAAAAAAGTTAATATAACCTGTCCTCTGCCTCCAAAAAGTTGCCTGCTTTTTTTTTCGCCCTTAAAAATACATACGCAGCTTTTTCAAACCATTTCATTAGTCATAATTTTTAGTTAATTTACCTGGATTTCCTGCTTAGATTAGCTACATTAATGAAGTTGACTGGAATTGCAGGCTTATCCAACAGTTACTTTACCATTTCCCAAGCATTCTCTCTCCCATTCACTATTCTGCCTTCTACCTACTTATTTCTTTTCTGTTTGTACGTGCATTGGGAGTGTTGAGAGTGCAGTGAAGGCATTGGTGTCATGGGTTCCAGGATGTGGGCCAAGAGTTCCAGTGTGGGTACATATGTAAATCCCAGACAGGACTGAGGGGAGCATCTCCTATGCAAATGTTGGATGAAGAGGCAAAAAGGCTCCTTGGGGGACACATTGCAGAGTCTTGGCCCTAGGGAGACCACTGAGGGAGCTTAAGTAGAGAAGATAGAAAGAAAGTCTCCTTCACTGGCCAGGAGAAAGAACAGAGGCCTGAGAGGAAGAAAAAAAAAGAGAAGGGGAGACAGAAAGGAAGAATAGAAAAAAAGGAAGATAGGAGGAAGAAGAAAGGAAGGAAAAAGGAAGGAAGGGAGGAAGGGAGGAAGAGAGGGAGGGAGGAAGGATGGAAGGGAGAAAGGGAGGGAAAGAGAGGAAGGAGAGGAAGGAACAGAGGAAGGGAGGAAGGAAGGGAGGGAGAGAGGAAGGAGAAGAAGGGAAGGATGGAAGGAAGGAGGGAAGGATGGAAGGAAGGAGGGAAGGAAGAAAGGAAGGAAGGGAGGGAGGGAGGGAAGAGGGAAGGAAGGAGGGCGAAAGGGCCGTGTGGGGAGGGAGGGAGTTTGTTTAATCGTGCAAAAAAATAAAACATACAAACAGGTTACCAAATAGGTAAACTAGCTTGGTGGGGGGAAAATATCACCATTTCTAACTAATCTGAGGTAGCAAAAGACTTTGGAGATCCTTTCCCTCCAGTGGCCCCCAACTACAGTGACAGCAGCAGTCCATATTTTGTCTCTAAGAATCATACTATATATAACGGGCAATGTAGCCAAAGGCAATCAAATATTAAAATGGGACTTTGTGTTTCAGTTTCAGCTGCTGCCTCCGGACAACAAACAGAAACCAATGGCCATGTGTCAAGGTGAGGTACTCAACCACCATGTTGGACTTGGAAAGGAGGTGGCTAAAAATGGTTTTGACTTTCACTCACTCAAGGCCATAAAAGAGTTAGATTTGAAACGGCCAAACTCTTGGAGATCATAAATTTCTTCACGGAGAACTGTGTGCACTAGGTCCCCCACTTCCACCACCTGTGCCCCAACACACACACCCTGGGGAAGGGGGAAGGGTGTTCTCTCGGCCTCAAGCTAGTGTGAGGAGCTCCAACGAGCTTGCTAAGGGTCATTCCTGTGTCCTCCGAAGTTGATGTCTGGCCTGTGCAAGAATCGGAAGGGCTAATGTCTGGGAGCATGTGGGAAGTAATACACCCACCAACGGCAAGTAGAAAGGGAGTGTTTCCTTTGGGCCAGAAGTTGGCCACACCTGAGAAAGCCAGGCTGGGCTTGTCTTAGAGCCGGCTGCAAGGACAGCGAAAAGGGCAGCTTGCAGGGCAAGAAGCTGCAGCACAGAGAGGCTGCAGGAATCCCACCCAGTGCCAAGGAGATGGGATGGGGGATCATAGGAGACTGGGCAGAGGAGATGCATGTCCTGCTTCTTGAAAGGGGAGCATCCCCAAAGACTGAGCTTTAAACTCAGACCACACACAGAGGAAACCCCTGCTGGATGGGTCCCAACTTGGAGAAGTCAGAGCAGCCCAGGAAGCTGGTGAGGAGACCCAGCAGCCGGCATCGGCCTTCCCTGCAGCAAGTTCCAGCCAGGGATGGGATGGGAGAAGCTTTCGCTTTAAATTCGTCTGCCTGAGGCTGGACATATTAATCACCAAACTGAGACTGTCTGGAAGGAAAATGTGACCAGAGAACTTTTTATTGTATTACAGTGAACAGAAAATACACTGGGCCTGCCCAAGACTTCATCCTGGAGCATGAAAAGAACCAGCCCCACAGAGCCGCTCTGAAAAAGAAAACCAAAAACCAAAACAGAGTTCTTCCAGTTGTCCCACCTCCCCCTACCACAGTCCTGCTTATTCCGTATGACAGTTATGTAGTCATTTTCTTCAAATGAAGTAAAAATCCTCAGGTCAATAATCATATGAGGCCAGGCATTGTGGCTCACGCCTGTAATCCCAGCACATCGGGAGGCTGAGGTGGGTGGGTCACCTGAGGTCAGGAGTTCAAGACCAGCCTGGCCAACATAGTGAAACCCCATCTCTACTAAAAATACAAAAATTAGCCTGGCGTGGTGGTGGGTGGCTGTAATCCCAGCTACTCGGGAGGCTGAGGCAGGATAATTGCTTGAACCTGGGAGACGGAGGTTGCAGTGAGCCGAGATCACACCACTGCATTCCAGGCTGGGCAACAAAAGCAAACTTCTGTCTCAAAAAAAAAAAAAAAAAAAAAAAAAAATTATATGAATACCTCTAGTCCTGGAGAGGGAAATTTTCAGCAGAATTTTACCAAAAAGGAAAAATTAGCTAAGAGACCTCTCAGTTTACCTGTGCATGTCATCAGTGACTGAGGACTCTGGGCCATGCCTATGAGATAATCCACCACGCTTCCCAGACAGTCATGAGCCCCATAAATGACAGCTGTCTTTAGTTCTTAACTCTCAAGTTCAGGCAGAGGACTGAAGACTTATAAACTAGGGGAAAATAACGCTTACGAAAAGACAACTGGGAATGGGAAGTATTGAGGTTAACATTATATTCAATAAATCTCCACTTAAATTTGAGAGGAAAAGAGTCAAAACTCAATACAATAACAAATCAGTGGCTTAAAGGGCAATCTTATAACTGATGGCATTTCAGTAACTGCTGGCTGCCATCCAAACCCAAATGCCCAGTATGGGGAGAGGAAACACTTAATGAACTAGCCCAATGTATCCAAAGGCTGCAGCCTGCACCTTAACAGCAGCTGCTGCTTGGGAACCCAATTAAAAGCAGCCTTTAAAAGACAGCAAGGCAATTACATTAGCAGAGTACATCCAAAGGTTAAAGCGTGTCTGAGGCATAACAATGATGGAAAGAGTTACAATAACTACATGTTACACTTTTAGGAGTTAAACAAATTCAGCTAAATCACAAAAAAATCAAACACTGCCTCTGCATGTGCCTGCAAATCATTATTTGTAGCCGCTCATCAAAGAGTCTTGTATGTCTAGTCTCACTCTGATAAGAACTCAGTGCATCACAGATCTGTCTCAGATCTGGGGCTTCACAGGTCCCCTAGAGGATGGAAAATAGCAGCAGACACCCTGGATGGTATTCTGTAACCTTTCACCTGTCCTAATACAGGAACTGGAGCAGACATTACCAAGTACTGGGTCATCACAAAGTGAAAGAAATAATTAAAACAGAGTTATGACCTTGTTTGTGTCTTTAAATTCAATATCTACAATGACAATAAGTTCCTCTTCTTTTTTCTCCTTGGATATTCTCATCAGTTTCCAAATCTATTTCTCCAGGCAGATTCTCTCCCAGGCACCAGCCCTACATTTCTACACTAAACAGCATTCCTATTACATCCAAAATGGAATGTACTTGTTACCTTCCTTCCCTCCCTCCCACCCTCTACCCTCCGCACTCACAACTATTCCTTCTCTTGTCTTTTCTCTCAAGAAAAGTGCATCTGGACTCAACAGCTGCTCCACCTAGGAACCTCAAAGTTATCTCCAATTTCTACCCCCTTATCAGCCCTTGCCCATTTGGTTTCACCAGTGCCCTGTCCTAGGACTCTTTCTGGAATTTATTAGCCCTCACCTAGAACTAGACCCACTGACGCAACCCTTTGTCACTGGGATAGCAGATGTCACAGCGGTGAAACACTTTCCAATCTATGCTGCTCTGTCTGATAGCAGGTCTCTTTCTCTCCTTGTATCCCAGCTGCCATTACAGCCCAAAGGTCGAAGCTAGTGCCCCCCTCTCCCAGGGAGGAGGACGGCATGAACTAAGGGAAGTCCCAGTGAGTTGGGAGCACAAGGAGGAGTGTGGCAAGAAGGAGAGGTCCGAGGTACGTGGAGAAAACAGAGGGAGGCAGGGACACACGTGGTACAGCTTCTCCCCACTTGGATAAATTCCTAGAGAAGAATGAGGAGCTTAAGGCACTGATGACAAAGCTGATGCCAAAGAGCTTCAGTGCCACTTCCCTCAGGGGCTCTGGAGGACATCCTCTCACACAATGTCCTCTTGCTCCACCCCAAGCCTCATGACAATATGGGTGGTGACCCTAGAGGTGGGGACCACATCCTGTAAATCAGTAAGATTGGTGTCCCAGCAGTTAGGTAAAGAAAGGGTCTATCCAGAGCCTCCCTGAGCATCTCCGTGGGATGGACGCTCCCAACTATCCTGTGGATGACTGCGGAGGGAAGTGCACTATCAGAACTCATGGCCTGGAGTCATGAAGCCCCAGCAAGAGAGACCTGGGAGAGAATTCACTGCTTTGGGCAGAATCATAGTTAGTCACTGACCTGTGCACTGGTGCACTTCAACCCACTCTCCTGCAGCTACTGAGGGAGAGTCACGTAGCATGCTGACCATCTGCTACCACTCCCCCATCGTTCCTATACTTTGAATCTCTGATGATCCAATCATAAGATCTTTTTGCTCAAGAATCGTTTAAGGTGTTTTTCAGATTCTGAATTCCAGTGGAATGGCTGACACCAACCGGTCTGAAGACCCCCACCAAGGAACTGACTCAGCACAAGAATGCAATTTTTTCACCTCCCTGTCCCATGACTTCTCTCACTTCTTGACCAATCAGTGATCCCCATACTTCAGCCCTGTCCAGACCCTTTAAAAACCCTATCCCCAAACCTTTCAGGGAGGTGAATTTGGGGTTTCTTCCCATCTCCTCATTGGCCACCCTATGATTATTAAACTCCTTCTCTGCTATATCCCAGTGCCCTGGAACACTGACTCACTGTGCATTGGGCAAATGAACGGATTGTGGTTATAGAACCACATATTACAGCAGCCACACACTTCAGCAACAGATATTAACAAAATGGCCAAGGCTGAGCAGAGCAATGCCAGCTCCCAGTCAGCACCAGCAAGATCCCTGCCTCACCCTCTGATAGACACACACACACACACACACACGCTCGCACAATCTCAAGAACATGTGAGCCCTCTTTTACTATGGCACTATTTTAGTGAGGCACAGGAGGACACGTGAATTACTAAAAGGGGCCTTTTATATTATTAGAGTTTACTATTTCAACATCTAACTGAGTTGATTACTCTCCACTAAATGCAGGTTCATTTTTCTCTACTTATTCAGTGGGGGAGGAGGTCTTAAGGAGAAATTTAGAAAAATATTTTATTTGTATATCTAAGCATAGTGGGGATAAATCTGTGACCCTCCTCCAATTTTCTCAAATCCTTCCATCCCAAACAAGGCAGCCAGGGTTTTCTTTCTAAAAGATAAATCTGAGCTGTCAGATCTGCTTACAAACTTTTGCTGGTATTCTCAAACTCTAATAGCAAATCTTACATAGGCTGCAAGCGCCCTTCACAAACTGGCCCCATTCTCCATGTTTTCATTTCTGCCAGTTTCTTCCAATGCACACCATACTCCAGCCCCAGCAACATATCACTCCCCAAAGAAGCCAAGCTCTCTCCTCAGCCTGTGCTGTGACAGCGTAATCTGTGGTGCGTTCACATCGGTATGTGAATCCTGATGCCTCCAGGTGGTAACTCAAGTTATGAGACCTGGAGCAAGTTACTTCATCTTTTGGAACCTGAGTTTCCTCATGGGCAAAATGAGGACAATGCTAAGTACCTCGTAGGACTGAGTGCAGCTGACATCCAGTGCCTGGCACCCAGTAGACACTTAACAAATGTCAACTCCCTTCTCTATTAGTGTATCTCTTTGTCTTGACATATTTTGATTTTTCCTTCATCCCTGGGCCATTCCGCACCTACAGATTCTTGCTGGACTTTCTGACTCATGTCACTGAAATGTAACACCAGGACTCCAAGAGAATCCTCCCCTGGAGCCTTCTGGCAAAAAGGAGTCCCTCTCTCCTCTGCACCTTCTTTTCTCACACTGGCTGAGAGCTGTCCACTAATGTGTCTCTCTTCCCAGCCAGCCCTGTCCTGTGGTACCCTCAATCCTAGCACTTTGCCAGGCACACAGAAAGCCCTTAATAATATTTGGGTGAATAAATGATCATCAATAAGGAAACATGAGATGTAATGAACCTAATAAATGTGTTTCACGCAGTCATACACGATGATGACTACACAGTCACATGCAGGTAGTCATCCAGAGAAGGGATTTATACACAGATTTCTAAAAGATTACAGGTAAATTACTCAAAGAAAAAAAAGACCCCCTTAAGCCTCCCAATATATCTTTTTATCATAAGCCATGGAAAACCAGAACATTACAATGATCTCACAAATCCTTAGTAGAACAGTAAGAACAGATACTGTAGGTTGGCAGGTTCACGAAAGACTCTTCCTCTTATCTACAAAAACCATAACATGCCAGAAAGACAACAAAATCAATACCTCTAGGAAATGCAAAGGTCTGGGTCTTATTGGCATCAATTGTAGCTTTGTGTGAATTTTCATTTTCAGTCTTCTGGTTTTTATTATAATGTGTTTTCTGCTGTTCATGCTATGTGTTTTTACAGAGAACAAATGTAACCCAATATGAGAACACAAGCTCACTTAAAACTCTGGTCCTTAAGCTTCTGCAGCTTTGCAACAGACTTATAGCTAACAGTGGCAATTTCCAGAGAATGGTATTGCCAGGCCACTTCCCCTTTCCACATTTCTGTATCATTTGAATCATTTATAACAAACGTGTATCACTTTATAATCAGCAATAAAGATATTTATTCAATTTTCAAAACTGTGTGCAGGTTCTTCTAATATTGCCCATATATCTATAGATAGTAAATGATACTGGTCAAATCAGTGATGTTTAAATTAAGATTAAAAAACATTTTTGGTTTTCTTTAAAAGCATACAGCAGAAAAATAATTTCTAAAAAAAATGCTGCTCCACACATATTACTATTTGGACAGTAATGCAGGGTTTTAAATTACTACACACGTTCTTTACATTTTTCAGTTTCAGATAAAGAGAATGAAAGCCTCGCCTCTCACAGATACTCCAGCCCTCTCTGTGCAGCCATCGAGGCTCCTGCTGGGAAGGATGGGAGGTTCCCACCTCCTCTCAGGCTGTGGGACCCCTAACCTCACAAGTCAGATGCTAGATGGATAAAGAAGTGGCTGCCTTTCAAAGGACACATGCCTGGCTCCGTGACTTATCTCAACGCACAGGGGACTACTGTTCCATCATAGTAACAGTAACACAGCAGCCTGGAGGGCAGTGCCTCTGAGATTCCATCAGGGCCCAAAAGTGAGGCAAAGCTCTCCATCTCACCTGCCTTGCGGTCCAGCCTTCCTACTCCCCAGAAATTTGAATAATGCTATTGAGTGGTCCTCTGAAGTCCAGGGTATTCTTTTCCCTGACATCCTGTGGGCAGCCATGACCATCCATCCCAGTCAGAAGAGAGATTCCAAGTGTTTCAAGATGTGCAGATGCGCCAGGCGCAGTGCCTTAAGCCTGTAATACCAGCACTTTGGGAGGCCGAGGTTGGGGGGATCACTTCAGGTCAGGAGTTTGAGACCAGCCTGGCCAACAAGGCGAAACCCTATCTCTACCAAAAATACAAAAATTAGCTGGGCGTGGTGGGCGCCTGTAGTCCCAGCTCCTCAGGAGGCTGAGGCATGAGAATCACTTTAAC